>NC_000011.10:115960303-116263333 GCF_000001405.40 Homo sapiens | reverse complement strand
GTTTTTGAGAGAGAGCAAAAAGAAGAGAGAAAATGAAACACTTTTGCCACCTCCTTGTTAGCTGGAGTCCCAAGTGAGCTCGGGAGCTTGCAGCTCCTTTTGTGTGGCTGGCATAGCATCTCCATGGTGATGCTCTGAGGCTTCTCAGAGCAGGGGACCAGCCTCCCTCAGCAGCATTCACCAGGCTGCTAGTACCAGGGGGAAGTGGGGAAGGGGGACCCTGCTGGATCAAGGGAGGTCCGGGTTCAGTTGGCTTTGGTGCTGGTAGAGTATTCTTGCCTCTCTGCTTCTGCAAGCCCTACAGCAGCTTTGGGACCTGGGATCCAATCAAAGAACACATCCATAGTGGGACATTTAAGGTCTTCTAGAACCTGGTTCATGCTTCTTTTTCAGATTTGTCTCCTATGACCTCCTTACCCAAAGCCACTACTTCAGCCTGGCCTGATTTCCTCACTCCTTGCCTCTGAAACAGAATCTATTCTTACTTCTGTGCTCTGGCCCCAGCTGTGCCCCTTGTCTGGGACCTTTCCCTTCCTTGGTATTTCTCTGACTTAGTTCCAGAGCCACCTTCCCTGGGAAGGCTTCCCTGATGCAGACCTGAGCACCCAGGCTCTTTCCTCTTCTAAATCCAGACAGAACCATCTGCTTCTCCTTGTCTGACTTGCTCTGGGATCACAGGTTGGCTAGTGTTGTTAATTCATTTTGCATGTGAGGGACAGGTGGCAGAGCAGAGGGAAGGTGCGGGTCCCAGTGTTGAGCTACTAGGCAACCTGTGAGTTTCAGTTTCTTCACCTGCAAAATGGGGATACTAGCAACTTCTTCTAGCCTTGTCAGGATTATACAAAGTATTGTAAGTGAAGGGAAAAGTGCTGGTATAAGCTCTGGTGCATGGTAGGTACAGCCCCTGCCCCACTTCCCACTGCACCACTCACTAAGATGCTATTATTTGCCCTCTAGCTCTCTCATTTTCCTCCTTCAGCCCTTGGCACACACATATAATGAATAATTGGTTTCGTGTGCTGATTTTCTTAATGTTTCTCTTGGGGCAGGGGTGGGTTGGGTTGTAGGGAATGGACTTTGCTGGAAATGTTCATCACTGTCTGTGCCTAGCACAGAATAGGAGCAACTGGGCTGTCAAGAAATATTTGTTGACCGACCATCTGAGCATGGATGAGGGCCTCTCCACCGCCAGATAATATGTTCCTAAAAGGCGGGGACTGCTTTTTAATTCTTTGAATCTCCACAGAGCCTTGTGTGTAGTAGGTGCTCTGCAAGTGGCTGGTTAGAGAACAGTCCTTGGTTGAACACCATGTCATGCAGGAATGAATGACCACAGATGGACTCTCCTAGGTGATTTCCGGGAACAGAAGACAGGGACCCTCTTTTGTGGAATGGCTTAGAGGGAATCTAGAGTTTTGGAAGCAGACGGGTAGACCAAATAAGTCCCTCTGAGGCCCTTCTAATCCTCCAGTTTATGGTCCAGAGAAGCAGGAAGCATTTTGTTCCACCCCCCCGGCACCAGATGGAGGGGATCAAGCCTGTCCTCCCAGAGAGCTGGGCTAGAGTTAATTCCCGTGAGCATTGCTGAAGTCCGGACAAACTCGATTTTAACTTAAGTGGAAATATTTTGATTTGAGTTAATGTACATTGGATCTGGTAAACACACAGACTATATTACTACGCACTCTGGAAATGTACAGTCCGATCAGCAAACAGATTAGTTTTAAGTGAAAAGACACTGGCAGACGCTTAAATTCATTGACTTGTTGAGAACGTCTAGATTTGGATACAAATGCACTGGAACGCTAAATCAGTTTGGTGTCTCAGCCCATCCGCACGGAGAAACTATTGATTTTAGTTGATACGCATTGATTCCCAGAAAACAGGACGGCTTTTGAAAATGAACTTCCAGTAATTTCAGGGAGAAGCTGGAGCGTTTGTCTCCACGCGAGGCTGACTTGTTTTGTTCAACGTGTCTCTGCGCCTCGAAGGAATGGAGCAGCAGACAAATATCTTCGTATGAATTAAAATGCATTGATTCTTGGAGGGAAATGATGGTCTCTGTTAAAAGCTTTTCGGAGATGTTAGCCTGCAAGAGTTTGAATAAAGCCTTTGTTCAGCACCTTCCTCTCTGCCTTCCGTTCTCCCCCAAATGGTGGCAGTTTTCAGAGTCCATCTGAAGTTGGAGTGGCAGTGGGCAGATGGGGTGGGGAGAGGAGGAGGGTACCAGTTGCACTACCAGTCCCTCCCCAGTCCCCCAATTGCAATGAGTGTGAGCATGAAACTGCTGTGCTCCAGGAAAAGACCATCGAAAGTGCTCGATGTTGATCTTATAACAAGACAGGGACAGATAAGATCTAGTGCCCAGGTAGAAGAGGGAAACAAAGCTTCCATTGATAAAGAAAACAGGAATGGAAAGGAAGAGCCTGGCGGTCAGAGTGGGATGCAGACATGAGGAGGGAAGGATGCAGTTTTGGTCCCCTGGTCAATGGCTTCTCTGTGCTGAAGGGGAAATGACTTGATGATAATAATCGAAGTGATGCAGGAGTGAGTTATCTCACTTTCTTACCACCTGAATGAGCTGGACATGAACCAGAGGTGTAATTTAGGCATTTCTCATCCTCATTAATGAATAGCTCCCATGGGGTGTGCAGACAGCAGAGCTGGAAAAATGATTCCAGGAGTGAGGAAGGAAGCGATTGGCCCTGAACTTATTTTTCATGTGTTGAGAATCCCTGGATCTTTCTGGATTAAAGCCACTTAAGACAACTTTGAGGATGTTCATGCAGTTGACTTCTCTGTAGCCACTTCTAACTCCTCCACAGCCCCCAGGACACCCTAGGTAGGTGATTAAATCCATCTGGGGTGTGTTTCTTGGCTAGGGTGGGGTAGAAAAGTGCTGACTAGTAACACTGTTCATGGAGGTTAAGCATCCTACCTGGGCAACAGGAGGGAACACTGTTGAGAAAGATCTAGAGATAGGGCCAACTGTAAAGCTGCCTCTTTTCATCTCTGGCTGCACCTGTTCTAAATCAAGAGTCACAGGTCCACATCTACTTAGCTCAGACAGTAGATTTCTCTCCCCCTCTACTCTCCTGATGCCTTTCCACTTGCCTCTACTCTGCTTTAGAAAGGGGGCTGCCTAGGTTTGGAAGCATAGAATCAAAGCACTGGAAAGGATTTTATGAATCTTTCAGTCCAACCCCCATCTGATGCTTCCACCTCTGCTCCACAATATCCTGTACCAAATGTAGTCTCAGCATGAAGTCTCTGGTGATAGACTGCACATCACCATCTGGGTGTCTTTCTCAAATAATTGTAGTCAACGCAAAGTGCTCCATACCCCCACCAAGACCAACCCCAATGTGAACGAATCTCAACCCAGTGGCTCTGGTTATGTCCTCTGGGGCATCCAGAAGGAGCCTCATTTTTCTCCCACATGGCTGTCCTTAGGCATTTGAAGACAGTTAGGACATCATACCTGCTCCAGGTAAAACATGGTAGTTTCTTCAGCCATTTCTCATATGAGATGGTTTCACCATATACTGCACCAGCTACATAGTTTATGGAGCTTCCTGGGGCAAAATAAAAATTCAAGGCCCTTTATTCAAAAATTATGAGGAATTTCAAGATGGTGGCAACAGACCGCATTAAACCACAGATGCCTTCTAAGCAGCAGCCACACAGGTTGCAAGCCCATGCAGGTGCCCCTGTCCAAATGAGGCCTCTGTTTCCAGATTTCAGTCAGCAGTGACGACTTCTAAGTGATGACTTCTAAGTGATGACCTTCTAAGCTTTGTCCCAGGGTTAGTCTGTCTGGGGCAGAAGCTGAGTGACTGTCACTTTTTCTGGATAGACTTTTTATTTTTTTGAGACAGAGTCTCACTTTGTCACCCAGGCTGGAGTGCAGTAGCACAATCTTGGCTCATTGCAACTTCTGCCTCCTGGGTTTAAGCGATTCTCCTGCCTCAGCCTCTCAAGTAGCTGGGATTACAGGTGCCTGCCACCATGCCCAGCTAATTTTTTTTTTTTTTTTGTATTTTTAGTAGAGACGGGGTTTCACCATGTTAGCCAGGCTGGTCTTGAACTCCTGATCTCAAGTGATCTGCCCACCTTGGCCTCCCAAAGTGTTGGGCTTACAGGCGTGAGCCATCGTGCCTGGCCCTGGATAGGCTCTTTAGTGTTATTGAAGCAATTGGTGATCACATTAGCTTTGCTGGCAGCCAGTGTGTACAGGTGAGTCACACTCAGCATAATGTCCACTCTAACCTCTAGGTCTGATTTATACCTGTCGCAGTTGGGCCATTTCTCTCCCACTCTTGTGCAGATAGAATCTATGGTGATAAATTTTGCTTTGCTTATAAAATCTATCCCAGTGCCTAACCACATGAATTGCCCTTTAGGCAATTTATTCACTCATCCAAATCCACTGAGAAACATTTATAGAGTGCCTGCCTTGTGCTAAGCATAGTGATAGAAGCCAGGATACAAAACTGAAATTGACCATGGCCTTAAGGAGCTTATAGTTCAGAAAAGGTACTCAAACAATAATAACACGAATTAGTAACTTAGTAATTCCTATAAGAGAGATGTACTACAAGAATGGAAAAAATGGGAAATTACTCCGGCTGGGAAGTCACGGAAGGCTTCATAAAAGAGGTAGCAGCTGAAGGGATCTTGAAGGATGAGTAGAAGTTTGACACATGGGGAGGGGAGGAGGCATAGCTCAATTTCTGATAGCCTGGTTTCCTCCAGATAAACTCCCAGATCATTTCTTTTGTCCACTCTTGGCCCAGCAATTTGGCCCTTGTGGCTCCCCGACGGATTTCTACAGCCTTTTCCATCTCTGGGGCCTTTCAGGCAGAGACCCCACTGCCTTGATGTGAAGACACTGCTAAAGTTTTTGCTGCAGTTTTAATTTCTTGACATCATCTGGGTGCGTTGGGAAAAATGAGATCTAATAATGAATGATTACAACTCTCAAGTTAAGTCTAGTTGGTTGACTAATCAGTTTGGTTAAGTGAAAATCCATAGCAAATGAGTCGACCGCAGTATGACATTTCTCCATCCAATTTAAATTAAAATCACCAACCATAATAATTTCACAATTACTCAGGGAGGGCACACTGGAGACTTGACCCCCGGAGCAGAGAAATTGCAAATGCCGCAAAGAATGGGCTGAGAGCAGGGTGATGAGGGAGTCACTTAAGATGAACTCTGCCTGAACTGCTCAGCCTCATCAGCTCCCGGGGGTGGTGGGGCTGTGAAGGATGCTGAGCTGCAGTTTCCTATTCTTGGGTGCAGCTCTGCTTCTCTTCCCTAGGGTGGCAGGAATTCATCCCTTCTGGCAAGAAAGCCCAGGGAGGGCTCTTCCACCAGGAGAGCAGGATCTCGCTTCTCTAGATAAGAGGGTTGGGAAAGAGGTGAATGTTATTCTATTTCAGGTTCTCCCAGATTTAGACTATAACTTCCTGGACAGTGGGTGCTACATCTATTTATCTTGAAATATGAATGCTAATGCATGTTAACAGCTGATTAATAGGTTTTTGATAATGACGGTGATAATGACAGAGCAAAGGGAAAGGATTGTATTTTATCTAATACGACAGATGTTTATCTGCTGAACATCTCTGTCATACTGGGCATGATATTAGGCACCAGGTAGAGATGAATTACATATATAGCCCTTCCTTTCAGGAGCCATAGTCTCTTGTGGCAGCCAGATAGGTAAACACTTAATATTAATGCAAGGTAAAATGTCATTGATTTTCATTAAGTAACTTGAAGGATAAAAATGATTTTGATCAGGGAGTTTCATGTGAAAGTTTCGTGTGCTGGTTACCTCACCTGTAAAAGGCATTTAATAGCAGTACTACCTCAAAAAGTTGTTGTGAGATGAATGATGAGACTGAGCTGCAAGTTGTCCATCAGTCACTTTCTGTCCTTCTACAATGATAGAACTCCCAAATGCTAGTTGATCATACAGCTGCCTGGAATCAGGACTGCATTTCCCAGCCTCCCTTGCTAGTGCAGCCACGTGGCTAAGTTCAGACCAATCAAATGCAAATAGAAGTATGTGCACTTTCTAGGACATGCCCTTAAAGAGAGGGTGCATGCTTTTCTCCTCTTACTTCCTTTCTGCTAGCAGGAGTTCAGACATGGCTGGAGCTGGAGTAGTCACCATGGAGCATAAAGTAACTTTGGAAGTGGAAGGCAGGCAGGTAGAGCAATAAGATAAAATAAGATAAGATAGAAGGGACCTAGGTTTAAACACTGTGATATGCATACTAGCCCTAGAGAGTTTACCTCTGGATCTAAAATAAACACCTAGCTTACCTAAATCGCTGTTGTCTTGGGTTTACTACCACTCCTAGCCAAGCTGAATTCGAACTGGTTCAAATGAGTTGCTGCACATTAAACACTTAGAACAGTACTTAGCACAAAATAAAGGCTTAAAAATTGGTGGCTAATAGTATTTTTATGCTCTTACTCTAAAGGAGGTAGAAGACAACATCTCTGCCTATTGAGCAGCAAGGTGCTTGCCTTATTCCTCCATGGGAACTCTTGGTTGAGTATCCCAGCGTCTTGCATTAAGGTCAAGCCCCGGCTCTTTGGCCCCTCCTCCTCCCGCTGTCAACTTTTCTCACACTCTGTGCTTACCATCCTCAATCCCCCCACCCCTATACCAGACCTAAATTCTACTGTCACCATCTTAGCCATTACTTATAGAGAGAAGCAGCAACGGCAGCCCAGGAGAAGTATGTGAGCAGGGAGTCAGGTCCTGTGGATCAATTTGTAATTTTTCTCGTGGCAGCAAGAGGAGCATGAGCGATGTGTGCACTAAATCCTGGCAATGGCAGCAGCACGGCAGCATGCCTTGTCTCGAATTATTTATCTTTGTGTTCCTTGGCTGAGTGGGATTGGGGCCCTGGGAGGAGGGGAAACAGTGGGTGCGTGTAAGTGCTCTCCAGAGTAAGCCGTCCTGGGGGGTTGGGAGCAGTGGTGAGGCGGATGATTTTCTTTTTCCTGTTGGTCCTCTCAACCATGGAATACCTTGCTATAGGAAAGGGCAGAGGAGCTCTGTCTCTAGGCAGGTGGAGGCACTTCCAGTTACTGGGCAGATGAAAGTTGGAATTACTCCTTTTCATCGCTGGATCACATATTAGAAAAATGTTGAAATTACTGCCTTAGAAATAAGGAGTGGCTCCTTGCCCATTTTGGGGTGTGTATGTTGAGAATGTTTAAGCGAATATTTTGTCTCCAGCAGGGAATGTGGAGGCTCTCCTGGCTGGGGAGGGTTCATAGTTATTAGATGAAAGTGTGAGTTTGATAGACATTATTAGTGCTCATCAATATTTCCAAACATCTTCCTTTTTCTGTTCACATGAAAGAATTAGTCAGAATTAAGTGGCTAGTTCTGGCTGTGGAGTGTAACCAGGAATGACATGTAAGCACTTAAGAGTAGGTGTGTATTTCTCCATGTCCCTCCTGCCCCCCTCCCCCGACCCCGCCAACCTTCCCCTCTGCTGAATCCGGAGATGGTGATGTCATGATCTGGTGGAACTTACATCAGCCTGGGTCCCTGAATGACGTGTGGAGCACAGCCCGATGCCCAACAGCATTAGGCATATAGATTAGTTAAACAAATTTGTTGTCTTAAGTGACTGGGATTTTGGAATTGCTAGTAACTGTAACACAAACTAATATACCCCAGTGAGTCATGGCAAATCAAAGATACGTGCATTTCTTCACTTAACAGAAGGCTGGGGTTAGGAAACCAGACATTAGAGTCTGAATGGGCCACTAGACCCTTGTGCAAGTGGTTTAGGCAGAGAAAAAGCCAATAACAAGTGCTGGTATATAGAACTGGGGATGGATGAGCCTGGGAATGATGCCAAGAGTGACACGGTCAGTTGGAGATCTGAGGATGTATGTGGGACAGATGACACTGTCATGCTGACATTCTGCTGTGGCATAAATCATGAGAGGGGAGGCTATGTTTGTGGTCTCAAGACCGAAGGGCAATTCTGGAATCCTCCTTAGATCTTGTTAGGGGTTGAACTGTGTCCCTCAAAATGCATATGTTGAAGTCCTAGCCCCTGTACTTCAGAATGTGACCTTATTTGGAGACAGGATTTTTTTTACAGAGATAATCAAGTTAAAGTGGTCATTAAGATGGGCCCTAACCTAATATGACTGGTGCTATGGACTGAATTGGGTCCCTCCAAAATTCTGACATTAAAGCCCTCACCCCTAATGTAACTGTACTTGGAGATAAGGCCTTTAGAGATGTAATAAGGGTTAAATGAGGTTCTAAGGATGGAGCCCTAATCCAATGGGACTGGTGGCCTTATAGAAGAGGGAAAGACACCACAGATCTCTCACTCTGTCCATGCACACACAGAGGAAAGTCTGTGTGAGGACACAATGAGAAGGAGGCCACTTACAAGCCAGGAGAGGCCTCACCAGAAACCAACCCTGACAGCATCTTGATCTTGGACTTCTAGTCTCCAGAACTGTGAGAAAATTGATGTGTTGTTTAAGCCTTAAGCCCAGTCTGTGGTGTTTTTGTTGTGGCAGCCCCAGCTAACCAAGACAGACTTTGATCTAGGACTTGTTTCTTAAGATTCTCTCATTTTCGGCCGGGCGCGGTGGCTCACACCTGTAATCCCAGCACTTTGGGAGGCCGAGGCGGGTGGATCACGAGGTCAGGAGATCGAGACCATCCTGGTTAACGTGGTGAAACCCTGTCTCTACTAAAAATACAAAAAATTAGCCAGGCGTGGTGGCAGGCACCTGTAGTCCCAGCTACTCAGGAGGCTGAGGCAGGAGAATGGCGTGAACCTGGGAGTTGGAGCTTGCAGTGAGCCGAGATCACACCACTGCACTCCAGGCTGGGTGACAGAGCAAGACTCCGTCTCAAAAAAGAAAAAAAAAAAAGATTCTCCCATTTTCTCAGAAATCCCCAAGTGTTCAAGTGTTCTGAGCCAGGCTAGGTGAGTCCTGTATAGACCTTTTTGTACAAAGTCAGGTTTTTTTTGAGGTGGATGAGAAAGAGAAGAGAGGAAAATAATGAAAATATTAACACCTCCTTGCACTTTTAACAAAATGCTTTTTTCTACATTATCACACTGGATTCCAATTACAACCCTCTAAGAGAGGGATACTTATCATAGGCTTATAGCATTTATTCATTTGCTCAGCAATATTATTTGAGCATCTACTATGTTTCGGGGTTTTATGCTAAGAGCAGAGGAGGCTACAGTGCCTGCTCTTGAGTGGCTGAGGGAATTGAGGCTCTAGGAGGATAAGCTGATAGCTCCATCCGACATCGCTAGTCAGGATTTCATCCTGGCTGCTTAGCTCTGTGCCCGAGTTCTTGGCAAAAAGGAGCAAAGCGGGGACTTAGGCTGCAACAAACGCTGACAGGCCCTTGCATTCCAGCAAAAGCTGTCTCCTTTTCATCCTTGGGAAGCTGGGACCCAGTGTCACACCTGGGCAGCATGTCCAGCTGTCCATTGCCTGCATTCCAGTCAGTCTACACCTTCTTCTTTTGCTGGCAGAACCTTCACTTTGTCCAGCCGTCCTGGACCCAGGTGCCTCAGGGAAAGCTCGCTTTCCCCATGCCCAAAGGATGCATCCCGTAAGGAGCCAGCCAATCACACTAAGCCTATTCTACCTGTAATTGTAACCAGCGAGACACAGCCTGCAGGGGATTCTTAGAAGATTTCTCACCCTAAAATGGGCACATCCTTTATTTTTTATATTTTTTTCATTTTTTGAGACAGAGTCTCACTCTGTCATCCCAGCTGGAGTGCAGTGGCACAATCTTAGCTCACTGCAGCCTCTGCTTCCCAGGTTCAAGTAATTCTTGTGCCTCAGCCTCCCAAGTAGCTGGGATTATAGCTGCACGCCACCACACCTGGCTAATTTTTGTATTTTTAGTTGAGACAGGGTTTCTCCATATTGGCCAGGCTGGTCTCAAACTCCTGGCCTCAAGCCATCTGCCTGCCTTGGCCTCCCAAAGTGCCAGGATTACAGGTGTGAGCCACTGCCCCTGGTCTTTTTTTTTTTCTGAGACAGAGTCTCCCTCTGTTGCCCAGGTTGGAGTGCAGTGATGTGATCTCAGCTCACTACAGCCTCAGCCTCCCTTGGTTCAGGTGATCCTCCCTCTGCAGCCTCCTGAATAGCTAGGACTACAGGTGCCTGCTACCACACCAAGCTAGTTTTTGTATTTTTTGTACAGATGGGGTTTTGCCATGTTGCCCAGGCTGGTCCCGAACTCCTTGACTCAAATAATTTACCTCCTCGGCTTCCCAAAGTGCTGCAATTACAGGTGCAAGGCACCATACCCGGCTGCATCCTATTTTTTGAGGAGTATTATTGTGTGAGGACATGATGCTTACAGCTCCTGCAGCCACTCTACCACCACAAGGAGAAAAGCTTAAGGACAATTGCCCAACACCCTTAGGATGGCAGAGCAGGGAGGGAAAGAACCTAGGCTCTTGATATTGATTGACTGATTTGATGGGGCTTCTTATTGTATCAGATGATAAGTGTTCTCATTGCCTAAGCCCTTTTGGGTTGGACACTTTGTTACTCACAGCTAGATGCTTCCTGACTAACATAGGCAGAAACAATCAACCAGCTTGTGCCTACTAAGCGCCCACTGCCTCCACCACTAACTCAGTGTCAAACCCTGCAGGTCTCATGATCTTTCTGAGCCTCATCTTCTCATCTGTACAATTAGGGTAGAGATAAGGGTTTATTTCAGGTCTAACCCTTCAAATTTTACTGTGGGTTCAGCACTGAGAGAGGTAGTCTGGGGGATGCAAAGAGACAATAATATGGCTGGTGGAGGAGAAGAGGAAGAGAGATTCCCCCTTCCTCACTGTCTGAAGGAGAGAAAATGTGTGTGAGGAAGAGCCAGCTGAGAAAGGAAGTGTGGGCTGCCTGCTAGGAAAAGTGCCTGGGTTACACGCACCCTGGGAGCCATTTTGGGATCCCTCATCTCACTATCCTCTGACTGGTGTCGGCTGGCACTTGGTTTGCTCACAGCACTTCGTGCCTGCTACCTTTCCTTTGGCTGGACTGGCTCTTCCTGGAGGGATAGGAGTGGGGTGGCAGATCATGCTGGTGTTTTCTAAAACCAGAAAGGAGAGGGAAGATGAGAGTCTGTCCATGACCCTCACATGGTTTTCTACCCAGTCTCAGAGATACCTTAGATGCTTAATTTCATGTGTCAACTTGACTGAGCTAAGGGATGCCCAGATAGCTGATAAAACATTATTTCTGGGTGTGTCTATGAGTGCCTTTCTAGTAGGTGTAAGCATTGGAATCCATAGACTGAGTAAGAAGATCTCTCTCCAAGTGTGGATGGGGGTCATCCAATCTGTTGAGGGACCAATTAGAACAAAAAGGCAGAGGAAGGACAGATTCTCTCTCTCTGCTTGAGCTGGGACATCCATTTTCTCCTGCCCTCAGGCATTGCCACTCCTGGTTCTTGGATCTTCAGACTCAGGCAAGGACTTGTACCATTGGCTCCTCTGGGTTCAGGCCTTTGGGCTTGGACTGGAACTCTGTCACTGGATTTCCTGGGACTTTTGCTTACAGATGGTAGATTGTGGGACATCTCAGCCTCCATAATTGCATAAGCCAATCCCTCATACTAAATCCCTTTTTGTATATTTATATATATCCTACTGGTTCTGCTTCTCTGGAGAATGCAGATTAATATATACCTGCATCAGAATTTTCAGAATCCCTGTTCAAGGCAGGCTCCGACTTCCACCTGAGGCCCAGGGAATCAGCTAAGCTGGGCGCTGTGCCTTGTGCTTCTGTGCATGGCCATTGCTTGTAACCCTCACAACGAGGCTGGAAGGTGGGCACTTATGTTACAGAGAAGGAAACCGTGGCTCAGCAAGGTTAGCTCTCTCCACCAAAGTCACATGACTGATCAGTGATGGGGCTGGGACTCATGCCTGGGATTTGTCTGACCCCTTCCCTGTTCCTGGCCTGGTATATGAGTGAGGTCTTGGATCACTGGGGCTGACCTCCTTTTCTAGCTTGCTCTGCTACCACTAAACCTAGGCTCTGGCGGCCTCAGGGATCCCAAACTCTCAATGCTCTTCTGGCCTTGGCAGGGGCTCAGTCCTCTGGTGGGAAGTTTCTTCTTTCAACCTCTGCCTCTTTCTGTGAAATTTTACTTCTGTATTTTTCTAGTGTCAGTTCAGCAGCTATCCTCACTTTTAGGGTTCCTGTGACATGTACCTCCCCACTGCTTCCCTCCCTACCAAACCAAACCAACCCAAACCAAACCAAACCAAACCAAACCAATCTCTTTTCATTATATTTATAGGTCTTGGTATTCCTTTATTTTTTCACTTAATATTCATCAGATATGATTGAGCACTTATTATGTGTCTAGTGCTAGAGAGAACAAGAGTAAACCTAAATAGACATGGTGACAACCCTCACAGAGTCATGGTCAAGTACACTTCTCATATTGAATCCCAACTGTCTGTCTGTATATATATCTCATCTCACCAGTGCTGTGCTATTGATGATAACAAACCAGGTCTTACAGCCTCCAGGACAACATGTACCGCATAGTAGCTGGAATAAATAATGAAATGGGGGAAAAGGGCTGTGAAGGGTAAGGTAGGTACAAGAGGAACATTTCAAGGAGGTCAGGCAGTTTGCCTTCTGTTGCTGCCCTCCAAAGAGACTAAATTGTCTAATAAATGGTTTTCCAGCCTGAGGCCCTGGAGAAGGCTGACATGCCTGAGGCCCGAGGCCAATGCCCAGCCCAAGCCCATGTTGGGAGGATGCATTATGAATGCAAGGTGTAGGAAATAGAAATTATTAAACTCACAGATAGGGACAGAAACGGCTTTGTGTGGCTGCAGAGTTGGGAAATTATGCTGAAGCAATGCATTGCAAATCAGCCTGTGCTCTGCAGAGAGGGGCTTTTATTCTCCAGGTCCCGAAGTTCCTTCGGCAGCTTTTGTGTGCAGCCGCGCAGGCCCTTCTGGGAGGAAAGAGAAGCTGGTAATTTCGTGGCTGATTGGCAGACTGTCCAGAGCCAATAAAGATATTTGTTTCCTTGCTGAAGTGCTCACAAACCCCAATCTCAGCTCCTCAATTTTGTCTTTCTTTCTCTTGTGATTCCCTCCTTCTTTTTCATTATGGAGAGGAATGAAACGTGGGCTGGCTTTCTCCATTAACACGGTTTAGTGTGAGCCCAATGGGGACAGTGTGCCCCATCCTGGGGACCCATGAGGACACAGGACATTTGCCCAGCATACCTGGCCTTTTCCCCGGACATCTAATTTGCTTTGGCACAATCCATGTAGACGAACTATGCACCTTTGGTGCCTGGGAGAGCTTGATGTTTGCATTTTCATGAATCCACCCAACATCCCTATGACGTTTGGCATTGTCTGCTCCATTTTAAGGATGAGAACTGGTGACTTGTCTGAGTTCCCAGAGTTAGTAAATTGTGGCATTGGAATTTGAAGTCAGGTTTATCTGGTTCTGAAGTCTGTGGTCTTGGATTTTGAACGCCCCTAGTGGTATCTCTTTCTAGTAGCACTGATGGCATTTATGCTGATGAAAAGTGCCCTCATTGGTGACTCTAAGACTGGGTTCTTCAACTGGTCAATCCTAAGTCACAGGAACATCTTGAAATTTTAACAAAAGTATCTAAGTTTTGAAATTGAAGGGATCTTGCAGACTGGAATTCATTCCCTTTCCTGCCTGGGCTCACTTTTTAGATAATGAAACTCAGGCCAGACAATTTAGGAAATGGCCCAGGGTCACAGCTGACCCAGGAGTCTGCCAGGAAGAATCCTCACTCCCAGTTCAGTATCCTGTCCATTTTATCTGCAGTATCAATTAGGACTAGGTTTAGCTATGAGTAACAGACACCCAAAAAAACAGTGACTTAACAAAGACTACTGTCTGATGAAAAATAAATCAGAAACAAACAACTCAGATGTAAAATAAATCAGAAGCAATATAGAAGACCACTCTGATGTAAAGTAAATCAGAAGAAGGAATGGCAGCTCTGCAGTGTTAAGGACCAAGACTCTTTCTATCATGTCACTTTGCCATGTGTAACTTCTTTCCCAAGTTCTCTTATGGTCCAAGGTGGCTCCTGGAGCCCCAACCATTACATCCAACGACTAGAAGGAGGAGGCCTTTTCCTTAAGGAAACTTTCTGGAGGTTTCATGCAACACTTCCATCTCACTAGACAGAATTTAGTCTATGATCACGCTAGTTAAATAGGAGGCTGGAAAATGTCATCTTTTAGCTAGGTGCCTGGTTAAAAGTCAGGATTTTGTTCTATTATTAAGAAAGCAGGAGACAGAAGCTACTGGGGAACAACTAGCAGCCTTTACCATAGCTCATTAGTCTCTAAACTGATTGCCAACACCATACCTCCTGGTCTGCAGCTCTAGGAATCCTCAGCTGAGAGGAAAGCTTAAACCAGCAGGTCTTTACTACCAGAAAAATAAGTTTCTGTGTTTTTTTGTTTTTCCCCTCTAGATAAAGGCGGGACACTTTAGTTCTGTAAGAGTGGGCATCATGAGACTTTTTAATAGAATTCCACCTAGTATAATTTTTTTGGATTTTGGTCCACTTCAAAGACATCATTGGTATAGCTTTAATGACTTCCTGGATTTTTTTTTTTTTTTAGACAAAGTCTCACGCTGTCACCCAGGCTGGAGTTCAGTGGCACGATCTTGACTCACTGCAACCTCCGTCTCCTGGGTTCAAGTGATTCTCGTGCCTCAGCCTCCTGAGTAGCTAGGATTACAGGTGCCTGCCATCACACCAGGCTAATTTTTGTATTTTTAGTTGAGATGAGGTTTCACCATGTTGGCCAGGCAGGTCTCAAACTCCTGACCTCAGGTGATCCACCTGCCTTGGCCTCCCAAAGTGTTGGGATTACAGGCATGAGCCACTGCACCTGGCCGACTTCCTGGATTTTATAAACCATGAGGGTAGACGTTTATGATAGACAAAGGAAGTCGTGATGCATGTGAGTGTGCCAGTGTATGCGCACATATTTTTAGAAGGGAAGGGAAACCTCCACTCCACTTTTCCAGTCATGTCCCAGAATGAAAAAGCAGAAAGCCCTGATTTTGTTCATGTGCTGATTCTTCAAGTAAGGTGGAGCCAGGGCTGCTTCTCTGAATGCCTAGAGGCAATTAGGGGCTTGGAATGAGAGAAACAGAATGTGGAAGCTGGGGAAGCAGCCTAGAGACAGTGAGTCCAACCACCTGCTTCTATAGATACAGAAATTGAGGCCCAGCGATGTTGCAGGTTTCCCAAAATCTACGGAGCTGGGATCAGGATCCCCCCTTTCTGATTCCTAGGCTAGGGCTGTTTTGCCTATACCTAAGGCTATTTTGCTTTCTCCAAAATAGATTTGTGTATGGTTCTCTACCTGTTTCATGTGTGCCACTATTGTTTCCCCAACGAAAGATCTGAACCCCTATTATGTTTAAAGGACTATGCAAGACTTTGGTGTAAGGAGAAAAAGATGAATAAGACACAACTCCCCTCTTAAAGAATTTACAGTCTAAAGAGGAATGCAGATGCATTAACAGCTAACTATAGGGCAAGACAGAAAGCACTAAGGGCTACATAGACATATACTTGATGACTGCGGTGGAAAGGCTGATTTGGCAGGATGGGGGGATTGAGGAAGACCTCATGGAGGAGGTCTTTGCGGAAGAGAGATATTGTGGGAAGAGGTAATCTAGATTAGAAGAAAGCATGAATTGAGGCCTGAGAATCACAATACTACTTAATATCCCCCTGCCCTTGGTGCTATTATGGAATTTGGGAGGGCTCAATAGTAGGACCCAAAGAGGGAAAGCCTACCAGGGCCTCTTCTGTCTCCAGGGAGGAGCTCTAGTCCTGCTAACTTGGGCAGTGTTCTTGGTGCTGTTTGGCCATTAAAGTGGCTGAAATAAACAAAGCTGGTGCCGGAGTCCTCACCCAGATCAGCTGAACCAGAGTCTCGATGGGTGGGCACTCAGGTGTCTGTCTTTATTTACAGCCCCCTAGGTGATTCTGATGCCCACTGGGGCATTTTAGAGCTAAGAAGAGGTGACTGAGCCCTGACATAGATGACAAGAGGAGGATGTGGGGATTATCAGCTGAACTCCACAGTAGCAGCTTTAAGGGCAGGAGGCCAGGAGGGAGAACTGAGTCTTCAGATCCCAGGTGGCACCAAACTAACTCCCCACTATGCACATGAGCAGACAAGAACCATGGAAGAGGGAAGCATTGTCCAGGCCCGGCAGCTTGTTAAAGCAGCACCATCATTCAGACTTTTGTCCTTCCCAGTCCCATCCAGAGCCACCTTCACCTCAGTATGTAGCCTCTCTCTGCCTGTTGCTCAGTCTATGCTGAAGCCTTTGCATGACTGATGTGGCTTGACTGTGTCCCCACCAAAATCTCATCTTGAATTGTAGTTCCTGTAATCCCCATGTGTCATGGGAGGGACTAGGTGGAGATAAGTGAATCATGGGGGTAGTTTCCACCATCCTGTTCTCTTGACAGTGAGTTCTCATGAGATCTGATGGTTTTATAAAGGGCTTCCCCCTTGGCTGGGCACGCTTTCTCTCCCAACCGCCCTGTGAAGAGGTGCCTTCTGCCATGATTGTAAGTTTCCTGAGGCTTCTCCAGCCATGTGGAACTGTGAGTCAATTAAACTTCTTTCCTTTATAAATTACCCAGTCTCAGTTATGTCTTTATTAGCAGTGTGAGAACAGACTAATATAGTGATGAACAATGATAAAAAGGCTTGGGTGACTGTTGGTGCCTCTCTTCATTTGTGTGCAGGGGAGGTCTGGCTGTTCCCAAGAATGTGAATTCAAAGGTTGCCTGATTCTTGTTTCTGCTTAACATTCTTCTTGCTTTTGGGGCAGGCATACGGAGCTGGTTCTTCAGAGAAGAAATGGCTAGTTGTGGTGGTGACGGTGGGGGAAGCTTGTTCCTCTTCCATGCATGTTTGAGAGTGGAGAGGGGACAAGAAAGGCAGTGCTCAACAGCTAAGGGAGCAAGGGCTGGTGGGAGGAGTGAGGATGGTCACCCACTAGGAGCTAGCTGAATATGGCTGAGATGCCCCATGGTAAAGGGACAGCCGGCAGCAGGCATGGCGCTGATCTGCAGTTGGTTTTTTGCTGTGGTAAAGGCATTGCTCGTTCAGTTGCTTTACCTTGGAGTCAGTGGAGTCCAGACGTGTTACATTTTTCTTCTTATACACTCCCATGAACCTCCATACCTCTACTTAAAAATCCTTTTATCAGCATTTAGTAATCTGCGATTGTATCTTCAGGGCCTGTTTCCTCTGAGAGTAGGGACCTCCTTGAGGGTCCAGTCTGTCTCCCCCTGTATTCTCAGTGCCTCACACAGAGCCCAGAAAGAGGCAGGTACTTGATAGATGTTTGTAGATAGTGCGATGGGGTGACTGATGGGAGAAACATTCAACTGGACCTTTGGGAGGCAGATTCTTGCCTGATTCTGCCCCTGGCACTCTGTGGGATCGTGAGCAAATCATCTCTTTCTGTGCCTTGTGTCTTCCCAGTGAAAATAAGCAAAACTAAATCTGCAGTGAGCATCCCAATCTGTTTCTTAACAACTGAACCTTATCGGATGGGACAGTTACCTGAGTTTCCAGGCCCTGGTTCTAATTCCAGCCCTGCCCCTTACTAGTACTCCCACCACTGAGCCTCAGTCCTATAGGGAGTTATGGAGATTAATCCACAGAACAGGTGGAAGGTGCTTGGAGAAGCTTTGACGTGCTGGACACATGGATGGTTTTCTTCATACAAGGCCCCATTTGTTCTAACCAAGGACAGAACAAAATGTCTATGTATGAGAGATTTCAGACATTAGAACTTACCAAGAGATAGCCCAGATGGATGTCAGAACTAGAGGTAAAAAAAAGGAAATAGTACAACTGTAAGGAAGTGGGGGTGTCTAACTTATTGGAGGGCTGGATCAGAGCTGGTCTTGTCTGGATGAAGGGACTAGATTAGAAGTCTCAGGAGGACTTTGTCAATCATTAGGGTCAATAGCTGAATCAGTTTGGAGACAGAGACTTCTGCTCCTTTGCTGATTTCCCCGAAGCTCTGGGTAATGGTGTTTGCATGGCTGTAGATTTCCAGTGAACACCTGCCGAAGCCTTTGCCTTGGGAGAGGCTCCAGCAAAATCCGGGAGCTTTGGGGAAAAGCCTGCCAGGCTGGCAGCTTGGTTTGCTCCTTCCTGCAGGGTCCCCCAGTCCTTACTAACAGAGAGACCAAGAACCCAGGTGTCCCTTCCAGGCTCTCCTGGCCTGCAAGGCCCCCTCTCAGTACCAACTTGGGGCTTATCCCTCTTGGCTCTTGTGTGGCTCGGGAGGGACCCAGACCCAATCATCTCAGCTCCAAGAGAGAAAAGGAAGAACATCTGTTAACACAAATGCTTTTCTAATTTCTTTTTAAATCTCACTCAGCATCTGCGTTAAACAAGGCTGATCGGCTTGTACAATATTTAATTTTGGAACCATTTCAAAAGGCGCTGGTAAGAGGGGAGCAATGGGGAGAACAGCAGCCTCCTAAATCTTTAATAGCGCGCTGGTTAGGAGCTTCCGCCGGGCTCCGTCCTAATCACACAGAGGAGAATAAGCAGAGACAGAATTTCTTAATAACAAATACCTTTGCAGCACCTCATTAAATCACTGCATTTCAGAGACACAGCAGGACACTTGGGTGAATAAATAGTGCAATCTCCTACTCTGAAGGATTTTCACATCTGAGTTATTTCTCCTGCATATGATCAGTTCCTTTCTCTCTCTCTCTCTTTTTTTATTTTCACAAATGATTTTAGCTGATGAGTTCAATTAATGAAGACATTAGAGGCAAAGTTGGAAAAGCACTTCTTTCCTCTCCCCCTTTTTCATCTCTTCCTCTCCTCCACCTTATAACCATAGAGCCTTATTTTGTGTGTTTTTGCAGTTTAACAAACGTCACTGCCAAATGAGAGATGAGAGAAGGAGAGGGGGTGGAGAGGGCCACGCTGGTTGATGTGAAAACAAAGCCTTCCCTGGCTGGGTGTTTATGAAGATGCTGATAAATGGGGCCGGGGAGAGAGAGGCCGGCTGGGATGGCGCAGAGGTGCTGCAGGGCCTCTGGCCACCTGTGGATCCACATCCCTTGCTATCAGCAGCTGCACCTGATCTTCAGTGGGGCCTGCAACAGTACAAGGAACTGAAGAAAACCATGTGTCTTCAGTTGCACTTCAGTGTTTATTGAGCACCTAATGTGTGCCAGGCCCTGAACTAGCTGCTTAGAATTAATGCTGTCATCAAAAATCTAAGCCAGAGAGCCTCTTCTCACATTGTCCCTTACTACAGTTGACTCAATTAATCAATCAATATTTCAAGATTTTAATGAAGAGGCCATAAACTGGCAATCCACAGACTGTGTCCAGCTTGAAGACATTTTTTGTTTGTCCCAAATACTGTTGGCTAACTCTCTTTATTTTTTGCTTGTTGACTCTTGTTTTAAATAGAATCAGTTGGCTGAGTGTCGCATTTTTAAAAC
Organism: Homo sapiens; assembly: GCF_000001405.40. Lineage (NCBI taxonomy): Eukaryota > Metazoa > Chordata > Mammalia > Primates > Hominidae > Homo > Homo sapiens. The sequence continues at coordinate 116,243,727 of NC_000011.10, read as the reverse complement.
TGTGGTTTATAACCCCTGGGTGGTTCTTAAAAATCAGTCTAGAAGGGGAACCCAAGTTGCCTATGCTTAAGTTTTGCTTTTGGGAGAAATCTGTCTCTAAGCTCATTCTTCAGTATATTTTCTGAGTCTTTCAATATATGGGGGATTATTTGCTCTTACTTTCATAAATAAGCTCCACTTTGAGAACAAAAATGGAATAGGATAAGTAGGATAGGATAAGATGGGATGGAATGGAATAGAATAGAATAGAAAAGAGAAGAAATAAAAGAAGAGAAAACGGTCAGTATGGGTTGCACATGGTAAGGTAGGTGTTATTCCATTTTTGCATGTGGTGTATTTACGTGCTAGTCTGTGATCTAAAATGCATTTCTTGCTGTGGGCCCCAGAAAACAAACTGGAAAGCCTCTGTACTCATTTGAAATGCCCAGCACCAAACATTTGCCTTATTACAGAGCATCCCTAGACACGTTTATCCTGATCCTGACTGCCTGAGCTTGAAGCCCACTTGGTCACATATTTCCCATGTGACCTCGCTGTTGGTGTCCAGTGGTAGCCAGTGATGTGGTTGTAAGTGGCCAGTGGTGTCAGTGTCCTAAGCAGATGTCCCTGAGGTTTGGAAATGGCAGGCTGTGTCTCCCTTGGATCCTGCCTGTTTTCCAAGTTCTTTTCTTCAGCGTTCTCTTCAATTCTGTGAGCTCACCATTGTCCCTCTAATAAAGTATTTACTACCAACCAGAGTTGGCTTCTGTGCTTGCAATCGAAAACCCAGACTGCCACATTTAGAAATCAGGAGATTTCACATAAAAGTTTGAATCTCCAGTTTCCTTTGAAGGAAAAAAAGTCTTGTGTTAGGCCTGTGTTTCCCCACAGAAAACCTATAGATAGTGCATTGCTTTTGTGTGGCTGTGGTAACAAAGTGCCAGGAATTGGGTGGCTTAAGGCAGCAGAAATTGATTCCCTCACAGTTCTGGAAGCCAAAGGTCCACAATTTGCCAGGGCTGTCCTCCTTTTGGAGGATGGATGGAGAATTTATTCCTTGCCTCTTCCAGCTTTTGGTGGCTCCCAGCATTTTCAGGCTGGTGGCCATGTCGCTCCAGTATCTGCCTCTGTCTTCACGTGGACTTTTCCTCTGTGTGTCCATGTCTTCTCCCTCTGCCTGTCTTAGAAGGACACTGTGCTGACATTTAGGGCCCACACTGATAATCCAGGATGACTCCTCATCTTGGGATCCTTCACGTTATTACCTTTGCAAAGATGCTTTTCCCAAATAAGGTCACATTCACGGTTCTGGGGATTACGGCATGGCCATATCTTTCTGGGGGCCACCTTTCAGCTCACTACAGATAGATGTCTATAGCCTCATCCAGCCTGCTTTATTCACCCACATGGCCTCCTGGGCCTGCTGCTATGTAAGTTTTTGGCCTCTTTATCTAGCGAATGCCTGCTCTACACCCAGGCCCAGTGAGAAGCCGCAGAAATGCAAGGAATGGTTTCCATCCTCAGTAGCCTTGTCTCTCTGAACGCAGATGCTCAGGGAAGGCTGGAGCGAGGATGATGGCTGCATGGAGCTGGTGGGCCTTGTCTGGGTCTTGAAGGATTGAGAAAGTAGAAGGGGGTGGAGAGGAATAGCTTTCCCATGTGAATTGTGTGCTGGGCAATGCTCCAGGTGCTAGGGAGATAGCAGTGAACAAAATAGACCAAGTCTGTGCTATTATGAAGCTTCCATTCTAGCGGAGTGAAAAAGACAATAAACATAATCATAAAATGTCAGAAAATCTAAGTGTGATACAGAAAAGTAAAGCGGGGGCAAGGGTATGGGTCCTGGGGGAGCGTGGGTGATGCTATTTTCATAGTGTGATCAGGGAAGACTTCTGTGATTAGATGACATCTGAGCCTGGTCCTAAAAGAAGGGAGGGAGGGATCCACATATATATTTCTGGAAACAGTAATCAAAGCAGAGGGATCAGCATGTGCAAAGGTCCTGAAGCAGCTGCGTGCTTGGTGGGTTCTGGGAATGGCTTTGGGGCCACTAGAGCTGGAAAGGAGTGGTCTAGTGGGAAGGCTGTAGATGGGGAGCACTGGGGCCAAGGTAAGTGTTTTTAGGAGTTCAGGATCAAGGACACACTCCTTAGCAAGTCTTTAAAGCAGGGGATCATAAACATGGATGAGGAAAAAAAGGCTTCATTTTCACTGCCCTCCAACTGAAGTGTAGCATTCCCTTAATTATAAATGTAGGCACTGTCCCTAGCATGTAATTCACAGCAATTTGGGTAGTACCTGTGACTCTGTCATCCGGAGAAATCACAGATTTTTTTGTTTGTTTGTTTTTGTTTTTTGAGACATAGCTTCACTCTTGTTCCCCAGGCTGGAGTGCAGTGGCGTGATCTCGGCTCACTGCAACCTCCACCTCCCGGATTCAAGCGTTTCTCCTGTCTCAGCCTCCTGAGTAGCTGGGATTACAGGTGCGTGCCACCATGCCTGGCTAATTTTGAAATCAAAGATATTTTTATATCATATTACAGTTATTACACTTATCTTGAAATATTGTTTTCTCTCAGCACTACTTCAAAATTATATAATTAGACCTGCCACCAGAATGTATTATTTAATGCATTAATAAAAAGCTCGTATATCACTATATCACAAATTAGCTTTGAAAAAATATTTCCATAACTGCATTTCAATATAATTTATTTCCTATGTAATCTTATGTATTTTATTTTATGCATTTAAAGACATAATTCTGGGAAGAAGTCCAAAGGCTTCACCACAATCCCCAAGGGGTTCCTGGTGCATGACAAGGTTAAAGGGCCTTTGCCTTAAGGCCTTTGGAATGTGGCTCCTGCACACACTTGGCCTCATATCTGACTGCTTAGTTCCCCCCACGCACAGTGATGCTATCCTCCATCGGTACTGATCTACAGGCGGTTTCTCCAAATGTGATGCCCTTTATTCCCCTCCAGCCTTGGCAAATGCTGCTCCTTGTGCCTTGAACATTCTTGACTGCCTGCCTGCCTCCCTCCCTCCCTCCCTCCCTCTCTCCCTCCCTCCCTCCCTTCCTTCCTTCCTTCCTTCCTTCCCTCCGTCCTTCCTTCCTTCCTCTCTTTCTCTCTCTTTCTCTCCTTCCTTCCTTCCTCCCTCCCTCCCTTTTCTTTCTTTCTTTCTTTCTTTCTTTCTTTCTCTTTCTTTCTTCCTGCCTTCCTTCCTTCCTCTCTTTCTCTCCTTCCTTCCTCCCTCCCTCCCTCCCTCCTTCCTTCCTTCCTTCCTTCCTTCCTTCCTTCCTTCCTTCCTTCCTTTCTTTCTTTTCTTTCCTTTTCTTTCTTTCTTCTTTCCTTCCTTCCTTCCTTCCTTCCTCTCTCTCTTTCTCTCTCTCTTTCTTTCTTTCTTTCCTTCTTTCTTTCTCTCTCCCTCTCTCTCTTTCTCTCCTTCCTTCCTTCCTTCCTCCCTCCTTTCTTTCGTTCGTTCTTTCTTTCTTTCTTTCTTTCTTTCTTTCTTTCTTTCTTTCTTTCTTTCTTTCTTTCTTTCTTCTTTCCTTCCTTCCTTCCTCCCTCCCTCCCTCTCTCTCTTTCTCTCTTTCTTTCTTTCTTTCTTTCTTTCTTTCTTTCTTTCTTTCTTTCTTTCTTTCTCTCTCCCTCTCTCTCTTTCTCTCCTTCCTTCCTTCCTTCCTTCCTTCCTTCCTTCCTTCCTTCGTTCCTTCCTTCCTTTTTGGTCGAGGTTTTGCTGTGTTGCCCAGGTTGGAGTGCAGTGGGGCAATCACAGATCATATCCTGTCCTCAAGCGATCCTCCTTCCTCAGCCTCTCGAGTAGCTGGGATTACAGGTGCACACCACCACACCTGGCTAATTTTTAAATTTTTTTGTAGAGACAGGGTCTGCCCATGTTGCCCAGCATGGATTTGAACTCCTGGCCTCAAGTGATGCTCTTGTCTAGGCCTCCCAGAACATTAGGATTACGGGCAGGAGCCATTGTGTCCAGCCATTGTTGCCTTTTTAAAAGTTCTGCTTATCCTTCAAGTTTCAGCCTTGCTGTCACTTTCTCCAGGAAGCCTCCCCTGATCCCCCCATGTTTCAAGTAGACCAAGGCCTTTTCTGCCTTTCTGATCAGTCTGTGAGCTTCCTGAGGGTGAAGGCTCAGTGTTGATCTCCTCTGGTGTCAAGTCCAGTGCCTGGCACGAAGCAGGTGCTCAATATGCTCAAGAAATATTTTTGGACTGTGAGAATGAGTCATCTCATTGAATCCTGAAACAATCCATGATGTAGTTGGGATTCCTTGCGTTTTGTAAGTGAAGAAGAAGGAGGTGGGGCTAGCCAGCAAAGGAGAGTGGCTGGAGGAAGGGCTTGGAGCTGTGTGAGGCAGTGGGAGCCCTGTTTGAAGCAAGGGCACTGTGGGCAACATTGGGAGACTGGGCTGTGGAGAGAGGGTGAAGCCGGGTGGGCGTGGAGACTGAATCTGGGGCTAAGGACTTACACTTGATGCAGTGGTCATGAGGGGAGGGCGAGGTCTGGAAAATGTCAACCATCTCCCCCTTCCTGTCCTCTGGGGAGGATGGAAGAGAACATTTGGTCATCAGGCTTTGTAACAACACTTACTGTCTCGTGCCCCAGTCTCTTCTCTGAGCTTTGCATTCCTAGTTCTTTTTTGCCTTTTTCATCCAATAATCTTTTGTTTCTTCAAGTGGTGTAGGGCTCGCATCTTGGTTTAGTAAAAAGGTCAGGAGGTAGATGTTGACTTCTCTCCCTTACATTTATTATCTGTGTGAGTTACCCAAGTTCGTTAGACTCCAAGCATGCCTAACACTGGTAAGCTCTCTACCTAGACACAAGCTCCTGGCCAGGCCCATCCTCAGTGACACCTGGCTCATCTTCATCCTCCTGGTCTTCACTCATCCTATGCTCTCTGCCCATGCTGTGGCCCTGCCCAGAGGCTGGGGATCCTTCCAGGCCAGCTTCCTGTCTGTAGAAACCCTACCCATCTCTCAAGGCCCAACTCAAGCACTACCTTTTTTGAAGTCTGTGATACTGTATGACACCAGGCAAGTTATTTAACCTCTCTGGCCTCAGTTTCCTCATCTGCCAACATAGAATTGCTATGAGGGTCAAATGTGCCAATGCAGGAGTGGGCCTTGCTCACGGCAGGTGTCTGCCACCAGTTTGCTTCCTCCCTGTCTTGGGTGTCTCAAGAGGCTGGCCAGCCAACGTGCATGGAGCCCTGCTCACATCTTCGTTAACATGGACAGGTCTGTAATCACTTCTTCTCTCAGATGCTCCGTCCCCAGGCACATGCACTTCTTGCTCTCCTGTTTGCCTTCCTCTTGCTATGTCCCACACGGATCTCCTCCATAAATTTTTCAGCACATTCTTTATAAGCAATGAGGCTGCAGGCCAGGGTCGCATCCACATCAAAGGGTTTCTCTGGGAGCTGGAGTGGGAGCTATGGTCTTCTGAGGTGGCCAGGGGGCCTCTCCATTTGTCTGTGCCTTTGGGGGCCAGGCCTGCGGCTACCTGTCTTTATCTGGGCTGGTGCTCTGTGCAAACAGTAAATGCCATTGAGCAGGTTCTCTAAACGCTGGGCTGGGAAGAGGCCTTAGAAAAGAGGCCTAGCATGTACAGGGCACCCTTTGGGATAAGCCTGTATCAACTTTGTTTAGGTTCTTGCACTTCTCCTTTCTGCATGGTAGATATTATTAGCCCCCACTCTACAGACTAGGCAGCTGAGGCCTAGAGAGATGGATGGGTTTTCTCTTCCTCCACCCTGAACCTGGTCCTGTGAGTCCCATAGCATGTGATAAGTCACACAACTTGCGAGTGGCACAGCCATGAATAAAATCTACATTGGTCTGCCTCCAAAGCCTAAGTTCTTCCATTGTGCCCCTCTGTCTGCATACTCCCTTGCCCAAGTAAGTGAGGTCAGGGAGCTGCATGCTCTAGGGAGGAAGAATCTGCCTCACTCTACGGGAAGGCACACAGAGATGCTGTAGGGTGACACGTATTACAGGCTGCACAGCAAAGACAGACCAGGATTTCTGTGAAGGCTCCAGTCTTAAGGGACAAGAGTGAGGGATCATCTAGATCCAACTGCAGTGGCCAATAACTAGGAGAACCTCCGGGAGGCTGGGGCACTCACCATGCCATCAATGTAATAATAGTATTTGTTCCCCTGACCCCCGACCAAGCTGCTCCCACAAAGCCTGGGATGCTGCCAGCATGTACTGGGAGAAGCTTTTTACATGAAGGCTAGGAAAGGGCCTTGGAAACATTTAGCCGGACTTGTGATTATTGGTTCTTATCCATAGGCTCACTCACCTGAATTCCCAAACTCCTCCAACTCCCCAACTTCTCCTTCTTCGTCTTCTCATCCCATAAAGTGCCAAGAGCTCTGCAGGCCTCTCTTTTCTCATCTTCTTCCTGTAGCCATGGTCTGAGATTGGGCCCTATGTAGTCAAGAGTGTGGACTCTGGAGCCAGATTCCTGGCCAACTGCCACACTGCTTACTTGCTTTGTGACTTCTGCAACTGCTGCATACCTCAGTTTCTTCATCTGTCAAATGGGGATAACAATTGTACTAGCTTCACAGCCTCTCCAGTATAAGGTGGCTGCGCTCCAGCCACCTGGAACTCTGCCCAGTCCTGGTTTCTCTGCCTCTGTTTTGCTCAATCTGTATTCTTCCCAGAACACTCTCCTGCACCGTGCTGCCCATCAACATCCTGCCCATCCTCTTCTTGAAAGTTTGGTGCAGATGCCTCTGGAAGAAATACTGCCTCCACGCTGAACCTGGTCCTGTGAGTCCCATAGCATGCGATAAGCCATTGCATGCCTTTTCATGATCTCCTTTCTGAATCTGAATATATGTCTTCACTACAGCAGGTGCTCAGTCCTCATGTTCGTGTGTTGAATTAAACTGAGGTCCTCTCACAACTTAATGTGTGTCTTCTAAGCAAGTGCCCTTTAATAAATAACAATTCCTCACAACTGAATATCGCTTTATAGTGGAGCAGCTCACTTTCACAGGCAGCATCTCAGTTCATCCTCAGAGCAGCTCTGAGAAGGCAATTGTGGTGTCAGCCCATTTTACAGGTGAGGAAAGTGAGTTCTGGAGATGTTCCTTATCTTGCTCAAGGTTACATGGCTAATAGGTAGGGATACAGGACTTTAGACTCTGAATCCCACTTACTTTCCACCTCCAGACTTCCCACCGTCTTTTCCTTTGTTCAGGTGTAGACAATGTGAGCATCCAGGTTGACTAAAAACATTTCAGAGTAACAGCTCTTGCCCTAGATATCGGTTGCATTGGTCTCCTTTTCCTCACTCCCGAGCGCCCTCTCTCATGGGCTGATGAGAGAACTTGGGTGAAGAAATGCTTCCATAGGAAGAGATGAGGGGCCCCGAGTCCCAGACCTAGTGGGCAGTACAGTTATTTATGTATTTATTTAAATTAGAGACTGAGGTCTCACTACATTGCCCAGGCTTGTCTTGGACTTCTGGCTTCAAGCAATTCTCCCCCGTGTGCCTCCTAAAGTGCTGAGATTACAAGTGAGAGCCACCCCACCCAGCCTCTAGTTTAATGGCTTGAAGTCACACTGGCCTGGCTTTATATCCCACTCACTGTGCTTTCCTCCCTACCAGTGTGAAATGGGATGATACTATATACCTCGTCTGGATGTGGTAAGCACTGAATGGCATAATGTCTGTAAATCCTATGGCACAGTGCCTGGTACACCAGGGATGCTCACGAAATAGGAGCTAATAGTAATAGTTAACATTTATCGAGGATTGATTTTGTACTAGAAACCCTATTATTTCCATGTTTATCTCATTTGCTCCCCCCAACCCACAATCCCTTGCAATATAATTACTACCTCTTTTTTTCACAGATGAGGAAACTGAAGCTCAACCTGTTACATAGTTGCCAAATGCCCAGAGTTTTTCAATAACGCCACAGGGGCGAGCCTGTGTCTGTTCATGGATGCATCTCCACCTTTGTACACCTGGTCCACTGCCCCACCTGGTAGAGTCAATACATACAAACTGTTATTATTATTGTGGCGCCAACAACCAAATTAGGATGGCAGTTTTGATATGCTTAGCCTGCCAATGTAGGCTTGGAAGTTTGAGCTTGGCAATGGGTTGCCAGGGGTGTGATAGGGATGGGGAGAGAGGCTGGCATTGGGCTGTGGCCGTTGCAAGCCTGTGGAACAGGGGAAAAGAAGCCGCCTTTCCTCTCTTAGCGCATGGGCTGGAGGCAGAGCCCTGGGCCACTTGTGCCTGCAGTGCCTATCCTGATGGATGGGATCTGACAGTGTCCTCCTTCCCTCCCAGCACAGGGAATACAACCCCCAGCCAGCAGGGGACTGAGTCCAGGTGAGCTGCAGGCCTCAGGCAATGACAGATACTTTGTGCAAACAATGCCTCCTCCCTGGGGGCTCTACTTCCCTGGGCAGTCCTCTGAAAGAAATGACAGCATGGAGCACTGAGCCAGCAAGACCACAGAGGCTGTCTGCCCAAGGCAGCCCTAACGATGGCATCCACAGCCAGCCTGCTCCGACACCATGTTCACATCCCAGACCCCATCCAATCTGTCCCCTCCATTGAGTTCAGGAGGGGCGAGGGAGCTATTGGAGCTGCAGACTGCTTGGTGGTCCAGATAGAACACTGAAGAGATGGAAGGCTATTCTGGCTTTGGGTCTATTTCCTCAGCTCCCCCACTATGATACAATTGCTTGCTTCTTTCAAGGGCTTAGAGGTGGCAAGAGCTGGAGGAGCCTCAGAGATTGTCTAGTCTCACATACTCATCAGGTGCCAAAGGCACCTCAGTGGGAACTTGAAATAATGCTGTCACTGGATGGTCACAGTGCTATGGGCTTGGCCAGCAGATGTTGCCTTTGTGAAATGTGAAAAGGTGCCCTCTCTTGGGGGATGAAGCCCTGTGCCAGGATGTGCTGCTTGGTGAGTGCCAAGTAGGTGGAACTTATGCCCCCTCGCATCCCCTGGGCCCAGCACCCTTGCAGTGGGCAACCTGCAGTGGGCAAGTACACACAGCCATCCTGAAACATCTGAGCCCAGAGAGAAGTCCAAATCCTCAATGTGACCTACAGGTGATGTGCTAGCTGCCAAGTTTCAGCAAACATCAGTCTCCTCTCTCACTCACCTGGTACCCATGCTGGATTCCTTTGGCAGCTTCTTGCTGCTGCTGGGCCTTTTTGCACTGGTAGCTCGCTCTCCTTGGAACAGTCTTCCTGTTCTGACTGGGTAAACTGCTACTCATCCTACTGGTCTCAATGCACATGTTACTTCCTCATGGTAGCTTTCTCTGACCTCTCAGACTTGGGTAGGACCCTATCGTATATTCTCATGGCAAATCGTTAATTATCATTAATTAATGATTAATTATCGTTAATTACTGTGTATCCGGCCTCCCCGTGTTCACTCCTGGACTGGAAGCTCCGTGAAGGCTGGTACTATTTTGTTCATCACCGGATCTTTATCATCTGAAGCAGTGCCTGACACATGGTAGACACTCAATTAATAAGCTGCGCATGGTGGTAGGTGCCTATAGGGAGGCTGAGACAGGAGGATCACTTGAGCCCAGGAGTTCAGAGATGCAGTGCACTATGTTTGCACCTGTGAATAGCCACTGCACTCCAGACTGGGCACCATAGTGAGACCCTGTCTCTAAATAAATAAATCAATAAATATGTATTGCATAACTGAAAGGCCCTGCTCTGATTTCCTCCCTCGTCCTGTAGGAAGCTTGGGACAGGCTTTGGTAACAGGAATTTCAAAAGGATGATTTTCCCCAGCGTGAAAATCCTCATCTGGCATCTTGCATCTGATGCAGCTCTTCTATCCACTCCTCCCTGCCCCAAAGGGGCCACTGATTCAGATCCCAGGCATAGACTTGTAAGCTGTCTAATTTTTCCCATGATCTCTTGCCCTTTGCTCACTCAACAGTGTCCTGGGAAAGAAGTTTCTGGCTGCCTACGCACTGGGCTCAGGAAAACACAGAATTAGCACTGCCTCAACTTTTATTTTTAACCATTGATTGATCTTGGTTCCAGCAGATTTATTTTCAGCATAGGGCCTGTGGGCCGGTGCTAATTTACATGCCTAACTGCTCTCCAGGAGCTAAACCTCTCAAGCGATGTTCTGACACACCGGGCTTTGTCACCCTGACCCCTTCTCATCTCCTCTGGGGAAGGGATGGGAACTGCCCCTGCCAAATGCAGGGGGATCAGTCCTGGAATTCCATTACCTTCCCTGGGACTGAGACTTGGTTAAGGAGCTACATCCAGCCCTTACTCCTTCTGAATTCATCGCAGATCCAGATTATACTAGATTTAGATTCTATTTCTTTGTATTTTATTCCTCCAACTCATATTTATTGAGAACTTACTTTATAAGTACACAGAGCTAGACGCTAGACATGGAGGTGGGATGGGGAATGGAATTCCATGATGAGTTAATCTTTGCCCTGCCTCAAAGTCGAAATCCAGAGGAAAAAGATTGTGAGACAAGTGTTTAGAATCAATGTGATAAGTGCTAAGTAGAAATTTTGCACAAAGTTTTGCAGGGAGAGGGAAGCTAGTTAATCTTCTTAGAGACTTGTCAGGAAGGTGTCATTTTATTTACATTGCTTAGTGCAAATGTAATTTGCACTATGTCTCTGCAAGTCAAGATCTTGTAGGGATAGGAACATTCCAGGCAGAGGGAACAGCATGTGCAAAGGTATGGAGGCCAGAAGGCAGATGAGGAACTTGAGAAAGAGCCTGTTCAATGTGGCTAGAGCACAGAGTGCATGACAGCAAGTGGTGAAAGATGAAGTGGGAAAGAAAGGCCTCTCTGCTAGTCTGAGAACCTTATGATCACCTCTGCTTCTTTATGCACTGCCTACCTCTCTAAACAGACCGCATGGGCCTTGAGGGGCGGGACTGTGTTGCTGCTGCTGCCTTGTCACTGTCTCATAGCTCCAGGCTCAGCGCTGTAGGGGCAGTAGCCAAAGGAAGAGCCCAGGCCTGGCTGGGCTAGCAGGCAGGTCCTCCTGGAGCCAAAACAGATCCTCCCACGTGAAGTTTGAAAGGAAGCATCTTGCAGCTCCGTCTAATTACAGGGTAAGTGAGCGGGCCTCCCTCATGGTTAATTTGCTATGTGCCTTTATTGCCAGCAGAAGACAGATGACTCACGGAGGGTATTCCATATAGGCCTGCCAGTAATTGTCTTTATGACTTCATGAGCCTTTTATGGGCTCCACTGGGAAAGGTGTTTTATTTTTCTTCTTTTCACTCTCCATTTTCAGTCGGTAAATAACCAACTTTCTGAGAGCAGGAGGAATGTCAAGTTCAGGATGTAGGTAAAGCAATCCCAAGATAGGCCATGGCCATCAGAATGGAGGCTGGGGTCAAAGCAGAGGACAGAGAGAATGAGGACAAGTTGGCACGCTAAAGGGTACATGAAGGGGGTAATGCCCATCAGTGATTAATATACACATCATCAAAATTTAAACATGAATAAATGTTCCTTTGCAGCAGATTTACTTTCTCAATGATGCTTGGCTTAGATTAATGATAATGTGAGTTTATGTTTCCAAAGTATACACAGACTGTTCTGCTTGAAGGGCTGGGGGAAGGAGGTGGGAGTGGGTAGATGGGGAAGAAATTTGTGGTGTCCCAAAAGAGTGTTATGTGGGAGGATAGTCACAAGTACTTTATATTTAATTAGCATCTAGTCTCTCTCTATATGCAAGAGGTGCAACAGTGAGACATTTGTTTAAATAGAATGAGAATGGAGAATGGAAGGGTGTTGCATGTCAGTGGCACTCTGGAGCTGGCTAGCCCTGGTTTTCAAAAACCAGTTGTTACATTTTCAGGAATTTCATGAGCTGTTTTACTTCATGTTGGCAGTTTCAAACAAGCCATAGTGGGATTATTTACACCATGGTAATCGGCAAACACTGCAAAGCAGAGACCCACCCTCACTCGACCGGTTGGTAAACATTTATCCACATACCATTGTTGTCGCCTTCTATACCACTGAAGTGTTTAAGAGGGGGTGAAGGACCGCCTGACAGGATAAAAACTATGGGCTAATATTTATTGACCACTTACTAAGTGGCACGTACCATTCTAAGCACTTCACATGTATTTATTCATTAACCCTTTCAACTCCATGGGGTCGATGCTATTCTAGAGGCTAAAACTATACCCAGAAGGCTGAGACTTAAGAGACGGAGCCAGAAAGGATTATTAGCTTATATCCTCATTTCGTGGTTTTACAGATGAGAAAACTAAGAGCCAGAGAGGAGAAATGGCTTGGCCAAGGTCAGTGGCCTGGAGGTCTGTCTCCTGACTCCCCAAGCAGAGTCTGTTTCTCCTGCTCTTATTCTTCCAGCTTTCCATACTATAGTCCTGTTTAGATCCAGGCAAGAGCTGCACCTAAAGGCCTAAAAGAGGCAACCCCCAGGCCAGAGTCCATGGAATGAGTCCAGTGGGCTCTGTTTGTGTTGTTCCTATTGCCTCTGCTGCCATCGCTGGGGTCTGACTGCTCTCTGCTGCCCAAGTGCCATCCAGGGTTGCCTCTCCTTCCAGTTGCCATTGTCTGAGGGTCCCACTGGAAGCAACCGAGACTTCAGTCTCTCAGCAACCATCTGGAATAACAAGAAAAAATAAATAAAAATAAAAACCCAAGTCAGAGCTCTGCCTGTTAGCCCAGAGTCCTTAGCTGAGGGTGGAGGGGGTGAGCACAGGTGGGCTGAAACTCTCACAGCCCAGTGATTAGCCTGGAGAATTCACCGCTAACTGCATAGGAGCTCAAGGGGAGTCCAATGTGGAGCAGGGTTGGGAAAACGACTCTCCTCGGGAGCTGAGGCTCTGCCGCTTGCTTTGCTGATTGCTTTTGGTGTGAAAAATGTGGCCCGAGTCAAGGAAAAGAGACTCAAGATGAAAATCCCTTCAATTCTTAAATATATAGGTATATTCTAATGTAGACGGCATTCTAATATGGTAAACATTCCAATGTAGACTATAGGATCAGGTAGTCCCAGAGCTGAAAGGGCCTTCAAGAATGCTTTCCCCGCCTCCAGGCATCAGTGGGTGTTGCTGGCAGGCAGGGTGCTACGAAAGGGCTGTGCTGCCAGGGTGTCAGTGGCACCTTGCCAGATAAATTCACCTTTTTTTGAGGCTCAGTTTCTTAATCAGTTGAAGTAGGGGGTTTCAGACTATAGGGACCCTTCCAGGTCTGACATTCTAGATCCTAAACAAAAGGGAACAACATTTCAAAGATGGAATTACGCGCTCGCGCACACACACACACACACACACACACACACACACACACACACACAAATTGACAAATAGGAAAAGCTTTCAAAAATCTCATTCAAATTGCTGGATTTGTCTATTAGTGAGATTTGTTTCTTTGCATATGCTAATTGGTCTTGGCATTAATTAATCTGATTTCATTATATTCTCTTTAATTTGTCAAGATATCATTTTGTTATTGGGTGATGGAACACTTTGGAGGATTGTTAGAATTGGAATATATTTCCCCCTCTTTTAAAGCTCCTGGAGAAAAGTCGTTATCAATTAAGTTAATTTGCATACACATTAGGTTAATCGTTTTAGTTTAGCCAAATTTGTGGAAATTTACATAGCAAATTGACCCTCCACATTTCACTTAAACATATGTAGCACACCGAGTAGTATATTTTGAGTTGCTAATGAAACTGAGGTTATTTTACACGCTTCTTTTAGTAAAAGAGGTCTAATTAGACCAAGTAATTTTTTATTTCATCCGTAATTGCAAAACAAATAAGCTTCTTGGCATTTTTTTTTTCTAGCGGCAGCATCACACGGACAGGGACGTTAATAGGGAAGGCATGTTTTCCTAATTAAGCCCGGTTTGATTCCTGCTCACTGTTCCGGTGTCAGCCCTCTCCAGCTTTCTCCTAGGTACTCTTCTGCCTGAGTTGCTAAGCCTCCTGGTATACCTATTAATAGAAGACTCCCCCACATGGAGCCAACTGAATTAAAAAATGTAACTAGGAAGGCAGGGTGGGAATTTTGACAGATTTGTTTTTAAATTTTTTTTTTATGCCAGAGAAGAGAAAGTTGAATTCAAAAGGGGGTCTTGCTTCTCTCCATCAGGGGAAGAAAAGAGAGAAAAATAGCTTTTGTTCTCCCCCAGAAAAGAAGTTGGCATAACACATTGGTGGTGTTTCAAAAGTGACTCCAGGGGCTATCTTATTCAGTGCTGGAAAATTGGCTGTTGTCTCCTCTTCCAGGACTGTGGAGCAGTGGAAAGCTTGTAGTAATGTGGGATAGATGAAAAAAAAAAAAAGGGGATCTGGGATCTGAGCCTTTGCGGAGGGGAGGCGGAGGGGAACTTCTCTTGGCCTCTGTCCTACAGGAAGTGGGAATTGTGGGTGAGGGGAGCCGCAGGGAGGGATGTTGGTATAGCTGCATGGAAGTTGTGCTCCTCCTGTTTCTCTGGATTACATAAAAGACACACAAGAGCTTGACCCACTGCCTATGCTGGATTTGTTTTTTTCTCTTCTGGCAAACATAATTTTGCTGAGTTGTAGGGGAGGGGCCTGGAACGGGCAACAGGTAAGGTTGGGCAGATAGAATCAGAAGTGGGTGCTGCACCCTCAGAATAGAGTCAGGAGACTTGGGCTCCAGTCCTAGCTCAAGATAGCAAAAAGCGGCCACAATATCACTTCTCTTCATGTCCCTACTCTTTACAATGTGAGTTTACAGCTCTTTTCATCAACAGGTAAAGTCTATTTCCAGCCTCTGAATCTGGGCTGTCCTGTGACTTGCTTTGGCCAATAGCATGCATAAGAAGTGACGATATGCCAGCTCCAAGCCTGGAAAGTCTTGCTTGAGACTTTCCGAGTTCACTCTCTGAGAACCCTGCTACTACCCAGACCAGCCTGCTGGATGAGTTGGTGCCAGACGTGTGGCCCAGTTGCCCCCATTGCCCAGTTGATGCTAGCCGATGCCCAGAAGCAGAGCCACCTAGCTGACCTTCAGGGAGCCACAGATTAAATGATAGATCCCAGCTGAACCCAGCTTAAATTTCGAACCCACAAACTGCAAGCTAAGTAAATGTTTGTTACTTTATGGCACTAAGTTCTGAGGGTGGTTTGTTAAGCAGCAATAGCTAACTGATACAACCATTAATCAGTCCTTGGGAAAATTTCTCTTCATCCTTGGGCTTCAGCCTTCTAATCTCTAAAACCAAGTGGGAGTAGAGAATCCTAATCTAAGTTTCCTCCCAAATACCATCTTCCTATAGCTAAAAGAGCCTGAGATTTGACCAGAAGGGACTCCAGATGGGGCACACTAGGCTGTTATTGGGCACTAGCACACTAAGGGAAATGAGTTTATCAGCTCCTCTCTAGATGAGAAAGGGGTATAATACATGCAAGGAGGAAAGAGAGCATTGTCTGTCTTGAGACAAAGAACAGGAAAAGGAGATAGTGTTGGGGCCTTGAAATGTCATCGGGTGAAGAGGTAGTGTGAGTGTGTGTGCATATGAGACATCTGAAGATGAAGTTACTGAAACTCCAGAGGACGGTGGAAGGAGCGTGCTTTGAATAACCATGAGTCCGATAACACTGCATGAGTCTATGCAGCAGATTCTGAGCCTGACACATCAAGGTAGGGTACACAGCCTGCGGGCTGCAGGCCCAGCCATAGGCCCCAGAGGCCGATGGCCACGCGACGGTGTGGGTTGGTGCAGAAAGTGCCCAGCCAGCCTTTGGAATGGGGTTTCTCAACTTGTTTCACCATCATACATAGATATACCAGGCACATACAGGACACTTTGCTGGCATGACTGGGTTATGAGTGATCCCTGCAGCGGTCTCTTAACACTTTTATTTACCATTGAAGAATATATTTAGACCATCAACTGGAAAATAAGTAAACAAAATGTAGTCTATCCATACAATGGGATATTATTTGGTCTTAAAAAGGAATGAAGTACTGATACATGCTACAACATGGAGAATCTTGAAAACATCATGCTAAGTGAAAGAAGCCAGGTCACAAAAGACCACATGCTATATGATTCCATTCATAGAAAAGTCCAGAGCAGGGAAATCTATATAGAGAGGAAGTGGAGTAGTTGTTGCTTAGGTCTGCGGTAGGATAGGGGATGATAGCTAAAGGATGTGGGGATGCTTTTTGGAATAAATATGTTCTAAAATTTTCTGTGGTAATGGTTGCATAACTCTGGGAATACATTAAAAAATCATTGAATCGTACGCCTTAAATGGGTGAATTGTGTAGCATTTGAATTATATCTCAATAAAGCTGTTAAAAAAGAGTACACTTAGGAATACAATGATTAAGAATGAGAGGTACAGTGCTTAGCTTGCATAATCAGGGGTTAGTATTTGTGAAATGAACGAACGGCCAAAGAATAAATGAAAAAATGTTTTTCCATGGTTACATTTGAATTTACGCTGATTTAATCAAACAAGTTATTTGTAAACTTTAATTTTTTATTATTTGGGATGCATTACTTCTGAAATACCTGTCAGTTCATAGAGACCTGTGGGTTAAGACATACTGTTCTGGAAACATGCCTATTATATAACATTCCTGTTGTGGGGCTCACCTACTGGATTGGACCCCTGGATATCATGCAGGCTCTAGACAGGTCTGAACTTTCCCTGTGCTCTTGGGTTTCTGAGAAGCCAACTGACCCCATGAGTTTTCCTCATCCTGGCCGCACCTCCACTCCCGCCCCTCCTCCTTTCCCACTGGCCCTGGCTGCTCAGGTTCCAGCATTCCTTGTGTTCAGGCAGGAGTCTGGCAGCTTCTTGCAGTTTCCCTGATGCTAAGCCAGAGAGGGCAGACCCTCAACTGAACTCAGCCACCATGATCAAGTCCTTGAGCTGGCAAGGCTGAGGCACTAAATCTTGATATCAGAACCCTGGGCATATGCAGGTGTGGAGAGACGTGTGCAGGGTCTTGGACCAGGGAGGAGTCCTGGATGGCTGAGTGCAGGGATACCTGGCCACTCAGGTCTTTGAGGCAAGCGGGAGATAAAGTTAGCTTGATTTATTTATTTTTTTTTAGCATCCTCTCACTTTTTCTTTCAGCATCATTCACCCACCGTCTCATCCTGTTCCCCTTTCTTCCCCAGTACCCTAGGCTGTCCTGGTTCTATGGCATTTTTGTAGCCACACCATTGGCTTAGATATAATTATTGTGTGTGTTTTCCATGTCCGACTACATTGCTGGAGGGAAAGGCCACACTTATTCGTCTTTGTATCTACTCAGTGCCGAACAGACTGACTGCCTTGCACACAGGATTAATATGTGTTAAAAGTGAGTCATTTTTGAGCAAAGGGGGCTGGCCAGCATTATGGAGATCACACTCCACTGGTGCCCCCCTTCTTTGTATGAATAGAGAACTGGCCTTAGGTGACAGAAACCTTGTGTGAAGTTCAAATTCTAGATCCAGGCAGGAAATGGACACATGTGAACTGGAACTGGTCCTATAACACAGCAGGGGGTGGGGACCATGTGAGCAGCTGGAGAAATTGTGCTCTGCCTAAAACATCCAGAAACACATCAGAAAAAAAAAAAAAGAAAAAAAAAAAGAAAAAGAGAAAAAAAGAAAAACAACTCCCGGCCAAAAATCTGTGTTTGAAGTCTCCTTTGCATGAATCTTGTGACAAGGTCAAACTTGAACTCTCAAACTTCAGGGAAAAGGTGACATTTTTGGAAGTTTTCCAGCAGCGGCGAGGTCAGGAGGCGTAGCATGAACTTGGACCCAGAAGATAAAAATATTAGCTTTGACTCTGTCATTATTAGCTGTGTCATATCCAGGCAAGGCATTTCAGATCTTTGTACTTCACTTTTCACTTATATGAAATGGATGTACAAATGACAAAATAAGGTAGGTGAGTGCATGTTGTAAAATGTAAACATTGCTATACAAAGGCAAAGTTCTAGGGTTCTCAGTAGAAACTCACACAGCTTCTCCTAGGGACCGCAGGGGCCTCAATCTTGTCATCAGTCAAGGGCCAGTCAGTGTTGGGTGTGCCACTTCCCATCCCCGTGCCCCCCCACCCGCCACTTGTCCTCTCGCTGATCCAGGAGCAAAGTAGAAAATGGCATTTCTGAATGAGGCTGACAGTTCACCAGGCACGAAAACCCACCCAGTTGTGACTCAGAGTTTTGGAGGCACAGATAGAATTAAGGAAATGTTAATGTATTCGCATCGCTTTGCCTCCTGCCTACACAGGCATAAGCAGTAAAGAGGGAGGATGGGGTGGGAGAGGGGACAGGGAGATGGGGAGTTGTGTTGATGAGCTCTGGGGGTGGGGGATGGGTGGAGACTGTAGGGTCCCAAGGCTGCCTGGCTACTACAGCTGGGCCTGAGATCCCCAGGGGACAGGGAGGGATCTGCTGGCATCTGGTCTCTGCCAAGACAGTCTGCCGCCCGGAATGCAGTATCAGCTTGGGCACAAGGCTAGAGCAAGTGGGGCCCTAGGGTGCATGTGTGTGCCCACACAGGGGATGGAGGGGTGGCAGGAATACAAGCTGGATAACCCAGAGCTGTCTGCGTTAGCCTTGGTGATGTGCCTTGTCAATGGCAAACAGCCATTTAGAATCAGTGTCTTTTCCAAATGAAGCCCCTGAATGTTGTATGCTTAATACGATCTATCTGTCTATCTGTGCACTTATGCAGGGAGCTGGCTCCCCAGGGCACAGCAGCCAGTATGCTACCTCAGCACAGAATAATCCCCCGGGAGGCTGCCTCCTTTTCTCCCCCTCCTGCGGGGGGGCCCCAGAACCAAACCCCGAGGGGTTGGGATGAGTGGTTGCTAGTTTGATGGGTGTACGTGGAGGTATCTTGTATTACTGTTTCTGTTACTCACTTTTCATTGCTGAATGCAAGTATCTGTTACAGCGTTTGCCAGCACTGACTCGATGCCATCGTGGGCACCAGAAAGGCAAAGACACACGGTACTGCCCCGCAGGCTCACAGGCTACCTGTAATCAAGGCCTGTGACCCCTCGCAAGAGTCCTAGCACCTGGCTGTGGGAGGTGCCCAATAAATGTTATTGACAGAAAAAGATGCTCTTTGTAACATCCAGCCAAGACTCAGGGATAATCTCTGTTCACTTCAATTATGGGACCACTAGGGGGAGCCCCGGGGACCACTGGGAATGTAAGGTGCTGAATCTTCTGGGTTCTAAAAATGAAGGGTGCTCTGGAATCGGTGCAGGGGTGGCTTCCCCATAAGGAGGGTTGGGGGTGGGGGTGGGGTGTCAGGAAATGCCATAGTGTGTTTGCCTGGGGAGATTCCAGCTTAGTCTTCCTTCTGTCTGATGCCCTCAGCATCATCCAACTAAATGTCCACAGGAGGGCCCAGTGTAGGGTCAGTGACCCCAAGAATGGAAAGACCTTGTGAGGAGCTCTGGGCAAGGAGGCCCAGCCAGGGGCATGGAGCGGGCACTGGCTTTGAGAATCCCAGGTGGGGCTCCTCCCTGCTTAGCCAGGCTGGGAAACCCTTCACCATTACTTGCCAGGAAAAGCAATGGTCTCTCTTGCCCTCTCCTCCCCTTCTCGGGTCTTAAATGTTTTAAACGCCAGTCTTCATGGTTTGATGGAGAATTTTACACCAATGCAGAGTATTACCTAGTTAATTTGGCTAGAATAGACTGTGATTTTACACGGTGAGGCTGTTGCCTCCTGAGCTAACAGTTCCATATCCATGGGCTTGGCAGCCTGCTCTCCTGGAATCTAAGGAGCTGAGGGCCATCTGCAAATGGGCTTCCTGAGAGCTTCATGGGAGGTTGGAAGACAAGAGGGGGACCCAGTCAGATTCTGGGCTTGCTCATTCATTCCTTCAGTCATTCATTTATTTATTTCCTTCTTTATTCAATAGTTGACTTATTCAGTATTTCTTAATTAAGTTTGTTTATTTTATTTATTCA
Organism: Homo sapiens; assembly: GCF_000001405.40. Lineage (NCBI taxonomy): Eukaryota > Metazoa > Chordata > Mammalia > Primates > Hominidae > Homo > Homo sapiens. The sequence continues at coordinate 116,223,774 of NC_000011.10, read as the reverse complement.
TCCAACAAATTTTTGTTGTGGGCTTGAGAGGTGCCAGATCTGGTGCAAGGTCCTGGGAATACAGAGATGCATCAGCCCCTGTCCCTGCCCTTTAGGCACTCACATGCCAAAGAAAGAGGTTGCAAACAGCAAAGGAGGCCAGATATTAAGACTGGCTGCTTGGGGGGCTATGGCACACTCTGGAGCGGTGGAACTTGACTGCCCTTGAAGGACCTACACTAGGCAAATGTATTAGGATGTTGACTTGGCGATGGGATTGAAAGCTGGGTACAATAAGTGGTAAGAACCACATTCTAAAGAGGGACATCAACCATATGGACTTCTTCAGGGGTTATTAAGAGGCAGATCTGGTTGTGTCACCACCTCCTCACCACTTCCTAGTACCCAACATCCCAGGCTATGGAAGAAGAGAGAGGAGCAAACCATTCTTTTAGAATGGTCTTTTAGAGACTGTTGAGACATTCTCACTCCCTCCCAGAGCCAGGTGAGGGGGAGGGGGCTCTACAGGAATTATTGATGGAGATTGGGGGTACCTATAAGAAGAGAGATTTACATCTCACTCCCCGGAAAATGAGACATTGCAGTGCTTTGACTGGATTTGAGGATGGCGAGCAGGCTCTTGGGAACGCTTGCTCTGTGTCTTCTGCTTGCTTTTTTCCTGGAGATTTCTGAAGTGGGAGTAGGGGTGATAGGAAGTAAGAAGCAGAGTGGCTTGTTGAAACAGCTTGGACCAAGGCCACAAAGAACTGTAGAATAGTGAGCCTGGGAAGAAGATAGGGCAGTCTCCCTTGAATCTTAATCCTCCTCTGCTCTCAAAGGGCCCCAAAGAAGACCCAGAAGGTCATGGATCAGAAAGAGCAAGGAACAGAGGAGGAGGAGTTTCTGTGGGGCTGTCTAGGTGGCCATTAAACGAAGGGAGAGCCTTCATTTAGGGGTTGGGGGATAGACTTAGGCAGGGGGCCAAGGTAGCCATGCTGTCGCTTCCCGACATCAGTGCCAAGAGGGGCAGGTGACATAGAACACCTATGTAAGAAAATGTGTATCTTGTGCACAGAAATCATCACATGGGCAGAGCCACCAGCAGGAGATGAAAGCAGGCTGAGCCAATTAGAGATTTCCCTGTGGGATCAGGCCACCAGTTATTACAATCATTCCAGCTATTTCTCCTGATTTCCCTTCCTGTTCTCAGCACTAATGGCTCCAGACCCAGGAAAGTGACTAGGAGTATAAGGTGTCTGTCTATGAGTTTGTTAATGAGAGATTCCAAAGAGCACGATGGAAGGTGTAGCTAGAAAAACAAATGTCGGTGATATGGTTTGGCTGTGTCCCCACCCAAATCCCATCTTGAATTGCAGGTCCCATAATCCCCACGTATTGTGAGAGGGACCCAGTGGGAGGTAATTGAATCATGGGGTTGGTTACCTTCATGCCGTTCACGTGATAGTGAGTGAATTCTCACAAGATCTGATGGCTTTATAAGGGGCATTTCACCCTTTAGCTCGGCACTTCTCCTTGCTTCTGCCATGTGAAAAAGGACATGTTTGCTTCCCCTTCTGCCATGCTTGTAAGTTTGCTGAGGCCTCCCCAGCCATGCTGAACTGTGAGTCAATTAAACCTCTTTCCTTTGTAAATTACTCAGTCTCAGCTATGTCTTTATGAGCAGTGTGAGAACAATCAGATTTATGCCCTACTGAGTACAAACTGTATAAGACCTGAATAGACAAAGAAAAAGGGGAAACACATTTCAGGCAGAGGTGAGCACATGAACAGAATGACAGAGGGGCAACAGTGCATCACAGAGAAGTCTGAGTAGTCTGGTGAGACTTGGTGGGCAAGTGCATGGGGCAGGAGAGGATGAAATGGTTGCTGTCACATGCTCCCCAAAAGAACTTGGAAATGACTTCTAATATAACATCCTTATCTGAGCAAACGGAGAACTTCACCTGGCCTCTGCACTTTGAAAGGCCCATTTAGACCCTCTCCCCTAACAGGTTTATTAAAGAACACATGGGTTCCTCTGTTATTGGATTCCCGTGTTCACCCCTGGCTTGGAATGATCCCTAACCCTAAACATCCACACCCAAGACTAACCCTGCTTAGGCCCCAGAGAAGTGCTTCTACATGTCTTTTGCCCTATGTCCTTGAAACAAAAGGCAGCTGAGTCAGAATGCCATGAAAGTTTGTGGATTGTGCTGTTGCCCACAAAGGAGAGACAATGCTTTGGAGTGGGTGGGGGGGGAACCAGGGATTGAAGCAGTGGGAATGCTTAGATATAAGACCAATTAATTACCTGTCAAATCCTTCCTCTCAGATAGCATGGGTGCAATAGAGTCTTTCATAATGAAGTATCCACAGTGCTGAGCATCTATTTTCTTGTTTTCTTTGTGTTTAAATTCGTGGTTCTGGAGGTATTCACTAATTAGCATGGTATTTGCAATAGTTGCTTGTAAAAACTGAGAATCATTTTGCAACATTAAACAACTTATATTTTTCTTAAATGTCTAGATATAACATGTATAAAGTGTGAAACAGACTGACACAGATTCTCTACATTATGAATTTAGATATTGCTATAAGAAACAGTGATGAAAATAAACTATTTTATAGTATTTTCTGAAATGATAATTTATCGTATGTGACCACAGTATACTGTTTGGAAACAAGTAAAATTCAATGGTCATTTCTGAATATATAGAAGTGTGGCTTTAAATTGTCTTTTCAAATTTCTACTGCCTCAGCAGAGAAGTTTTTCCCAATTGAAGTTAATGAAAAAACGATTTAAGAACTACAACAATTCAAGAAATGTTGTCTAAGTTGGCGTTGATCTCAATAGAATACAAATTATGTAAACATCTTAATTATAACAACATAATTAGGGATTCTGTTTAAATAAAGGCAAGAAAAATAATTTCAGAGTAAATATATAATGGTTTCTGAATTATTTTATCTTTGTTTTATTACTCATCCAAACATTGTCAGCACCCAAACATGTGCAATAATTAAATTCATCTATCTTTGATATTTGCCAACTTTCAGTCATAATAAAAGAAATCCATGACTTTATACTTATGTTTTGACAAATGCATGAAAGTGTATTTGTCAAGGTAGGGGGATGTCTTAGTATGTCCTGGCTGTGATAACAAAATATCATAAACTAGGTAACCTATGAACAACAGAAGTTTATTTCTTATGGTTCTGGAGGCTGGGAACTCCAAGATCAAGGTGCTGGCAAATTCAGTGTCTGGGGAGGGTCTGCTTTCTGGCTCCCAAATGGTGGCTTCTCATTGTGTCCTTACATGGTGGAAGGGGAAAGAGATTTCTTGGGCCACATTTATAAGGGCACTCATCTCATTTATAATGGCTCCACTCTTAGGACCTAAACATTTCCCAAAAGGTCCCGCCTCCTAACACCATCACCTTAGGGGCTGGGATTTCAACATATGAATTTTAGGGGAACACAAGCACTCAATTTATAGCAGAAGGTAAACATATTTATCAAAGTTTATTATCTTGATTCATACCTTTTAAATATTTAGACCTATGGTTTGTGGGCCTCTGTTTGCATCCTTGTCCTGGGCCCCACCGATGCTAGGAAAAGACCTGTGCATCCTCTGGGACAATCTTGGTTGACTTCTCCCAGTTTCAGCCTTTGAACTTATATTGTGGCCCTTGAAGGCACAGGAAGGGGTTTGGCAAAGGTCTAACTCCTCAATAGGTCAAGCATTGGGACTTAGAGATTTTCTTGTTCTTCTTCCTCATTTTATAGGTGAAGGAATTGGGTTAACAGAGAGGCTAAGTGTCTTGCCAGGGTCACCCAGCTACCAAAGCACTCAGAGGCTCTGGAATAGGGCTGGAGTAGGGACTGAGGTAGTGGGAAAGGGGGAAAATGGAGAGGAGCTGGCATAGAGGCACCTGCACCTCAGCAGCTCTGAAATGCTTCAGTTAGCAGAGCTCAGCAGTGCCGATGCAGGAGAAGAGTACCATGCGGGCCCTTTGTGTGCCCACTACCTTTGTGTGATCTGGGAGATGTTCCCAGCCCTTTCACTACCTTACTCTCTCTAAGCCTCGGTTTTCCCCATTGTGGAATGAGCAGCAAGGACAGGATGATCTCCAAGATGCCTCTTAGCTTCCACGTCCTATGTCTGCGTAATTCCCCAGAGGCTGCAGGTTTGTGGAACTCTGAGGACTGAATTTGGCCTCAATCCATGTTTCTCCTTCATTTCTAAAACCACACGCACTTGCTGGAACACTAACTCCATCTGGTCTTGATTCGCTTCTTCCTGATTTCACTCTCTGCTGGAAAGTGCTGCATCCTGCCTGAGGCACCTTAGGGAGCTGCTCTCACAAACTCCCTGGTTTTTCTCCCCTGAGGCTTAGCAAGTCAAGCATTGCCAAGAGCTCCCTTCCTTCTGCCCCAGCAGAGAGGAGCAACCACCGTCTGGGTGAGCAGGCTTTTGCCTTCTTCCCTGGGGGCGGCTGGCAAGCTGGAATCACCAGCTTACCTCCCACAGGCACCTGGAGGCTGTCTGTGCCCTTCTTGGCAGGCTGCCCTCTCTCCAGGAAGTCCAGCTTTTCAAAACTTTGATCCCTTGTTACAGTTGCATCTCCAGTATGCCCACCCTTGTCCCAAGCTCTTACCCAATACTGTCCTCTTACCCTTCTCTACTCATTCTCTCATTTAGGCAGGAGGCAGTATAGTGATTAAGAACCTGAACTTGAATTCAGCTCTCCTGTTTATGGTCTGTGCAGTTGTCTCTGGGGTGATTTTCCTATCTGTCAATTGGGCATAATAATTCTTACCTAAGGGGCTGTTGTGAAGTACAGTCCTTGGAAGGGCCAGTCACGGTGGCTCATGCCTGTAATCCCAGCACTTTGGGAGGCCGAGGTGGGAGGATCACTTGAGGCCAGGAGTCCTAGGTCAGCCTGGGCAGCATAGCAAGACCCCATCTGTTGAGGTTTTTTTTTTTTGAAGTACAGTACTTGGTACACAATAATAAATAATGTGTCTTAGTCTTTGATCTAATGAACATTTGTGAAACATATTGTGTTAGAGTCTTCATTAACGTCCCTAGGTTTCCTCCAGATTTTATTAATAGCCCTTCACTTTCTTCTTAATACCTAAATAAAATAATCTGAGCTTCCATCCCACACACCTCTGGGGAGTCCCTCTCCCCCATAGTTTTGAGGGTTCTCTGGGTGGCCTTGTGTTCTGCTGATGCCTTGTGGTTCTGAATTCCTGCCCCTGCCTCAGTTCTGGAGCCCTCTCCTCAGGTCTTGTTTTCTGCTTGATTTGCTGCCTGCCCAGATTTGCCCAGTATGTGATCAAAAACCTTCTGACTTCCCAAGGCACCATTAGTGTAAGTTGTGTATGAGTGACAATTTTTATAGGGCTTTTGAGAACAGAAGGGTATTAAATGTCTGAGAAGAGAAAGAAATTAAAATTGAGTATTTGAAATGGTTTGGCTGTGTCCCCACCCAAACTCATATTGAATTCCCATGTGTTGTGGGAGGGACTTGGTGGGACATAATTGAATCATTGGGGCAGGTCTTTCCCGTGCTGTTCTCCTGATAGTGAGTAAGTCTCATGAGATCTGATGGTTTTATAAAGAGGAGTGCCCCTGCACAAGCTTTCTCTCTTTGCCTGCTGCCATCCATGTAAGATGTGACTTGCTCCTCCTTGCCTTCTGCCATGATTGTGAGGCTTCCCCAGCCATGTGGAACTGTAAGTCCATTAAACCTCTTTCTTTTGTAAATCGCCCAGTCTTGAATATGTCTTTATCAGCCCATGAGAAGAGACTAATACAGTATTATATACCATTGTTTATAAAGGCATGGAGTTTGCTGGGTAAAAAGAAGGGAATTTGGGCAAGGTGAGGAATTCCAAGCAGAGGGAATGTGTTGTGCAAGGATCCTCTGTAGCCCACAGGGACAGCTGGCTAACAGTTCATCAAATCCATGGCCTCCTCTTCCTCCCGGGTTCTCAGCTGTCCCTATGGAGTTAGCTGTGGCAACTGGCTGAGGTCTAGTCATTTGCATGTGAGTGGAAGGGATGTGTGCCCCTCCTAGGCCTGGCCCATGAAAACCTTTGGGCACACTCTTTCTTGCAAAAGATTAAGACTGGGATGGTGACCTTTGGCTGACTAGGATGGTGGTCCCCAGGGAGCCCTTGTGGGATGTATGCTGGAGACAGCAGAGCTGTTGTTAGCCTAACTCTGGAAGAAATGAAGAGGACAGCTGCTCTTATCAATCAGGAGCATTCATTGTGTTCTGTTCCATGAGTGAGGGATAAAGTTCTTAAATTTGAGCCATAATACATTTTGGGGTCTTTTTGTTTTTGCAGTTAGCATTACCCTAACATATACATCCAAACCTTTTTCTCCTTTAAACTCATCACTCTTGCAATTCCTTGTGTAGTATCAACCTTTCTTGGTAGGCTGTAAGCTACACAAGGGCAGGGATCATGGCTTTCTGTCGTCCATCTCCCAAGCCTGGTGCACTGTTAAGTGCTCCATGATTTCTCTGGTTGAATGAAACCGAATAGACGCTTCTGGGAACACTGCACAGCGCCGTCTGGTGAGCGTGGAGAGCAGTGTTGCCTTGTTTCAAAGCTTTGTTGTTCTTTGCAGAGTGCTTCTGTTCTAAACTTGCCTGATTCTGACTTCTGAATGTAACATATGCCCTTAGTCCAGGCTGCTTACATGCCTGGAGCCTAAAGCTTTGCCTTGGCCACTGATTTCCTATGATGTTGGGCAGTGCATGAGCTTGCTGCCTCCTGTTCTTTCCTGAGCTCCCCGGTTCCAGGCAACTGTCTTATAACAGTAACACTGTGAGATGCTGGCGTTTGAACCCTGGCTTCACCACGTATTAGTCATGCAACCCTCAGGAATTTAGGTAACCTCTCTTGTGCCTCAGTTTCCTCATTTGAATAATCGGGATACTAATAGTATCTATATCATAGGATTATTGTGAGGACAGAATGAGGTAATACATGTAAAACACCTCGCATGTTGCTTGGCATATAGCAAGTGCTCAATAAGTGCTGTTATTGTTAGGATTATTCTTGCATTTTTCAGTTTATAAAGCAGTTTCATGAATTTCAATGAATAGCCCTCCTATGACCCTTGGAGAAATACATTATAAGTAAAATGACCATTCAACGCTCAGATGCAAATATTGTTATTGATAAGTTTGAGGCATCATGCTAATCTTTCACATGCTAAAACAGGAGGAGAAACTGAGGCCCAGAGAGGTTATGAGAGCTGCTAGTGAGTGGTCGAGTGGGACGCAAACCCAGGTCCTGGGTACGAAATCCCAGGGACTTGTTAGAGTAGGGTAACTTCCATGCCTGCTTGGAATTCTCCTGCTCAAGATGTCAGTGCCAAAGGCATTGTGGAGAAGGATCTTTAGGCCCTAGGCAGAGACTGCTCAATGCATGTGTGCATGCCACACACACACACACACACACACAATCACACTTACACACGCACTTCGGCACCTCTGACCTCTCTGAGTTTGGTGGACAGGTAGTCTCAGTGATATTTCTGTCCCTGGCCAGTGTCCAGCTTTGTGTCATTGCTCTGCCCACCTGCAGGTCTTCAGCATAGTCCCCATATTGTTACTTCAAAATGGGTTTCTGCCCTTATACCCACATCCTTAGAGCACCTTCTATTGATTTTTCATTGGCCTGCCTTCCCCAGTTGTAGCCCAAGTTGTGAATTTTCCTGACTGTTCTTCCCCCATGGGTCCCAGTCCCTCTCATCTACTCCACTAAGTCACAGTTAGCTACGCTGACACATGGGTTCCTGCAATTTGCTAGGAGGTGCTAAGGGGGCAGTAGGGAGTCATCCTACTAGACAACATCCTGGCTGGTAGGCCAGGTGAGTCTTTCAGGCATGGCTCTGGGAGGGAAACTAGGAGAGATGGGCCTTAGCAGAGAAACCTTTCAAAGAGCTTGCCTCAGCCCATGCAGCTGCAAGACTGGCCTGGCCTCCACTACCACACACCCGTTAATCACATCCTACCTCTCCTTCTGGGGTGCCAGAAAACAGACATCTCCTGGCTGAGGACTCCTATTCTGTAACAGCCTCTACCTTTGCTCTTTCCAGACTCCTGCCAGCTCCCTGGCCCAGACTGTGGGGCTGGCTCATGGTCTCCTTGCAAAGATTTCTGGGGAGGGTGCTGCTCTAGCAGCAAAGAGCTGCCGTGGCTAATCCATTTGCTCTGTGCACTTGCAAGATACATAATTAAGAGTTCTGCTGAGGGGGGAAATAAAGCACACCATTAGATTTGTTTAGCATATTACGCCAGGTCTAGTGCCCGCCTGGGCTCCCATGCCACACAAGACATTAAGGTAAGACTCCAGAAACAGCCCTAAGGTTGCCTGATGGAATCTGCTCTGTGTTAATTCCGAGTAAATATTTGCTATTCAGGTTTTTATATGCTTTACCACCAGTGGGGATTTTGAAAGGTGGGCTCCCCCACCAAACACTATTCATTTAATTATCAGACCACTTAAACATAGAGTTCCTAAGGCTCTCCCCATTTGCCCCTGTGTCTGCCTTGCATTTTGTTTCCTTCTTTTTTTTTCCTCTGGATCTTGCCTTATTCTTTCTGCCAGCTTCTCCTTTCTCTTGCCCTCTTCCATATCCTCAGTGTCCAGAGCTGGGAGCTCAGCCTCTCTCTGGTGGCATGGAATGAGCAAGGAAAGGGCACTCACAATCCTGCATTAAGGAAGGGCCAGAGCTTTGATGTCTTCCTCTGAATTCTTTGCAAGGTGGGATCAGGCATGGTGCTGTGGCTGAGGTCCCAGAGAGGAGAGGGTCTGGAAGGCTCAACACAGGGCTGGAAGAGTTTGGAACTAAAGAGGAAAGAGCGAGTAGAAGAAAGTTGGGGTCCAATGGGAAAGGGCAAGAGAAGTTTCTGAGGGTCTTTCTAGAAGCCAGCTGGTATGGAAACTCACTTTCAGGGACAGTAAGGTTTAATGCATAATGACCAGAGGAGTGGTGGACACCCTTATAGCACCCTGTGAAAGGTGCTATTCATGGCTGCCCAAGAGTCAGAACAAGAGAGCTTGCCCTGCACACCCGCACCAGAATTAGAAAAGAAAATATAAGGAAAAAAACCAAAAGAGAGGTTGCTCTTATATCTGCCACAGCATGGCAAGGAATCCTGAGAAGGAGGGAGAGAATATGGCAGAGCTTAACCTGGCACCATCTTGGGAGGCAGTGGTGACGCTCACACTTGGTCTCTGAGCCTCTCAAAAGCAGAATGACCTCAGAGGTCATGTTGGCCAATCTTGAGCATCAGTCCTCTCTATCCATAATAATGATGTTTCTTCCCTAATAATATGGGGCATACAACCCCATGGTTTAGAATCCATTGTAGGGCAGTGCGGAAGGTTAGAAAGCTCTTCTTCACACGGAGACAGCATCTGCCTGAAACTCCTGTGCTCTACGGGCCCCAGGTCTCACCTTGGAGTATCCAGAGAGTTTGTCCAATCCCTCCACCTGTGATTTCTCACACATTTGAGCTCAATCATCAAAGGACTTCTAAGTTTTTTTTCCTGGCCTCAACAAACCCCACTTTTCCCCTTCTTGATATTTATAATAATTCTCACTATATTGTCAGTCACTTGTGTAAGATGTAATTCAGTGTTTCCCAATAGACTGAGGACTTCAGGAGAGCAGGAGCTCTGTTTTATTAACTGCTATAACCCTGTGCCCAGCCAAGTGTCTGGCATATTGGAGGCACTCAATAGATATTCGTTGGATGAGTTAAATACAGTATTTGAATTCCTTTACTTTCCTTGCCTTCTGCCTACACTTTCTGTTTTCCTCTTAAGGTGTATGATCAGAGAAGACCAGAATGGGGCTATTGCCTCCCACTTTACACTGGGTTGGCAAACTTTTTCTGTAAAGGACCAGCTAATGAAGTTTTACAGTCTTACTTCTAACCACTGAGCTCTGTCATCACAGTGCTAAAGCAGCCACAGACAATATGTCAATAAATAGGCATGAATGCCCAATAAAACTTTATTTACAATGATGGGCCAGATTTGTCCTGTAGGCCATAGTTTTTTTTGACCCTTCCTTAGTTCTAGGAATTTTTTTTTTTTTTTTTTTTTGAGACAAAGTCTCACTCTGTTGCCCAGGCTGGAGTGCAGTGGCACGATTTCGGCTCACTGCAACCTCCACCTCCCGGGTTCAAACGATTCTCCTGCCAAGTAGCTGGGACTACAGGCACATGCCATCATGCCTGGGTAATTTTTTGTATTTTTGGTAGAGACCGGGTTTTACCGTGTTAGCCAGGATGGTCTCGATCTCCTGACCTCATGATCTGCCCGCTTCGGCCTCCCAAAGTGCTGAGATTACAGGTGTGAGCCACCACACCCGGCCGAAGTTCTAGGAATCTAGACTAGAATTGGATTTGCTTTTGAAAATAACCATATCAGAGAGCTCTTAGTGCCAACCACCCAACCAAGGAAGAGTGAGCAGGAGAGAACCCTTGGCCTCTTTGTGGCAACAGCAACCTCCGTAGCAAGCAAAAAGGTTAACTGCAAGGCCTGTGGACTTGTACGAGGTCAGGCTGATAATGAAGCTGGGTGACTACTGGGGAGATCACTCCCTGTACCTGAGGGCCTGTCACTGCTGGACTAGGTACTCAGTGTGCAGCCCAAGAGTGGAAATTCCATCCAAGCAGCAACCATGGCTGGAGGTGAACATCCTGGCCCTAGTGGCAGCTCTAGCATTACCTGGGGAAGATCCTGACAGGGGACACTGTAAGCCACCGTGCCTTAACTAAAGCAACTGATCATGGTTAAAACTGTGGGATGTGGGCACAGAGTGGGGATGTGTGTGCCTGTGAATTCGGCTGTGCCCATTTGCATGTCTAAGATGTGCATGTAGAATGTTCCTGTAAATTTGGAGCTATGGAAGGTGTGTGCTTGGATGTGTACATACTTCCATCACTGAGCGCATCACACTCTGATGTAATTGTCTGAATTTCTCTTCCTGACTGGGGAGCTCTTTGAGGGTAAGAGCTGCTCTTCTTCATTTGCAACTTTCCAGCACTTATCACAAGGTCTGATCCTTAGTAAGGGTTCATAGTCTACTTTAGATTTAATTAAAGTATTTAGTTTCATTAAATTGAATCGAGAGTGGGTATTCAATAGAGCCATGGTCTAGTAGAGGGAATCATATTAATACATGGCTACATTTGCATGTGGAAACAGCAAGTTTAGGTGCAAGTCCCTGAGTTAGGGTGTATGTAAGCAGACATGGTGTTAGTGCAGGGCATATATGCATGCACATGTAGGTATGGTATTTGGGGGTGTCCATTTGAAATGTGCATGCAGATAAGAAGATGTTAAAATATGATCATGGGCCCAGAAATGGGGTCTTATGTAGATACATATGATGTTAACATGCAGATAATAAAATATTGTGGGATGTTTACATGAGACATACAAATGCGGGTTGAGGGTTTATGTTTATGGGATATAAATATGCAGAATGGGATATAGCATGCATGTGTACATGAGGTGTATACAAATATACGCGAAGTATACAGGAAAGACCTAATTGCAGATGGGCTGGTGGGAGTGATGGTTTCTGTAAATATTCAACAGATATAGGGATTTGGGGAGAATATACATAGGGAATATGTATGTTGGGAGTATGCATGCAGACATAGGCTGCCTACGGTGGATGTGTATGCCAGAGTGTGCATTGCAGACATGGCTTGTTGAGGCTGAGTGTATCCGGGAGGTGTGCGTGGCCTGTGAGGGTGCATGTGCACTGGAAGTGTGCAAGGAGGCTTTGGTTATTGGGGTATGTAAGTGGTGGAGAGTATGCATGTGGAAATGGACAGTCGTGAGCATATGTGTAGGATTGTGATTGTCGAGGGTGGGTGCACACTACCAGTGTGCCTGCCAATGTGGACAGTTGAGGATGGTGTTCAAACAAAGGTGTGTCCATGTAGACAGTGGTATCAGCATCTGGAAAATGCTCCCAAGCTATGTGTCCCTCTTTTGTTGGGCTGAAGCTCATTCTGCACTGCTGCTGTCCTTGGCCGTTGGCCTCCTGGTCAGGGTCAGAAGACAAAGCATTAACTTAGCAGAATCGGCAGAGCTTCCAAGGCTGAGACATCTCTGGAACTAGATGCCCAGGAAAATCTTTAAAAATAAATAAATAAAAATGTTCCCAGGAACTCTTCAGCTGTTCAGGGAGGGAGGTGCATGTTGGGAGGAGAGAAAGAGACCCTAAGCAAAATGAGAGAGAGAAAAAAAACACAAGGCGAGGAGAGGGAGGAAGAGAGCAAGTGAATGAGCAATTTAGTTGAGCCTGAGGCAGGAGTGGCAATGGCAGCAGCTAACGGGCTGACAAGTTGTGTATGTTTTACATGCCCATTAACTCGCTTCCTCAATAAAAATGCAGAGTTACCACCATCCAGATATACCACTGCTAGAGGAAGCCTGTCCGAGCCGCCTGCCTCTAGTCTGAGGTCCCAGGGACAGCTCAGGCTGAGGCAGTCACTGTTAGGCAGTGGGAAATAAGTCCCCAGCCTCTGAATGGCAGAAATTAGGCAAGGCCCAGAGGAAATCAGGCACCGGCATCACCAAAAATCCAATCAGCTCTCCCTCTCTGGGATTTTTTTTTTGTACTATATTAGCCTCTCAGGGGACACCTTCTTGGGTTGGGAATGTGCAGTGTTTTTCAGGGGAGGAAAGGGAAGGAGAAAAGGAGAAGAAAGAGCAGGTGGACTTGGTGAAGGTGGAGAGAGAACAGGGGCCATGGAATGGAGACTCGGCTTTCCAGAATTATGGCGTTAGGCTGGGCTCAGGCTGGCAACGAGCTTGGTTCCACCCATGACAGGTGGCAGCTTGGATCTACAACTCAATGTGTGCTTCTAGCTCTCCTGCAGAGGGTTAACCTCAATTTGCTATCCGGGACTGAGTGTGCACCTACTGTGAGCCCCAGGCTGGTCTGAATACTGCGTGGCAAATACCAGAGAAGTGTGCGACATGGTCTCTGGCTTCTGCCCTCTGGAAGAGGACAGAGGAGGAGCAGGAAGTCCTAGAAAGAGCATAAGATTGGGGAGACTTGGGTTCTGTTTCTAGCTCTGTGTGGCCAGGGAAAGTGACTTGCCCTCTCTGCGTTTCCGTTTCTTCTCCTTCTCATTTGTCTTTTCTTATGTTTCGGATAAAAGATATACCCAGCTAACATGATCAAAATAAACACTTCGTTTTTCAGCATTCAGGTTAACAATGGCATCATTCCCCTAGACGAATAGCGGTGGAAAACTAAAAGGTCCTCAGCAATGTTTTCCAGAACAAAGGACAACCTCTCCATAGTGAAATTCAAGTCGCCTCCATAACAGATGCAGCAGGGCATCAATCCTGGGCAGATGACTCAATCACTCTGAGCCATGGTTTCATCTGTGAAGTGGAGATCATGACAGTTCCTCACTTCATAGTCTTGTTGTGAGGATTAAATGAGATAATATATGGAAAGAAGTTAGCAAAGGGCTTGACACATAGTAAGTGCTGATTCAGTATGAGCTGTGATTATCATTAGATCCCGAGGCTCTCCGAGGCTCCTTCCAGGGATGTTCTGATCATCTGACGCCTGAAGTCAGAAAGTTTAAATGGCAAGTAGGTGTCCTTCATAGGCCAGCCCTGGCTATTGGAGGAACCCACTGGACCACAGCGATAGAGGCAATCTGCAGCCTGGGCTGGCTACAGGGGAAAAGAGGGAGGTGTTGGATTCCCAATCTGTACAGGGACAAGGTAGACAGAGGAGCAGCTGCTTGTCACAGAGGCACCGGCACAGAGCTAGATGGGCATAAGAGCTTTCCTGGGGGTGGGTAGTCCTGCCTCTTCTCTTTTCACCCCAGCAAAGTCAGAGTCCTGGATTGGTGTTGTGTAGCCTTCAGTCCTCCCAGAGTAACATCCTCTCTTGAGCACTGTCCTGCCTGCTTGTTACACAGCTAGGTGCTTGGGCTACCACCCGGGAAGCCACAGCTGCTACAGGGAGGGTGAATGGTCCCTACCCCCATTCCTCATGGGGAAGATAGTACCAATAATTGTAATCATATTATCAGTAATAGCACCACCACATTTATTTCACGTATACTATATGTGGGGCACTGTTCTAAGTACTTTTTGTATAGGAAACCCATTTAATTCTTATGATCACCTTATAAGATCAATACTGTTATTATCTCCTTCTTGTAGTTGAGAAAAAGAAGGCACAGGAGTTAAGGAAGGCTTGAATCAGGACTTTGCCTTTGGACTTGTACCAGAGACCTGTACATGGTCTTTTGCAAGAGATCCCCTTCATAGGGGAAGGAGGAAGTTCTCTGGTACAAGTCCAAAGGCAAAGTCCTGAGTCAAGCCTTTTAAGAAAAAAAAACTGGAAAGAGATGCATTCAAATATTAACAGTGGTTGATATTAACAGTGGTTGATGTAGGTTATGACCTCCCCTTCTACTTTTTACATTGTCTTTTTTTTTTTTTGAGACTGGGTCTCACTCTGTCACCCAGGCTGTCATGAGTGCAGTGACACGATCTTGGCTCACTTGCAGCCTCGACTTCCCAGACTGAAGCGATCCTCCGCTTCAGCTCCCCAAGAGGCTGGGACTAAAGGCATGAGCCATGACGTCAGGCTAATTTTTGTATTTTTGTCCATGTTCGTAAGCAAAATATGTTCATTTGTAATGTGAAAAAAATTAAGTTTTATTGAAAGAGTGAAATCACTTCTGTCTTCTCCAGGCATTTTGCAGCCCTCTGGGGCCCTCAGGGGTGCAGGAAAAGCTGGACCCTACCAGGGAGGCCTCTCTGCCCTTCTGTGGGCCAGAGCAGCGAGTGTGCCGCATTAAATATCTCAGGCTGGGCTGGGCACGGCGGCTCATGCCTGTAATTCCAGCACTTTGGGAGGCTGAGGTGGGCGGATCATGAGGTCAAGAGGTAGAGACTATCCTGGCCAACATGGTGAAACCCCGTCTCTACTAAAAATACAAAAAATTAGCCAGGAACGGTGGCAGTTGCCTGTAATCCCAGCTACTCGGGAGGCTGAGGCAGGAGAATTGCTTGAACCTGGGAGGTGGAGGTTGCAGTGAGCCGAGATGGCGCCATTGCACTCCAGCCTGGGTGACAGTGTGAGACTTCGTCTAAAAAAAAAAAAAAAACTCAGGCTGGTTTGGGTTGTTTTCTGAAGTCAGAGGCCAAACTCAAGGCTCTGAGCTTGCTGTCACCCAGGAAGTCTGCTGGGAGGTTCAGACCAGACAGCTTGTACAGTGGCCTCCTAAATAGGTTCATGTGTGCGACAGAAGCCCTGGGAGCCTTCCCAAAGCCAGTGTAGGGAAGATGCAGAGATGGATTTGGAGGTGGAAGTCATCCTCCCGTGTATTTCCTCACTCCAGGGTCCCAAGCTTGGGCCCTACCACCACCTGTCTGCCCATCCCCACCACTGCCTGCCACTCTGTTTGATCCCAGATCTACCCCTCTCTGGGGCCCTTATCTGGCATGGAGTGTCTAAGGACGGGGGCGGAGGGGGAGCAGAGAGAGGGTGCAAGCTCCTGGCGTGCTGGTTTGGGGTGCCAAGAGGGACAAGCACAGAAGCTAAACCCGGGCACCCCTGCTTCTTCCCCTGGCTGCTAGGATCCTCCATTCAGATCCACTTTCCCTCTAGAGAAAAAGGAGCTGTCAGAAGCACAGAGGAGATGCTCAAGATAAAGGAGTAAGAGGCAGAGTTGCAGAAGCAGGGCTGCCCGGAACAATCAGCATCCAGGGAGTCTGTCCAGATCCGCAGCCTCTGGGATCCTGCGGAGGAGACCCGGCTTCCGCAACTCGTGCAGGGGGGCCGAGGGCCTGTCGCTCACCCTCCACCCAGCCAGCCTGTCTTCCTTGGGGACTGTCTTCCATAGCCCATCCTGCAGAGAGAGAGGACGGTGGCTCAAGGGGGCCAACAGTGTCTCTCCTTTGTCCCCTTTGAGCCTCCAAACGGAGGTTGTGAAGGGCGGGGGCTCCCCGGGCTCGGGCATTCTCTGCTTGAATGTGTAGTGTTTATTATGCCTGGTTAAAGATCATTAAAGCCTTTGTTGGGGGAGCTGACTGACAAGGAGAGTGGATTAATATTAGAACACGCTGTCACAACTGGTGGAAAGGCAGGATTGATTTTATAGGGAGTTTAGTCAGAGCTGCGTGTGAAGCCCCTGGGGTTGTTCTGGAGTGTATCCATCTCCTCCATTAGGAGGTCCCCGCGGGAATATTCAGCTGCAGTGTTTATGACAACCAAAGCTGCGTATCATAGATATAGTATTAGCTGCCTTTATTCAGCTGCCTTGCTCTCAATTGCCCAGGCTCCCAGTGGCTCAGTCCCATGTGCCCAGGCAGCTGCTCTGGTCAAAGGAGCAGTCCTGAGCTAGACTAGAAGAGCGCACATGTGTGTGCATGTGTGTACACATGCATGTCTGTGTCTGTATGTGTGTGTGCATGAATGTGCATATGCATGTCTGTATGTGTTTGTGCACACATCCATGCTCGTTCTGCAGTGGAGGAAGGGGAAGCTCTAGAGTCCCCACTCCTGGAGGATGGTGGTGAGCACCCTCTACTGTCTTCCCTACACATCATCCAGCAGGGTTCATAGATGGCCTCTCACCCCAGCCCAGAGGCTGAGGATAGAGCCAAGGAAATGAGGTCTTTCTTTCTTTCTTTGACAAAAGTTAGAAACTGGAACTTGGAAAATTTATGTCTCCAAGAGATTGTGTGCCTAAGGATTCACTGAGTACTACTTTGAGAAGACACACAAGAGTGGTGGCTTGAGACTGAGTGCCGAGCCAGGAGTCAGCTCTGCTACTCCTTAGCTGTGTGACCTTGGGCAACTCTGTTAACTCTCTGGGCTTGATTTCTTCATTGTTTATACGGGGATAATAAAAATGGTACCTGCCTTACAGAATTAAGTGAATATTACAAGCAAAGTGCCTGGTATATAGTAAGCACTCAATGCTACTGTATCATTACCTGACTATTCCAATATATTCTGAATAGGATTCAATTTACAAACCTTTAGTTTGAACCAAGCATTTCTGGAACACCTTTATTGCAGAAAACATGTCCTGCCCGTGGAAGCAGAAGGCCCATGGGGGACTGTTCACGAGTCCTTTCCTCAATTGAAGGCCAATGGAGCACTGGGAGGAAGTCCTGACCCAAGTGGAAAGCTCTAGGTCCAATACTGTGCACTGGGATGGGGACCAGGCACTTGGCCTGCTGGGTCTGAAATGACATAGAGTCAGGGCCTTCCAGTTCAGCCCAGGTGGACACAGGACTGGAGGCCAGCCTGACAGGCACTGGCCACCGAGAATAGATGCTGGGTCTAAGTCCCACCAGAACACAGATAGAAGAAAAATGTTGGGTTGGTGAGCAGTAAAGAGGAAACTGGCTATGTGTCTGGGTCTCATGCAAGAAGCCAAGAGTCTGAAAGCCAGGAGAAGGCGTAACTCATCTTGCTGAACTGTCACAGCTCTTTGGATAAATGTCTATCACAGTGCTCAGCAGGTGGTTTCACTTTTTCATAGAACATGAACATGATGCCTCTGGAGCCAGAGTACCTGGGTTCCAATCCCCAGTCTGCCACTTAGTTCACTGTGACCTTGGAGAAGTTATTCTCTATGCCTGAATTTCCTTGTCTTTAAAATGCATATAACAATAGTACTTACTTCATAGGGTTATTGTGAGGGTTAAATGAGATAATACATGCAAAGCATTTAAAACAGTGTCTGGCAATAAGAAACTCTCAGTGTCAGCTGCCAGCATAGTAGCCATCTCTCAGTCTCCTCTGACAGACTGAGCTCCCCACGAGGGTAGAGACCTAGAGTCACAGTTTCCAAGTCCACAAGACCCAGTCCAGGGGCCGTGCACATAATGAGCACTCGATAGATGTTTTTTGAACTGTTGGATCAAGTAGGATAAAGCGTAGTCACACCTAGGGCAGTGGGGGGTGACCTGAAACTGCTAGGGTGCAGCAAAGCCAAAGATGAAAGACAAAACAAGGCCAGATGCCAGGTTGGGTATTGTCAGGATTAACAGAGTTGAGGTCGGGAGCAGAATTGATCGCAGGGACTTCGGTGTCTGATGAGAGCTCAGTGGTAGAATCAGAATCCAAGGGGAAAATCTGAAAGAAGGTGGCAGAGGGAGGTGAGGGAACAAGAACCAAAGCCTAGGAAGTGCCCTTGGTCAGCCCAGAGAGAAGAGTTTTGCACACCATCCTTCTGACAGTGGTGGTGGCAGGCAAGTTTGGGGATTGTGATGCTTATAGGCTCTGAATCTGGAGCTTCCTGTAGGTTTGCAATGACCCAGATACCCCAAACCCAGAAGGAGAGAACTGAAGTTCTGGGAGGAAGGGGAACAGCAAGATGAGAAAAGTTAATCAGATTGCAGAGGTTGACAGGCAAGATGCGGAAATATAGGCCATCAGGATATTGTAAAACAAAAACCAGCAACAACAAAACAACATACAAACCAGCACTGTGAGCCTTTCCTAACAACAAATATTACAAAATATTTGTGTAAAATAGTTAAATAACTAAAAGTTCAGAGAGGAAATTAAAACATCCCAAATTCTACCTCTAAGAGATAATCACTATTAACATTTTGGTTAACATCTGTTGGCAGATGGAGGTATTCATAATCTCCATCAGTGTCCCTCCACACCATCCTAAATGAACATGCATTCTAAGGAAAAAAAAAACTTGATTGGTTTGTTAGCAAATGCAGCTTCAAAGTGAGACCCCCAAATCCTCTCCCCACCCCCACTCCCCTGTTCTAACCAGATTGCAGCCTTTAAGCCCCTCCTATCTGGAGCCAGCAATGCTTCAGGCATTTCTTTCTGTAAGACACCTATAGATTTGTGCATATAACTTTATGTAAAGTGGGTTCAGACTTTGCATGTTATTCTGTTATCTGATTTTTTTTTTTACTCCATAAGATGTCAAAGACATCTTTCCAAGTCGATAAGTACAAAGCTACATTATCATTTTTAATGATTGCATACTATTTTGCTGTTTGTATGTGTCTGAAGCATTTTCCTATTGATTGACATCTAGGTTGTCACTAAAATTTTGCTACTATAAATAATGCTTCAACAAACATTCTCGTAGTTATATTTTTTCATACTTAAGCAATTATTCCCATCAGGTAAATTCTTAGAAATAGAACTGCTAAGTAAACAATCATGCATATTTTATATTTTGATACATAAAACTATCTTCCAGATAGATAGGTTCTTACCCTTCAGCCCTGCAAAAGAGTGTCCATTTCTTGATCTAGGTAACAAACTAGATTTTTGTCAGCTCTTTAAAAGAATCTCTGCTAATCTGATATGTAAAAACAATATCTCTTTTCTTGTCTTTGATTATTGTTGATGCTTAATGGTTTTTATGTTTATTGACCATTAGCATTTCTTCTCATTTGTGATTTGCCTGAATATTAAAAAGCATGAGAAAAAGTGTAAATATAAGAAAATGCCATATTATAGAAGGATTTTGGTGTAAGAAAAATAGTTACCATGCAATTCAAAGTGATTAAGGTACAGACTGCAGAGTATTACTATATTATAATATTTTTCTTTAAAAATATATCGTTATACAAAGACTAAAGGCTAAAATAACACTTTCCAGAAGGTTAATGGAGATTATCTCTGGGTTGTACTTGGGAAATAGGTGGTTTGTTTTTTTTTTTTTAAGTGTTTACTCTTGGTTTCCAAGTTTTCTGCAATTAGAATGATTACTTTTATAATTAAAAGCTCCCAAGACACATTAATAAAGCCACAAAATATTCTTTATGTAATCTGTGTTACTCTACTACTGCTCCTTACCTGTAAACAGCCGTAAAATAATAGGTTTCTTGAGCTAAAAGCAACCTTAAATATTTTTCCTTCTTTTCCATTTAAAAAATGAGAGAACTGCAGCCCTGAGAAGTTAAATGACTGAGCCAGCAGAGATGGGAGAAATGAAGTGATATCCTACAAGACAGCAACAGAGGAGATGAAAGACATACCCTCACACCTCCACACCACTCCCCTCTTCTGCCAGGGTCCCACTTCTCTAGAGGACCAGTGCTATGTTTAAATTGCAGAAGGATGAATTTGCTTGGACTTTAGATGTGAGCCCAGAATTGCTGGTAGAGTGGGCTACAGAAATCTGAAACCTGGAGTCCTTAAAGGCTAGGAGAGTGGGTGTCTGGTCCAAGCTGAGAACAGATCCTGCCTGAGATAAGAGGAAGACCAAGGTGCTTTCTGAAAGTGCAGGGATCTGAGGTATTAGATGGCAAAGAAGGTGAGTGCACACCAGCTCCTCCACCCCAGACTGCCCATGCCTTTCTAATGGAGCCCTGGAGGGAGATCCAGGGGCCCCAGCCCAGCATACTCCCTGGAGACTCCAGATCTTCCCCATCTTCTTCCCTCCCTTCCCCTCAAGACCTTGGAACCAAGGTTTTGTTTTGCAATTTGTTGCTGGGTTTTTTCTTCCCTTTCTTTCAGAAGCCTGTCTGGGATTCTGCTCCATTTGGAGGTTGGGAGAGCAGCACGCTGCCTCTGGAAATCTTGTTTCCCCTGCCACATGACATCAGTGGGTTATATTGCAACTTTCCACATGGCTGCCCAGACACAGACAGTTGTGTTTATGAAAATCCTCTTGATACCAGCTTGGAGCCTCCCTGACACTCGAGGCTCCTTCTTGGGCTGTGGTGTGTTCTGCTGAGAGGGGCAGTTGACAGAGGGTGTGTGGAGGGCCAGCTCTGGTCAGGAGCTCAGGGTAGGGGCTCTCCCTCTACCCCAGCAGGAGCATCTTGGCCTGCACAGTGCTCAGCTCCCGCTGGGAAGAAGGCTCCAGATGGACAGATCATAGGTTCGGCGTCTTTCTGACAGTAGGGGCCAGCTGGGGTTGGACAGGGAGGGGAGCAGGTGATCTTTTGGGGAGAGGCCTGCCTGGGGGTCAGAACCCCCAGTTTGATTAGTTCTGTTGCTGGTCTGTAGTGTGACTGGATGAGGCATTTCACCAATCTTGGTGTCAATTCTTTATTTCAATCCCCTAAAACTGGGAAAATTATCCCTGTTTCTCCCCACCAACAATGGGGCTAAGGATACAATGGCAAACTATCAAGGAAACATTTGGGAGAGAAGCTCAGAAGACTTAGGAAGGCCATTTATCTCTCTGAGCTTTAGTTTTCCTTTCTATAAAATGAAGGAGTTATGTTAGTTGGTTTCTAAAGCTCCTCTAGTTCTAAAGAAAAAAAATTAAACCATGGCTTTATGATTTTTTTCGAATCCCAGCCACTAACACTAAATGATCCATTGATTAATACCCAGGGATCAAAGTGACCTAGGAAATCTGAACTCTAAGTAGAACCTTAGAAGGGTTAATTTAGAGTAAACGGAGTGATTTGTAGTGCCCTGCTCTTTTGCATGGTGGCCCTTTGAGCCTCAGTGTCCCTAAGTGCTCCCTAAAGAGCTGTGATGTTGGTGGGGGGAGGGTGTCTGCGCCCTCCCAAACCTCAGACATCTGGTCACTCCCCCCTCAGAACCCCTGGTCCTAGTGGTCATCTGTGATCCGGGCCACCAAACATTCTCTCTGTGATGGGTGTCCTGTCTCCCCAGAGTGTAAGTGCTGTGGGGGCACAAACCATGCCTTGGGGTCTTTGCATCCCTCATACTGTCATGCACAGTGATATTCATTCATTCATTCATTCATTCATTCATTCACTTATTCCTAGGTCTTGGAAAAATTAAAAAGACATGGCCTAATGGAAAGTGATCATTCTGCAGACTTCCTGAACCCCTCCTCACTGCTCCACCCTGCTAGGTAATAAATGCTAAAGAAGAGCGCAGCAGCTTCCATCTATCAAGTTCTTACAATATACTTCTCACCATGATCCTAAGAGGTGTGCACTCTCATTATCTGCACTTTATAGTTAAGGAAACTGAGGCACAGGGAGGTTAGGGAACTTGTCTAAGGTCACACAGTAAGTGGTGGAATCCAGATTCAAACCTACACAGTCTGACTTCAGAGCTCAGGCCCTCAGCCTCCGCATTAAACAGTCTTTTGACCCAAAGGCTAAAAGAAGAGAGAGAAGGGAGGGCTCACTTTTTCCAAGGAGGTTTGGGAAGGGTTTTCTACACGAGGAGCTGTTATGCTAGAGCTCTAATACATGAACTGTTATTCAAAACTTCGAGTTTGAAGTTTTCTTCTACTTCTGACCTTGTCTCTGCTTTTTCCAAGTTCCTTTTCTCCTCCTATTAGGTTGTATGTCTTATTGGCAGAGGCTTTCTGGAAATGTCTGGTGATCCTTAGTTGTCCATAGCTCTGGAGTAGGAAGACATTCTGCACTCTGCACATAGACGTGACTAGGGACCTTACCTCTGGCCAGCAGCTGGTGTGACCTGCTCTACTGGGAGAGGAAGCCGCAGCAATCCTGCTTCTCCATTTTTCTTTGCCTACCCCTTCCTCAGAGAAAAAGAGGTGGGGTCACAGAGGAACACCTGAGTGACTCTCATCCTCTCTCAGGAGGACTATAACCTTGGTGCTTTTTGCCCTTATCGCCATGGGGGTCCCACCCCCTGTAATACGGTAGCTGCTGGGCACCACTTCTCAGGGTCTTGCAAAGGAAGGAAAGAACTGCTGGGCAGGGATGAAGGAATGTCCAGGTCATAGCAGTTACTGAGAGGCCTGTGCAGAGTGAGGGGTGCCTGAGCCTCCATGCTTCTGCTCTCCCGGCATGCCCTCCGGATTCAGGGGAGTCTCCTCAGGTGTGATTTAGAAGGGGCTGGTGCTGAGCGGTTGTCTTTTCCTCATGGGACTGGGTCATAATTCTCAGCAACCCTCTCTCCCTCCCTCACTCCCACCCCCTCCCAGTGGCTACTGCTCTGAGACATTTAGGGCAGATTTAAGATCAAAATCAAATCAGATTCACCAAACAAGGTGTCACGCCAGGCAGGAGGGCTGGGGCCTGGGAGTTATAGCCTGGAAGGCCTCGCAGTTCCCTGGAGACTATTAAGTGAGTATATTTTATGGCCAGACACAACACCAAGCGAACCATCCATAAGCCAATTACAGGAAACTTGCCCACACATTGCAGGGAGTGCCGGTGGGCAGCTGGGTGGGTAATGAGCAAGCGTACCCTTGCAGCCATCAGGCATTCTTGAGGGTCGCACCTGCCGTGGCACCCTGGCTGGCTCCCTCCTTAGGACACGGCACCTCCCAGCAGGACAATTCCCCAGAAAGAGTCAGCAGTGAGCTCGGCCCTTTAGAAGCAGCGAGTTCTCAAGATGAATGGGATCCATCTTACCAAGAGAAAAACCAAAACTCTGACACAGGAAGAGTCCTTACTCTTACTTTGACTCTGCCTCTGTCTCTGGGCTCCTGAGGAACAGAGCTGGGAACTAATGATGTGTCTCCCAACCTAAGTGCAGCACTTTCACAGGCCACCAATGCTCAGGCCGGAAAGCAGATTTCACCACAGATCCTGCCTGCCACACTGCTCTCAAAGTCATTCTTAGGAATCCTGCAGACCCCACGCCCAGGTGGGGCCACCGCCGCTGACTGGGGCAGATACTATCACCTCCATGCTGGGCTCGCATCCCGTGAAGCATACCCTTACCTGGGACCTCCCAGATAGCTCGAACCCAAGTCCTGGACCATTAGATCTGAAGAATGTCCCCCTCTCCTTACCAGAATGCGATCCGTCTGAAATCAGGAACTGTGTCAGTTCGTCTCTACATCATTTAACAGGCTTCCTGGCACATGAGAATTACTCAGTGAATAGATGCTTAATAAATGAATACATCTGAATCACCACCATCCACAGTTGCTTTCCAGAGAAGGAAGCTGAAGTCTGCAGAGGCAAAGTTACTTGTCCAAGGTCACACAGTAAGAGTGACAGAACCAGAACTAGGACTCAGATCTCTATCTCCCCTGCCCTGGGCTCTCCTCTCTGCAATGTGTGGCCTCCCCTCAGATACCCCAGGCAGGGCCCCTGGGGCTCAACTGAATGATCTAGAATGAATTCTCTGTTCCTCTCCTACAGGGAAAATGCAGTTGTACCATCCATTCTGGCTGCTGAGGTCTCACTTTTAGAATGGGTGGAATTTTAGGGGAGGATGGAACTTCCTCTAGTGAAGCCCTGGGGAGGCCAAATGGTCCCCTCTCCCCTTTGCAGCCCCCACGGCTGCCCCCAGTGTCTCCCCTCCTCTCCCTCCAGCTCTGCTGGAGAGTCTGCTCTGAGCTCCTGCTGGCCGTCTCTGAGGACCTGGGAGAGGCTCAGGAGAGGCAAAACCCAGGGGACCCAGCTGCTTCCCTGCCAGGTCCAGCTGCCCTGAGCGTTGACGGCTTGACAAGTGGCATTAGCATAAAAACCTCTGCAGTGGCAGCTGCCGGCTCTGTGCCAGAGCCCTGGGCGTCCCTGCTCAGTGCCATTCACTGTCACCGGGGGCAGGCATCTGCCAGCCAGAGGTGCATGGCTGTCTCTCATATTAGGCTCCCCAGACTCCCGGCATCTCCATTGGGAAGCTCTCTCAGCACCCCCGCAGCCTGCGCTGGTACCTCCAGACTTTTTCCCCAGAGGCAAATGGCCCCCCTACCCTTGGTCCCCAGCACTTTCCCATCCCCAGGAAGGCCTCAGATGCCCCAGTCCCGTCTACTTTCCTGACTGGAAGACTCTGGCCTTGCAGCATGACTGGGCTCAGTTTCTCCCTGTCCTCCCATGCCTCTCTTTTCTAATTCCCCTTTCCCTCTGAGCTAGGATGCCCTATCTGCCCCTCCAACTTCTTTCTACCCAGGGTAAGACAGGGACCCTGCAAAATACTGCTGGAGATGAGCACCTCAGTGTTGTTCAAGGGCAAGGAGATAGATGTTCCTGGACTCTATGCCCAACTCCCCTTCAGGCGACGAACCTGCATGGTGGGTGGAAATGTGAGAGGCAACAGTGGCCCTTGTTAAAACAAATGGCAGGACCTCCAGGGTTAGCAGAAGAGGAGACCTGAGAGAGGGATGCAGGTGATAGTGGGGCAGAGAGAGGGAGCCCCCTGCAGGAGCCCCCCTGCTTCCGGTGCCAAGGCCAGGTCCTGCTGCCCTTTCTCCAACCTTTGTAATTTGAACACACAGATGAGGGCCTGAAACCCCTTTTCTGGGTTTCCATAGCACAGATTTTATAAAAACAAAGCAAAACTGGTGGAAGACTAAAGAGCAGCAATTACACTAAGCAAATGGCCGATGAGCCCTCCTCTGCCCTGAATCCTGCTGGTCACCTTGGTGTAGAGGCCCATTCTTACTCATCTCCTCCTCCACCTCCTCCTCCTCCTCCTCCTCCTCCTCCTCTGACTCCAGTACACAGGGGCCTTCTCTTAATTCCCACCTTGGGCCTCTGTGATTGCTCTTCCTTTTGCTTGGAACTGCACTGCCTCTGCTCCACGGAGCTCTGAGCTGCCTTCCAGAACTCTCAGTCCTGGGGAGCCCCTGGCATTCCTCTCACTGCTGTGATGCCTGGATCTTGTTTTTCATAGCACCTCCCAAATTATGGAACTGTATACTTTTGTGTAAATAGGTTTCATGTTTTGATATACATATCAATAAATAAGTTCACTTTTCTTTTTTGAATTAGATTTTTAAAAAATCAATATATACACAGAACTTAAAAATCAAATAACGTCATGAGGTTTTGCTTGGGGAAATCCATCAGGCCCTGATCATGTCTCTTTCTGCCCACCAGAGACAGCCACCTTTAACTCTGGGCTGTTTCTCTTGTATTTAGACCCCTTAATTGAAACAACTTACTTCGGCTTTTTTCGCCTAATACTTTATTACAAAAATTTCAAATATATAAAGAAGTTTAAAGAATTTGCAGTGAATACCCTTAAACCCACCACCTAATTTTTTTGTTTTTGTTTTTGTTTTGAGATGGAGTTTCATTCTGTCGCCCAGGCTGGAGTGCAATGGTGCGATCGCGGCTCACTGCAACCTCCACCTCCCAGGTTCAAGTGATTCTCCCGCCTCAGCCTCCTGAGTATCTGGGATTACAGGCACCTGCCATCATTCCTGGCTAATTATTTTTGTAGAGATAGGGTTTCACCATGTTGGCCAGGCTGGTCTCGAACTCCTGATCTTGGGTGATCTGCCTGCCTCGGCCTCCCAAAGTACTAAGATTACAGGTGTGAGCCACCACACCTGGCCTCCACCACCTAACTTTTACACTTAACACTTTGCTATATTTGTTCTATCACATATCTTTCTAATTTACCATCCTTCCATCCATTAATCAATGCATCTTATTATCTGGTGCATTGCAAAGTAAGTTGCAGATATGAGTCCACCTCATTCCTAAATTCTTCGCTGTGCATATCATTAGAGTTCCATATTTGCTTGCAGTTTATTTTAAATTATTTTAGGTAAATTCTGCATGCAGTGGAGTGTGCAGATCTAAAGTGTACCAGTCCATGAATTCAGACAAATGCATCTAACTGTCGAGCCAAACCGCCACCAAAACTCAGACCTTTACCATTACCCCACAGAGTTCCCTCACATACCTTCTCAATAAATGCCAACTGCTACCCACATAAGGCAAGCAGCCACCATTCTCTTGTTCTCTCTCTCTCTCGACTCTATTTTTTGACAAAACAATTTTTGACCTTATCTATTGACTTCCTATTATGGCATGAGCCTTAGCTCATAGCTCTGCTTTTCTTCCCATAATGTACTGATGTCACACTTTTAAAAATTAAGTCAATATTCTCTTATACAACAATAAGGAAAGCTGTTCACTCCTGAGACAGTGTCATACAATGATCATGCTTCCTTTCCTGTACTACTTGATACTCTTCCCTCGTTTTTGACTTGCTTTCTTTTTGATGCATGTCTCATTCTTTTTTCTTTGTGATTCAACAGAACTGGAAAACTGGAAAACCTCTAACAATATTATTTGCCACATGAGCAAGTGCATCAAATAATCTGTAACTTACTTTTTTTTTTTTTTTTTGCGGGGAAACTGCCCTCCAATCTATTGAGAGTGGCTCTGCCCCTGCCTCTTTCTGGGGTTTTAGATGCCTCTCATCTCTGGCGTCTGAGACATCATGATCACGTGTTAGACCTTTAGTGACCTTTTCAATCTGCAGACCAACATCTTTCAGTTCAGGGAAATTTTCTTCTATTATTTCTTCAATAATTATCCCTTCCATTTTCTCTGAATCTTTCTAGAATTCTTAATGGTCAAATGCTGGACCTCTTGAACTGATGCTTTAATGTTCTCATTTTCTCTCGTATTGTCTGTCTTTCTCTGTCTCTCATTCTCTTTCTTTCTGTTCCACTTTTGGGGAAATTTCCTCTACTTTATCTTTCAAAGCTTTTATTAAATTTTGAATTTTGGCAATCATTTTTAATAGCCAAGAGTTATTTCTTGTGCTTTGATTTTATATGTGGTAGTGTAAATCTATTTTTATCTTTCTATCATCTATCTGTCTATTTTCTTTCTCCTGCTCTTCCTTCAGGTGAAATGTCTGCATTTATCTTTCTGAAGGTATTTATGATATATGTTTTTGAAGTTTTCTTCTACTTCTGACCTTGTTTCTGTTTCTTCCAAGTTCCTTTTCTCCCCCTATTTGTTTGTGTGGTCTTATGGGCAGAGGCTTTCTGAAAACGTCTGGTGATCCTTAGTTGTCCATATTTCAGAGTGTGGGCCATTTAAAAAAAAAAAAAACAACCTGATTGGCAGCTCTACGGGCATGAATGCATCCCATGACTGGTGAGCTGCATTGTCAGGTAAATGGACAGGGAGCTGACTTTTTCTTCGGAGGACTCCCCCAAATCAGTACTGTTGTCTACTTCCATAGGTCATTCCATTTTTTCAGAGAAGAATTCTCTTGCCTTAGCCTGGGGTAAGGCATGGGAGTTGTGTGATATCCTGGCTGCTCCCCTTTACGAAAGTACAACTGGGGAAGGGGGCTGAGGGTCTCTCTGCCCAGGATGTGGAACTCAGCCTCATCTTCCTATGTTATGTCCGGTACTGTACTCCCACCTGCCGATGGGCATGGCATCCTCCAGTCCTCTTTTGTTCATTTCCTTCAGAGGCTAAGTCACCCACCCTGCCCCTCAACCCACCCAGGTTAGGAGGAGGGTTCTCGCCTGACTGCATAGGCTGAATAAGGGAACCTGGAGGTCTAACCAATGCCTCAGGCTACCTTCTGCCATGGCCAGTGTCCCTGACTCCCTCTGGTTTCCTGGGGATTCACAGGGGCCATATCATCTTTCTTAGACCCCTCCCTCCGCAGGCCTGACAATTTAAACATCCTTCATTCTGTTAAGTCTGTTGTCAATCTTTTTTTTTTTTTTTTTTTTTTTTGACGGAGTCTTGCACTGTTGCCCAGGCTGGAGTGAAGTGGCACGATCTTGGCTCACTGCAACCTCCACTCCCAGGGTTCAAGCGATTCTCCTGCCTCAGCCTCCTGAGGAGCTGGGATTACAGGCACACACCACCATAACCGGCTAATTTTTGTATTTTTAGTAGAGACAGGGTCTCACCATGTTGCCCAGACTGGTCTCGAACTCCTGACCTCAGGTGATCCACACGCCTTGGCCTCCCAAAGTGCTGGGATTACAGGCGTGAACCACTGTGCCTGGCCAAGTTGTCACTCTTGCATTTGCTTTTCGTCTTCCCCAAATTGGAAGACATTTTTCCTCTGCTGTTGTCATTTCTTCCATTCCTTTTTTCTGATGGGGTTTTAGTGGCTTGAATCTCATGTTAGTGTAATTTCAGGAGGGAACTGTGATAAATGATTGGGATCCATTCCCATTGTTTCACCTGAAGTCTTTATTTATCATCTGCTTCCCCCAGTAGCCTGCAAGAGTCCCACAGATGGAGACCCTGCCTGTTTTGTTCAGCATGGTTGTTCCAGCACCTAGCAGAGTGCCCAGCACATATGAGGTCTTAGGAAATAGATACCAGCTAAATTAAAAGTATGGCAGGTGGGAGGTTTTATATGCTCTCTTATTTAACGATGTTACTGCACTGGAGGCGGGGCCCTCAGTCTTCTCCTCTGTAAAATAAGTAGGCTGGGTGGGATCTGGGGGTTGCAGTTGTGGTTTGGAGGGGGATTATGCCTGTGATTGCAGAAAAAGAATCACAGGTGGATAACCTCACAGGTAGGATAACCTCTTGGTTGCACCAACTCAAATACTCTAGGATTATAAAGATTGTCTGGACAGCTCCCAGAGGGGATGGTCTGAAGGTCCTGGGGTGCCTGGCAGCAAAGAGGAAGGGCCTGGTTTCAGCCCCAGTGCCTGTCCCCTCGACCTTGCCACACTCCCCACCCAGAGGAAGGAAGAGAGAGTATGGCAGAACTGGACACCTCCTCCAGAGAAGGCAAGGAAGGGAGGAGGAGAGAGGAAGGCGGGGCAGCCTCAAGCCTCACTCAGCACTGAGCCCAATGCTGGTTGATGAGCTAAAAATATAATGACAGGTATCCCCCCCTTCCACTGTCTTAACGTGGTTTTTTAAATAAGTCAGCCTCTTTCTAGTTTTCCCTTTCCACTGTCATTTATTTCAGTTTTTATCTCCACAACAAAAATTCTTTCCAACTTTTTTTCCCTCTCTCCCTCTAATGCTCTTCACTTTCAAATGCTAATAATCTCCAGCTGTAAAAGGCTTAGAAGTGGCTCTAGATTGTTTGATCTTTGGCCTGTGATCTGCTTTCATCTCTCTGCTTTCAAATGTTACTTTAGATTTACTTTAACCTATTAACATGCTTGGTATTCATGGACACGCACTCGCCAAACCGGCTTCCCAGCACCCGGGCCGCACCCCCTCCCCATCAAACCCAGACCAGGAAAAGTGAAACTCCAAGCTCCGACCGGAACTTTGCAGGAGCTGGAGGAGGAGGCCTGGGAGGCCGAGGAGGGAGGAGGGAGTGCAGGCAGGGGGAAAGCTGCGGGGAGAGGACCGAGGAAGGGGGCAGGAGGGGAGGCAATAGGGTAGTAGGGGGAGAGAAGAGAGGCAGGGGAAGCAGCAGAAGACGGCGGGAGAGTAAAGGAAGGAGAAAGGAGACAAAGGCAGAGAAAGGGAGAGCAGGGACAAAGAAGGATGGACAAGGCTCCGTGGTGAACGCGCTGCCTCCCGCCTGGTTAGACACTATCTAAATCTGCTCTCCCCGGAGCCGGAGCCGGGAATGGGGAATGGAGAGACGCTGAATTAGCGCTTAAGATTTCTTGCTCCCGCGTTGTGCTGGAATGTCTGGCGTATTCGTTTCCACAGGAAACGCGAGGCATGAATATGGATGAAATTCCTCACTGAGACCACAAGGGTACGGTTCAATTATTTGCCATATAAAGTAGCACATGAGGATTCTTTGCGCTTGATCATTTCCTCTGTGTACATCTCTGTGTGCGGTGTGTGTGTGTGTGTGCGCGCGTGCCCGTATGTGTGTTGGGGGTGCGTGGGGGCGGCTGAGGAAGGACCCCCCCAACCCACCCCCCCAGGAGACGCCTTTGAAGGCGCTGTGTCATCCAGACCCTCACCGAGGGCTCCAGTTGCAGCTGAGCGCCTGGGGGTGATTTGGAAAGAGGAGCCCCCACTTTTCCACCTTCCCCACCCCAACACACACCTGTGTACGCCCGCAGTGTCAGCTCTGACCCTCCAGCCTCTGATCCGCCAAAGGACAGAGATCCAGAGGACGAGTATTGATATGAGGGTTTTGGAAAGCCCTGGCTGGCGCAGGAGTCATTCCAAGCCAGCCTGGTGGCCCCTTTCAGCTGCGGCTGCTGCCTCGGGGAGAAAGCAGATGTCCCTGTCTCCCTTCCCTCCTGAGGGGAAGCCTGACCCAGGCATCCATCTGGATGGTGGTGGCTTCAGCAGGAGGTGGCAGCGGGAGGATGTCTTGGCAGGGCTGTGAGGAACACTGAGGGAGGCAGAGTCCTCCTGGACAGTCTCCCATAGAGGAAAGGCCACTGAAGCCACTGGAGGAGGGGAGGGTGAAGAAGCCTCACCTGGCACCAGAAAGTCTAGAGTGCAAGTCCTGGGCGAGGGACTGAGCCCTCTAACCTCAGTTTCCTCATCTGTGAAATGGAATAGCAATACTCTTTATTTCAAAGGGTAGTTGTGATGGCAACAACAATTCTAGTAAGTATTATGATTATAATTAGTTGAGCACTCACCACGTGGGAGGTATTCGTCTAAGTGCCTTATAAATATTAACTGATGTAATCCTCTGTTAATCCTCATTTAATACTCATTTAACCCTATGAGGTGGATACTATTATTAGCCTCATTTTACAGATAAGGAAATGGAGACACAGAGGGTTTAAGTAATTTGCACAAGGTCACACAGCTAGTGCTATCATGTTCATTTTAGACTAATTAGGCTGCTGGGTCACATGAATTCATCTATTACCTAATTTAATTCTTTCAACATCCCTCTGGGTTGGGAATCACTGCAGTCAGTTTACATAGCAGGGAACAGGCCAACAC
Organism: Homo sapiens; assembly: GCF_000001405.40. Classification (NCBI taxonomy): domain Eukaryota; kingdom Metazoa; phylum Chordata; class Mammalia; order Primates; family Hominidae; genus Homo; species Homo sapiens. The sequence goes on along the minus strand of NC_000011.10, from coordinate 116,192,276 downwards.
CACCCAATGAACCCAAGTTCTTTGCAGCCCAAACCCATATCCTGAATATCTTGAGATGCTGCAAAGATGCTTTTCAATGATAATGAGCTTGAAAATGTCAGTTATGATTAGGGGATTTCTGCCAAATGGAAGAGTCACATTTGGTGCGTAGAGGTCCAGGGTGCTAAGGGAAAGGCAGGCTCCCTAGGCCATCCTCTCTCTGAGACCTTCTGGAGGGCAAACTGGAACCTTTGTGATGTGGCCGTCGGTTGCTTCTGGTCCTGAACAGAGAGGATAGGGAGAGAGGTTTCCTGGCTGGTAACACAATAGAATCAGCAAAGCGAGTGCAAGGACCAGGGACTGCCCACAGCAGGGCATTGCCTTGACTGAGTTGACCTCCATGGCTCCCACCCCCTCCCCACCAGCTTCTGATGGTGATGATGTTGGTGAGTTGTTTGCAGGGGCTGAGCAGAGGGGGGATCACTAGTGAAGCTCACCCATGGGCTACCCTGGCCCACTGAAGCAGAAGAGAAATATACCCAGTCTGCCATGTGCCTGGAAACTCATAAGGTATTTCCACACCTATCAGCAAATTCCAACTTCACCCCAACCCTGTGAATGAGGCTGCCATCTGCATCATCATTTTGCAGATGCTGAGAGTTTAAGTGACTTGAACATGGTCACACAGAATCTTTTCATTACACCCCACTGCCTCCCTCAGCACTCAGCGGATATAGATTGATGACAGCAACTGAGTATTAGACTGGAAAGCACCTTGGTGGGCCTCCTGCGCCTGAGACGCCCGTGACTTCAGTCCTGCTGAAGGTCCTGTTTCACCAGCCACTGGGCTTCCCTGGGGCTGGGCCCAGGTCTGCTTGTGACCTGGTAAAATCCAAGCTTAAAGCATTTCTCCTTTTTACTCTCCCTGAGCCCTGTCTCCTCCCAGCTTGCCTGGTCTAGGAGGGAGCCCTGCATATCGGTTGCCTCTGATGAGACAGACTCAGGCAGAGTTTGCACTCGGCTCTTCTGCTTACTGGCTGTGTGCCCCCAGGTAAGTAACTTAGCTTCTCTGAGCCAAAGTTTCCCCATCTGCTTAAATGGTGGGGTGGTCCTAATGAATCCTAGTCCCTGGGGTGATGGGGCCCTGGAGGCGCAGTTCCCTTGCAAGGAGCCCTTTGTAAGTGCTGTCCTCTTGCATAGCATTGGGCGCCCCCAGGAGGGGATGGGCATCACATAGAGCCCCTAAGTCTGGGGCTTGGAGAAGGCTCATGCTGGCAACGAAGAAGGGAAGGCACTTGTATCCTCTCCTCTGCTGGCTCCAGCAAAGCTCAGACATTCTGCCACCTGCCCCATAAAACACTCAGTCTTGAACCCCAGGAGCACTTTCCATATGTGTCTGTCCTGGGACTGTGACTAACCTGGAGCACCCAGATTCTGTTGTGAGGCCTCCCACCTGAAACCCAATAGCTGGCTCTTCAGGCTACTAGAAGAATCCTTCTGGGTTGCCTTGGGGTGTGCGGATGTGGGGATTCATTAGGGCTCTTGTTCTTGCTACTCCATGGCATCCTTTGGTGCCAACTCACCAGGGCCTCAGGAAGCTGGGAGGGTCAGGGGGCAATTAGGAAAAGTTCTCCCCTTCTTCACACCACCCACCAGCCCTTAGTTACTGGAAAGAGCAAATGCAAATGGATCCAAAGCACAATACCCAGAATACACTGCCACGCTTCCTAGGGGCTCACTCTTAGTTAAAGCTGGGCTCCTCTTGGGGGCTGACATTTTCCTTGGTTCAAACAACATCTGCGCCTTGCCAAGCTTGGCAAAAGGTGAGGGAGCCAGTTACTGCCACTGTAGACTCAAGTGAAACAGAATACCTAGCTACACTAGGTCCCTCCCACCTGGTGGGGGGGCTGGGTCCACACATGCACTCATGCACATGCACACATGCATGCTCCCCCCACCACATACACTCTCATGGTTACCTCACACACACACACGCACACATGTGTGTTCACAAGTCCTCCATACACACACATATGCCTACTTAAGAGTACCTCACTCACACACACTTGCATGCTTACAGATCCCTTCACACTCGCAAATCCAGTGGGCACATTCACACTTATGTGCAGACACATGTGCATGCCTTATCAGGAAACTCAGGCCCACTCAAACATGCCCACATTCATGCATACCTATGTCCACCATGAACAACACACAGACTCTTGTGAATGAGAGAAGGGGGTTGGCCCTCTCCCCTCCACCCCCAGCTCCTGAGATTCAGCAGATCCAGCAAAGGCTGCTGAGAATTTGAAATAAAGGGCCATCTTCCCCTCCAGGCTCCAGGCCAAATCTCCAAATAAAATCAGGCCAGGGAGAAATGAACAGCTGAGATGCACAAAACAATGTGAAGAAGCAGCTCTGAAAAAAAACGAATAATAATATAAAAAAAAGGTGAGAGTTATTTTTCAGCTCACTGGCTTTCTGAAAAGTAATATAAAGTTGGGCAGCCTCTTCTTGGAATCGACCTTTCTGAGCCGAGACCCAGGCCACACGCACATCTCTTTCCTCTCTTTCTATTACCTGAAATTTGTATGGTTTCATCTCCTCCGATTTTCTTTCATTTGTGCGCCTGTGCAAACCCCTTGTGTCAGGGGCTTGTTACTAACCCGGCAGCCCCGCCATGCTGGGAGCTGCTTCTCCTTTGGCCTCCTGCAGGGCTGAGAATTGAGAGCTTGCTCAGCTCTGTTCCCCTCGCTGCCCAGGAGGGGCTGTAGACCTCCTCCCTACCCCACTCTTCCACTAACCTGGACTCCCAGCCTTCTTTGTTTCTAAGAAAATTCTCTCGCACACTTTTCACTCAACCAGGGCTGGAAAGGAGAGGCTGGATGGGCTGAGGGGCCCAGGGTGCTGGAGCCCAGAGCCTAGCTCAGGGTCTGGTGCAGGTAGGAGCAGAACAAATGTTTAGTGAATGCATGAAAGAGCAGATGAATAAGCAAATGGTTCTGCCTTTTTCAGGGAGTGGAGGGAAGAAGTTCCTATTCTAAAATTTCCAGGAAAAAGATTTAGGAAGGGGGACCAGAATATTCCTAACAGTGATGATATTCCCTGAGGTTCTAGTTACTCCTCCTCTAGGAGTGAGACTTGAAGGTCTTACAGAAAGGTGGCCCTTAACCTTTTCTCCCCTGTCACCTCCTGTCCAAGACACAACACTCATATGCACAAACACACAGTGAGAGAACCTCAAACACACCCACAGAGTACACACACATGCACCCCTCAGACACATTAACAGAGTACACACACATACACCCCTCAGACACATCCACATAGGTACACACACACATGCACCCCTCAGACACATCCACAGAGTGCACACACACCCCTCAGACACATCCACGGAGTTCACACACACACACACCCCTCAGACACATCCACAGAGTACACACACACACATCCCTCAGACACAGCCATATAGGTACACAGAGGCACCCCTGAAACACACACAAATGCATGCACCTGTAACACATCCACATATATACATGAACATGCACCCCTCAAACACACGTGTATGCTTGTACCACAAACACATCTGCATAAGTATATGTGCAGGCATTCCTCAGGCATATGAGTGCATACACTTTACACACATCCACATAGGTACATGCACGTGCACCCCTCAGACACACATAAGTATATGCACGCATCTCAAACACACTCATGCAGTTATACACACATGCACCTCTCAGACACACACGTGTGTGATCATCTCAGACACATCTACATAGACACAAACAGACAGTCCTCAAGCACACACAAACACATGTGCACACCTCATAAACATGCACACTCAAACCCATGTGTTTGGACATCTCAAATAGATTTTCACAAATATCTACACGTACCTTTCAAATACAGACATACTGACACATCTGAAACATTTACACATATACATATGCACACAGGTGCATATGCACATTCCTTTGCATGGGTGCCTTTGTGAGCAGTGCTAGTCTCTTTTCAGTCACCTGTGTCCACTCTCAACTTCTACTTCCTGCCATGAGGACATGTGTACTTGATGATTTGCATCCCTCTTGACTTTTGCAATGAAAGAATCAAACATGGGGTGGCAGCTCCCCGTGGCTTCTTTAGTGTAAAGATGATTGAGGGGTGCCTGCTTTATCCCAGACTAGGGTATAATGGCTTCAACAGGACCAATCTGGCACCTGCCTTGGGTTCATTCGGGGGAGTTAGGAAATCTCTGTATGGATGTGCATTGTGTATGGATGGGGAAATGGGAGCATGAGGATGTAGGTAAAGTACTTGAATCTTTTCTCCAGAAGAAAGTAGGAGGAGATAGCTAACTCTGATGCCCATCCCTGCTGTAGCCTCTGTCCTGACTCACACTCAGGGCTCAAAGCACAAGGGAGCTGGATGAGGGGCTCATGGCATGACATTAGTGGTGGACTGCTCAATGCCAACAGTACAAATAATGGACATTTGCGAATCCTGGGCTGTTTGGAGAAATGCTTCCTCCTTCATTATGCCGTTTCTATCATCACAATCATCTTGTAATAAAAATGGGACAGGTATTAGCTAAAGGGCCTATTTTATAGATGAGGAATCTGAGGCTTAGGTAAGGTGAGCATCTTGCCAAGTGTATTAGTCAGTGTTGGCTAATTGCTGTAACAAACATTCCCAGATCTCAGTGGGTTAGCTCAGTAAGAGTTTCTCAAATATGCCCTCTTCAGTGAGAGTCAGCAGGGTTGCTCTTCTTGATGCAGTAGGGTCCAGGACCCAGGCTGCTTCTCCCTGTGACTCTGCTGTCCTCAAGGTATTTGGAGTTTCTTGATTTGGCTGATCAATGGAGAAGAGCAGGGGAGGGTTGTTTGTGGAATGCTTTTTCTGGGCCAGGCCTGGAGGCAGCACACATCACCTCTTTCCATATTCCATAGGTTAGAATAGAAACACACAGCTATAGCTAACAACAAAGGAGGCTGGGAAATGTAGTCCAGGAAGAAAAGGTGAATGCAGATATCGGTGAGCCCTGACAGTTTCCACCACACCCAGAATTACACAGCTAATGGAAGTGGAATCAGTTCTCAGAGCTGGGTTTTCCATTCCAGTGGCTGTGCCTTCCCCTTCTAGCATGTTACTTTGAAGTATAAAGCTTTACCGACAGAACACTGCTCCTGATCTATGTTCTAGGTCTGGAAGCCCTGACATTTATAAGAATGTAATGATAATGACAGTAATATCTAATGATTTATTGGTTTCCTATCTGTTCTATTGTGTACACTCTCTCATTTCATTGTCTCTGCCACCCCATAAAGTATGTAGATAACACTACCTTCTCTAATCTACCTTAGAGAGATTAAGTAGCTTGTCTGAGGTTGTGGGAGAGAGAGATTGTGAGTCCAGGACTTCCTGGCCCCCATCTCCCATCTATCTCCTATGTTGCTATGGCTCCCACTGGGCATAGGGTTGGAAGTAGGGTGGGTGGAGAGTCAGCCTTCTCTGTCCTGCAAGGCAGACATTCCTGGTGAAACTTAAGTAGGATGCTAGTGATGTCAGGAGTGGGCAGAGTCCTTGCAGCCTGCTGTTCTGGGGAGCATCTGAAACCATGTGTGAGCCTAGGCCATTGTAGCTTAGTTTAGTTGATAACCATATGCCTGGGTGATGCTGGGAATTGATTTCTTTTCTTTTTTTTTTTTTTTTTTGAGATGAAGTCTCGCTCTTGTCTCCCAGGCTGGAGTGCAGTGGCGCGATCTCGGCTCACTGCAACCTCTGCCTCCCGGGTTCAAGTGATTCTTCTGCCTCAGCCTCCTGAGTAGCTGGGACTACAGGCACACACCACCACACCCAGCTAATTTTTAAATTTTTTTAATAGGGACGGGGTTTCACCATATTGGCTAGGCTGGTCTTGAACTCCTGACCTTGTGATCCACCTGCCTCAGCCTCCCACCTCGGCCTCCCCAAATGCTGGGATTACAGGCATGAGCCACTGCACCTTTTTTTTTTTTTCTTCAATTTTGCCCAGGTTGGCCTTGAACGCGTAGCCTCTCCTCCTTGTGCGCCAGGACAACCGGTCGGAGCCACTGCAGCTACCTTGATTTCTCATTATATGACCTTGAACAAAGCATCCTGGGTTAGGAGTCATGCCGAGACCAAACCATAATTAACTGTGTAACTTTGGGCACCTCACTGAAAGTCTGTGGGGTTCAGTACCACCACCCTTTTTCCCCTGTGAATTGGAGATTGTCACCACTATCATCATTCTAGACCTTTCAGGCTGCAATGGCCTCCTCCTGATTGGTCTCCCCAGCACCACATAACTCCTCTTCAAATCCTTCCTGCACATCCCTGACAGATTAATCTTCTCCATTGCACACATAGATTTTCACCATGTCTTTCTTCTGCTTGACAATTTCATGACCCTCTGCTACCATAAAGCCCAAACTCCTTAGTGGAGCCCTTTCTTTCTACTCTGCCCCCAGGTTACCTGTCCAGATGGCTCACGCTTGACTCCCCTGAGCGCAGCAAATGCTACTGCCAGGCTGTCCTTTTCCTTCCCCGGGGATCCTTATTGCAGAGTGGCTCTCCTTCCTGCCTACCTGTTTACACCTCTAAGATCCCTCTCTTAACACCACGATCATCTTCATTCTCACATCACTGCACTTGTACTCCATGCAGCACTTCCCTTGGACACTCATTTGGTGCTGGGGGCTTCTACAAATGTGTCTTATCTTCTTCACTAGATTGTAAGCTTCATAAGGGTGAGAGCCGAGTCTTGCAGTTCATACCCTTGGATAGAACAGCCCTCGGACAAAAGTTAATGCATGAAAAACATGATCAGAAGATGAGAGACTTTTTGTGATATGCAAATGAAAGGTTTGGCTTAGAGGCCAGCATTAAAGTTGTTTTGATTGTTTTTTGTCAGCCAGCAATCAGGAGGAAGCTCCCACATCTTGGCTGGCTGGTAACCCTCTATGTCTACCTGCAAAACTATGTAGATTAGATCTCAAATCAGAGCCTCATGGTACTTCTGGTGGTACTTTCTTTGCCTCCTGGGGGAATAAGCTCAGGCCTCCAGCAGGCTAACCTATCAGGCAGAAGCAAGCTGGGCGTGTACATTTGGTGAGCTCCTCAAATTGAGCTCTCTTGGCTTTTTCCCCACACCCAGCGCCTCCACACCAGGCCAAACTGTAGGCTGAAGCCAGTGGAGAAAGTAATAGATTGGAACTAGGATGCTCAGGTTAAGTGGGCCGCTTTGTGGAGCTCATCCATAATCCTGCAGGAGCCCAGAGAACAATACGTTAATTAGAGCCGACGGCACCGCTCCCACCAGCCATCCATCCTGCCTGTGTCTGCTGGGCCTTCCCCATGGACATGCCAGCCTACTCTATACTCTGAAAGAGATTTATTCATTATCAATGTTGTCTGAAAGAAAGGGACCTGGTGGGGAGGGAGTGAGATTCCAAGAGAAACAGGATATGAAAGAGGCGGAGCCGAACCTGCTGGCAGCTGACAAATGGGTATGTTTGGGGGCTGGAGAGATGGGGTGTTCCCAATTAGGAGGATAAGGCAAGTCCACCTGGTTGGGGAGGGAGATAAGTCAGTCAGATGAAATTAGAAGATGTTCAGCAAATATGTCCAGCAAGAAGTGGCCCTGGCTAGGGTTTTAGGTTTGGACCTAGCTCACTTGGAGCCCCAAATGATGGGGGAAAAGAAGGTAGGGAAGAGGAAGTTCACTTACCTGGTGTCTATCCCAGTGCTTGCACTCAGAGAGCACTGAAAAAGTGCTTGTCAAGTGAATAATTAAATGACGGGGTGTTTAAAGCTAGAGGGATTTAGGTCAGCTATCATGAGGAACCCATTACCAATGAGCAAAGAGAAATATGAACCAGAGAGAACAAGAACGGGTCCTGGGATTTTTACCCAGGTGTTCCTTGAAAGAAAGGGAGACACGTTTCATTTTTGCCAGAGCCTATTATCTATGTGTCATGTAGATTTTGGAGAAAATGGGAGATGACCAGCCCTCCTGAAGTTAACGTGGCAGCCTGGAGAGGAGAGAGATGACGAAGGACTGGTTGGGCAGTGGCCCACTGACCAAAGCTCCAGAGAGAATGATCCGGAGCTGAGCAGTAGACACGAAGTCACTGCTGCATAGACTCATCTTGCGAAAGGCACATAAAAGGCAGTAGCTCCTTCTCTGTCCAAATGGAGAAAGTGAGGCTGAAGGGGGGAAGTGAGTTGCCTAAAGTCCCACAACTGATTAATCCCAGAACCTCTGTCCAGCTGTGACACCAGGGCCATAGTTTGGATGGACCTACATGGACCTCTAAGCGTGTCACCTAGAGGCCTTGTTAGACATGCAGAGCCCAGAACTTCTGAATCCGAGTCTGCATTTTATCAAGATCTCTACGTGGTTTCCACACACCCCAGTGTTGGAGAAGCACATCAATTAGATCATGTGCGTAGTGCCTAGGTGTGCATAGTGCAACACGGTGTTTTGGGGAGAGAACTAATGTGGTGAATTGTAAGTTCTAGCCCTGCCTTTCCATTAACTGGCTGGGAGACTTGGGGCACATCACTTAGTCCCTCTGGGCTTTAGTTTACTTATTTTTAATACAACATGATTGAGCAAGATCAGTGATTTTTAAGTTTAGCAATCCTCAGAATCACCTGGGAGAAAGGCAGATTCCTGGAGGCTGCCCCCAGGGTTCTGTGTAGGGCCCGAGAATTTGCATTTCCAGTAGTTTCCAGTTGATGATGGTCCTGCCAGTCTGGGGACCACACTAACTGCATGACCAGGTGACTTCTTCTAAGATTCCTTCTGATTCAGATATTTAATGGGATATCCCCCCACTACCAAGTGTCTTGGTAAGAAGAATCTCTTGACTCCCCAGTACAGGCCTCTTCTGAGTGGCACCGGCCTGTCCCTGTCATTTCTGCCTTCCCCTCCTGCTCCAGGCAGTTAATGCCATTTCTCCCACATACCCAGGATTGATGATCTAAGTCTTATAAAATGCACGGAAGGCAATACAGGCAAAGTATTATCAACAAGATTTAAGAAGAGTCCTGAGAAACACAGCAATAAAACCTGGAAATAACTATCCATTTCCTACCAACAAAACATCTCATTTCCGAGTCCATAAACGCTACCCCCCTCCAGATCCCCAGACCCATCTGTTTTGTAAGCATGTATAATTATTAGCAACATAAAGTCAGTTTCTATACCTAATGTAATTATTGGGAGCCAAAATAGTATCAGGTGAAGGAGGGGGAGAGAGGAGGAAGCTTGCTCACTGCAAACTCAGATTATTTCTTTAAAGAGCGAGAAGTAGTCACATGAGAAGATAGGGATTCTTTATGGGGACATTATACTTCCTATGGAGAGTTTGGGGACAGCTTTGCAAATAAGACTGAGCTGGCTCATCTCAAAGCAAAGAGCGGTTTCCTGCCATGTGAGGTGAGTTTAGGCCCTGTTGGGAACAAGAAATTAGGATCACCATGCTTCCTCTGCGGCCAACCTTCAGATTCTCTGGAGACGTGGAGAGCATGGCCTTCCTTCCGGAGGCACTGCTAAAGTTAGTTCATGCCTTTCCTTCTCTTTGTAGTGCCTCTGGAGGGAAAAAAAGAGTTTGCAAAGGCACTCTGAGATTTTAGCCAGCTGGGGATTCCTGGTTCACAATGAATTCAGGACCATTATCTTTGTGCCCTGCCACAGTGTCCTGGGGGAGCTAGCTGGTCACCTGTTGAATAGGTGAGTAAGTGAATAGATGGAGTGAGGCATGATTGCAGAAGGTACACATGGTAACAGGAATTGTTATTAAAGGTGAAGGAGAGCATACTCCTTCTCTTCGTATGGCTTATTTGTGACAGCGTGTCAGGGGTGGGGCAGAATAAAGACCAATGAGGCATTATAAAGAGGCTGATTTTGATTTATTTTATAATAAGCAAAATAACATTTTGACCAGGAGAGCTTTCCAAATGCAGTGGTCCCCTTTGTATGGTGGTGAGTTCTCTGCCACTAGAGATTTTCAAACAGAGCCATGGCAACCCTTTCCCATGAGTCTTATCTAGGAGCTGGGTGTATTAGGTAGGAAGGAAGTGCATGTGGGTGGGGGTAACAAGAATATTTATCGAGCATCTACCTACTGTGTGCCTGACTCTGTACTAATCTCATTTAATCCACTCACCAAACCCATAATGTAGATGCTCAAACCCCTATTTTAAAAATCAAGCAAGCTCAGAGATATTTGTGTCACTAGTCTGTGTCACCCAGCTAGTAAGAAGTGCAGCTAGGATCCAAACCTAGGTCTGCCTACTCCAAGTTTATCTGTCTTCCACAGTGCCTTGAAAATACTGTCGTAGGCTTCAGATTCTTCAGTGCACTTATTGGAACTGAACTTGATGTGCCTGGCTCCTGCAAACACAGGCTGGTGCCACCACTGGCTGAGATGATGTTGCTCTGTCTTCTGGATCCATCGCTGAGAATTCAAAGCTCTCGTAAGAGGGCCTGCGGTGGGGAGGACTGCTATCAATGCCATTGTCTTTTGCTTTGAATTTGTTTCTTAAGCCGCCCTAGCATCTTCCCCTCTGCAGATTTGCTTGTCTGCCAGAATCCCAAATCAACCTGATGGCTTAGGGATTTCACTCTATGATCTGGAAATCCATGTTCCTTCTTCCCCTTCCCCACTCCTGGGAGTGGGCTCCTTTCTTCAGCCATCACACGGACCACATTCAGGGCTGATGGGGGGAGCGTTTCAGCTGGACAGGGGCAGATGGCCTCATTGTCGTTAATGTGTAGTGATGGGAGAATCCCAAAGGTGCTGGTGGCGTAATCTGGAGACAGCTGGAAAGCCGGACTGATGTGTTTTCTGAAGCGTCTCGGCAGCCTTTGGAGGCAGCTTCGTGTGAGTGTGTTTAACTCCCATCTTTGTCCCTTGTTCTCATGCCAGCCTCCTCTGGATGCCTACCAGATTCCTTCCTGCCTGTGTGACTCCATGCCCTGTCTCTGTCTCTCCTTGGAACTGCATGGCAGGGACTCCTTCCTTGTGTGATGGGGGAGCAGGCACTGAGGAGGGAAGAAGGGGCGGGGCACAGCTAGGCAGCTGGTGCCGGCCACCACCTTTCCCTTCTGAGCCCACCCCCTTCCTTTTGCCTCTGCTTGCTTTTGCCTCCAGTTCCTCCCAATCCAGCTTGCCATTGTGCCGGGGCAGGCCCAGCAAGAGGAGGACACTAGCCAGGCCTCTGGGAGGGCATCTGCTTTGGCTGATAAGTACCCCTGTCTTTCTCCTCCCCTTCAGCAGGGCGGAGATGCCCTCCCCCATGAGCCATGGAATTAAAACAGGGAACTGGGCTCTGGCAACTGGCCTTCTCCCTGGCACCAGGCCTGCTCTGTCTCCATGGATTTTTCTCTCTGAGAGTCACTGTTTCCTGATTAAAAATGATTTCTTCTTGCATAGCAAACTACGGCCTTGTCTGGTGTCCACCCCCAAATGAGATGGAAAGTTGGAACTCTAGGGGCCCAGGACACATCAATAGGAAAGAAAGACCTTGATGTCTAAGAATCCATTCCCCTCCAGGCCAGGGGGAGGTTTGAGAGCAGAGGACTGCATGGAGGGCGAACCTGATCCTACTTGCCTCCGACCTGTGGTTTACCGTCTAGCCCAGCATGAGAGTTGGATAGGGCTGCCTAATAAAGCACCCCAGACTGGTGGCTTACACAATAGGACTGTGTTATCTCACAGGTCTGGAGGCCAGAAGTCTGAAATCAAGGTGTCAGCAGGGTTAGTTCCTCCCGAGGGCTGTGAGGGGAAGGATTTGTTCCAGGATCTCCCCTTGGCTGCCGATGGCCATCTTCTCCCTGTGTCTTTTCATGTAATCTTCCCTCTGTGTGTGTCTCTGTGTTCACATTTCTCCCTTTTTATAAGGACACCAGTTCTATTAGTCTGCTTGGACTGCTGTAACAAAATACCACAGACTATGTGGTTTAAACAGCAGAAATTTATTTCCCACAGTTCTGGAGACTGGAAATCCAAGCTCAAGGTGTTGTCAGGGTCAATTTCTGGCAAGGACTCTTCCTGCCTTGCAGATGGCTGCCTTCTGACTGTATCCTCACATGGAGTGGAGAGAGCTCTTGTGTCTCTTCCTCTACTTGTAGGGCCATGAGCCCTATCAGATTAGGGTTGCATCCTTATGACTTCATTTAACCTTTACCACCTCCTCACGGGCCCTGTCTCCTCATACAGTGACACTGGGAGTTAGGCATTTAACATATGAATTTTGGAGGAATGACACATCCCAAGTCCATAGCACCAGTCATATGGGATTAGAGTCCATCCTAATGATCTTGCTTTAACTTAATGATCTCTATAAATACCCTATCTCCAAGTAAGGCCATATTTGGAGACCTTGGGAACTAGGACTTTGACATATGAATTTTGGGGAGACAATTCAACTCCTAACACTCTGGGTCTTCCTGGCTCACTGTAGCACCCTAGAATCCATTACAAAAGAGATTGGTGGCTCGAGTGTGTCCCCCTTCACTGACACCATCTGCTGAGTTTTCTCGGGGAAGGGGTGGGCAGAGTCCCCTCAGGAGCTCCCTGTGCTGAGGCTGAACCCCAGGGCACCCCAGGCTCTGCTCAGCAGCCCCACCTTATGTCTTGCCAGCTCCACTGCCTGCTGCCATTCCTGCACTTATGCTGTCAGCTTTCCCACTAGGGCCACCACCACCCCGGCTGACTCATTTCTGAACCATAGCCTTCAGCTGGTCATTTCAGGTCTCCTTGAAGATATCTGGGCAGAGCCAGCTGGAGAGCAAGAAGGGGCACATTTTTGATGTTGCTGGGCATGGGGCATGTGGGGAGGGCATAGAAGTGGGAAAGAGGTGGAGGAGAGGAGTGAGAAGAGAGACCAATGGCAATTAGATTCTCTTTCATCCCAAACTTGCTGTCACAGCCAGGAAGCAAACCCTTATCCCACTTTTTCTTCATAATAGGTTTATTCCAAAAACATTTCAAGAAAGAGAAATGCTGTTTTCTTTTAAATCTTTATTTAAAGTACACAAAGAAAAGAATTTTTCTTTTCTAGGTCGAGTAGCCCTCATATCTTTATCATTCTCCCATCATTTCCTGCTGGAGATGAGGAATGCAGGCCGCTGTGATCAGGAGGCCCTCAAGTCACACGGTGGACCTGAATTGTGGAGCTGGGCAAGGCTCCTGGGAACCCTTCTCTTTGTTCCTTTGGGTGACCCACACACTGTTCTGTCAGCTCCTGCTTTGGTTGAATCCCAGGTCTCTCCAGTGTGCCTTCTGTGTCTTGTCTTCCTCCCTCCTCATTCACACACCTCTTGGCATTATGGTATGAAGAGAGCACAGGGTTAGGAAATAGAGAACTCACCTCACCTGCCATTGATGTAAGTGGGTAAGGGGAGAAAGGGCTTATGGCAATGACGAATGTCCCACAGCTCCTTTACCTCTGGGGACACTGCGCTGGATGACATCTATGGAGAATGACCACATCACACCCTCCCTGTCTCTGTCTTAAAATCACAGTCTCTGAGAGTTGGAAGGGTCTTTGGAAAATATAGAACTCACTTTCCGACTGCGCCCCTGATGGATGCTGGATAGCGCCCCAGAGTGAGGAAGATGGGGAAGGCACACTGGAGAGGCCTGGGATTCATCCAAGTCAGGAACCCACATGCATGCTGGATAGGGCCTGTTTCTTCTGCATTCGAGGCTGGGGCTGCTCCCTCCCTCTCCCAACTATGGCTCATCCCATGGTTGGGCAGCTTGGGGTGTTCAAATATCTTTTCTAGTGTTGAGTAGGATCCTTCCTGTATTAGTGAGGGTTAGAAACAGAGCCAAAAGGGGGTGTGTGTGTGTGTGTGTGTGTGTGTGTGTGTGTGATATAAAAACATTTATTCTAACAAATTGGCTCATATGATTATGAAGGTTGACAAGTCCCACGTCTGTCGGGTGAGTAGGCAAGCTGGAGACGCAGAAGAGCTGAGGTTGTAAGTTCCAGCCTGGGTCTGAAGGCCTGAGAACTAGGAGGGCTGATGGTGTAGGTTCCAGTTGGAAGGCCACAAACTTGAGACCCAGGGACAGCCAATGTTTCGCTTTGAGTCTGAAGGTAGGAAAAAGCTGATGTCCTAGAAGGCAATCAGGCGGAAAGAATACTCTCTTACTAGGGGGAGGGTCAGCCTTTTGCTCTATTCAGGCCTTTAACTGATTGGGTGAGGCCACCCCTGTTGGGGAGGGAAATCTGCTTTGGCCGTCTGCTGATTCAAATGTTAAACTCATCCCCAAACACCCTCAACAGAAACACCCAGAATCATGTTTAACCAAATATTTGAGCACCCTGTGACTCAGCCAAGTTGACACATAAAATTAACCACTACCCTTCCTTTCTATTTTTCCCTAGTTATCCTGGTCTACCTTAACTGGTTTTCCAGGGAGGGCCAGCCCTTCAAAGGGGCCCACTGTCCAGCCCAGCCCACTGTTCCTGGGAGGAGGCCTGGGTGCCCCAGCTGGAAGATGCCTCAGTTCCCGTTAGGTTGCCTCTCCCCATAGGGCAGTGGCTGGCTCCCCTTACCTCAGCTGGGCCAGAGGGGCCATCTGTCCTGCCCTCCCATCCCCCAGCACATCCAGGTGCTTGGCTGGCACATATCAGGATGCTCTGGCCAGAGAGGGTGATGCTGGTTGGCCTCTGCTTGGATCTATCTTAGAGAAAACAAATAGCTCTCAGGATAAGAGCCCTCCTCCCTTCCTTCTCAATTCTTGGTAAATCACAGAAATCACAGTGATTAAGGCCAATAAAAATCCTGGGACTGACCTCTGGAGAAGGAAGTAAGAAAGCTCATTTCCACCTCTGTTCCCCATCCCTAGTAGTCCCTAGTAGGGGCCTCAGAGATGGAGGGAAGGGGGCTACTTACTAGATGCCAGAGACTCTACACACATCATATCCTGTAAGCTGCACAAACGCCTAGCATGGGCCAGTCAGTCTCATCTCTATTTTTACCACAAGGACACTAATGCATGGAGAGTTGATGTCACAAGCACAGAGTCAAATAGCTGCTAGCTGCAGGAGCCAGGATTTGAATCCAGCACTGATGTATTCCAAACCCTCCTCTTTCTGCTACATCTTGGGATGTTATGTGCCTATGCAGGCTCTGTGAACTGTACTCTGTAACGGCAGAGGGGCAATAATCAGTTTTAACATAATTCTAACAGTAACAATGTAGCTCTACCCAGCTGGTAGCCAGCATAGGGGATCGCTGCAGGTTTGACACTGCTATGTCATTTTCAGTAGCTCGTGAATGAAGAGGCTGGAGGACATGGCTACTGAGGGCCACCTTTTCCAGCTCTGGGACCCTAGGCATGAAAGCCTTTCAGCTGACATAGGAGGATCTCCAGAGTAGGTAGCCTGAGACGCCTTCATTTTTGCAGCACCAAGGAAAGGGAGAGGTGGAGGAATGAGAGGCCTACCTCCCCAGCATCTCATGGTCTGCAGTCCCTCCCCCCACCATTCTGAGAGGGCGAGACCTTGCTGGCAGAGGAGGTGTAGACAGGAGCCTTTGCAAAGGGCACAGCGGAAGTGGAGCCCAGCTTCCTGTTTGTTTGGGACATAGCCAGCCTGTGTTCTGCAGAGACTCTGAAGAGGAGAGCAAACAAGGGGATTTTCGGATGGTCTTTGCCTGCTTTCTCCTTTGTTTTCCCTTAGAGGAAGAGGCAGTGGCTACGGATCCTCTAAATGTTGGCCTGGAGGAGTCAGGCACAGGAAATTGGAGGGGGGAATGGCTTATGTGAGATGAGGAGACTGAAGTTCTGTTAAGCCGAGCTGAGGAGTGATTGACTTGCGCCCTCCTCAGAGAAGCTCTGGGTTCTCTGGAGGGAGTGTGAGCTGACCTTTCTGGATCTCCTTGCTTCTTTTATAGTGGACTCTTTAACAGGCATTGTTATCAATTTGGAGAGTCTTGGGGCTGGAGGAGTCTGAAGTTAATCACTCAGACACTCCTTGAATACCTGCAGAGATGGGAAACTCACTCTCTTCCCAGGCAGCCCATTTCATCTTTACACAGCTCCTTCCTAGGCAAGCTGTCTCCTAGGATCTTCTATTCATCATTCCAGGGTCTTCAGAGCCCTGCAGTGTTTCTCCTCCTTGCTTTGTGGCACTGCAGACCATTCCTTTTTTCCTCTGACCCCACACGTGCATTTTACGTGAAGTGCCATGATAGTCCTCTGGGAATGTGACCCAGTGCTCTGAAATTACGTGTAATTGTTGTTTCATTTCCTCAGCTGGACTGTGAGCTGCCTTCAGCGGCGACCAGACCGTCTGTATCCCACATATTCACTACTAGCAGCTGAGCAGATGGCAAGCGCTTAATCACTGCATGGTGGAAAGAAGGAAGGATGAAAAGGAAGGGAGGGAGGAGGGGAGGGAGGACAGAGTTGCCCTCATCATCTTTGTCTACCAGACAGTAGGTCCCCACCCAGGATAGGGTTCCCTGTAACAGTCAGTTGTTCCTGTCTGAGGGGTACTCTGGTATAGAAAACAGCTCTGGGCTCTGGCCTCACTACCTGGGTTCCAGTTCCAGCCTTCATATTTCCTGGCCCAGCAAGCTTGGCAAGTTATTTCTGTGAGCCCCAGTTTCCACTCTGTGGGAGGGAATAATCATCACTCACCTCACATAGGGTTGTTATGAGGATAAAATCAGATCAAGGGACCTCATGTCCTCCATAAACTGGGTTTCCTTAGGGATAGAGGCCATACTCAAACTGAGTTTCCTTAGGGATGAAGGTTTAGCATATGGGGAACCAGGATTCCCGCAATAACGACGCCATTATTATTGGATTACTCTCTGCTGTGTGTTAACCACTGAGAAGTTTCTCTGTGGACATTGTCTCAGTGTATGGCTTATAAGGTGGGCAGTTTGGTGATGAGGAAACAGAGGTTCAGAAAGGTTAAGTGACTTGAAAAACTAGGATTTGAACCTAGATTCCTAATGACCTCCGACTCCAAATACTCTTTCCTCCACTTCAAGCTACTTCCCCTTAAGGCCAATATGGGCTGCGGGAGAGTAGGAGGGTCGATGTGGTGGTGGTGGTGGGTGTTGAACTCAAAGACTCTAGAAAATACTCTTAAATCCTGTGACTTTATCATTTTCCCACTGAACAGGGTAAAGAAATTACTGAAGCCTCATTCTTTTCCTGGTTTCACAAATCTTTCCCTTGCCCTAAGTGACTCATTTGCAGTTGGATTCTGGTCTGCCACCAGGTGCTGTTTCATTTTCAAGGAACCAGGGGTGGCTGTGTAAAGATGAGGGTTCCCAGGAGTGCTCAGTGTTGAGGGGGGTGTGCGTGGTGGGGGGAATCTGGAAACCAGGTGGAACAAGGCAAGGAAGATGCAGCTTTGAGGCAGCAACCAATTGATCATTTGACAAAATTTACTGAGCACTTACATGTGCTGGAAGCTGTGCTGGGAGCTGTGCTGAACCCCACAGGGCTGAAGACACCATGGGCTCTGGTCTCCAGAGGTTTGCAGATTGGTGAGGACGACAGGATTCAAGGCAGATGGAAGCTCCTTACGCTTATGGATGGTCAGGGGAGGGGAGGGGAGGAGGATGGTGGGAGGGGCATGCTGCTGGGAAGAGAGGACCAAGTCTTTACCCAGGGGATGGTGGGCAGGGGGGCAGAACACCCGTGTCCCTCTCCAGAATTCTCTGCCTCAGTGGCCCCCTCAGGCCCAGTTCTCAGTTTAAGTCAAATAATTTGGGACCCTAGTTGCCTCCTGCCTGCCACGTTCCAGCTCAATCATTCTTTGAAATTTGGAGCTGTAGCTAAAACGCCTTTGCCCTGTAACAGGATTTTCACGGTCTCCACGGCAGCGGCTAACGTCGCTCATCACCTGCTGTTGTAATCCGCACCGCTAAGCCGTGGGCTAGAGGCAGAAAGCTTAACTCGCCTTGCTGCTTCGAGCTTGCTCTTCCTGGCATCTGAGCCATATTTCAGTCAGGGGAGCTAATCCGCCCCCCCCCCAACCCAACTGCACACACAGAGACATTTCAAAGGAAACACAAATGGCAGAGGGAACTGTGGCTCCTTCTGGGAGGGGCTCCGAGAGCCAAGTTCCCCAGACCTAATGGGCAACAGGAAGTGTGTCCTGGGGTCTGTGAGGAAAACCACTCTTCGTGCCTTCTCCTGAAGGGTTTGCGGGGAGAGCTGAAGGGCTGATTTTTCTGAAGATTGTGTTTCAAGGGCTGGCCAGGCCTCAGTGTCCACATTGGGAGAGTCAGCTCTGTAAAAGGGAATACGTGAGTGAGCTGTGAGCAAGAGCATGTACATGTGTGCCTTGACTCATTGTGCCTGATGAACTCAACACCTAGCATCTTTCCTAAAATCATAATCCCTGGTGGGTTTTTTTTTTTTTTTTTTTTTTTTTGCCTTCTACCTCTGTCTTAATACTTTATGCCTCAGAGAGCCAGAGCCCAGAACACTTGGGAAGAGTGTTTGACACATGACAGGAGTTCACCAACTGCTTGTTGAATGGGTGAGTACTAGCACTGGAGCTCAGCTTTGTTCCAGCTTCGGTGCTGTGTGCTTAAATACATGGGTATAAGTGGAAAAGCAAACTAGAAACAGGAAAAAGTTGTAAACTCCTAAGAGGCAGGGGCCAAGCAAGCATACAGGCATTCATTCATTCAAAACGTGTTGACGAAACCTAACACGTGCCAGGTGTTGGGTTTTTTTTTGTTTGTTTGTTTGTTTGTTTTTTTTGATATAGATGCTGGGGAGACAGCAGTGAAACATATAGACAAAAATTCCTACCCTGGTTCTAATGGAAGGCACTGGACCAAGACTGGGCAGTGAGCAGATTTTTGCTAAACCTAAGAAATGACTTTCTGAGAACTAGAACTGTCCAGCAATGCAATGTGTGGTCGTGTGAGGTAGTAAGCTCCCTGTTTCTGGAAGAGTTTGATCAGAGGCAACGTGAGCATACCTGGGGATGCAGAGGAGGGGGCAGCAGATCCTGTGGATGCCCATATCTCCTTCCCTTATTTCTGCAGTGCAAACTGGCCAGCTTTCAGCAGCCAGCACCTGCATTTCTCTGCCCTAGAGCCTTCTCTGTCCCCAGAGTCTATTTTGGTCCCCATTCATCAACTGCAAACACCAGGGAATTAATGCCCCACCGGGGAGGTGACCTCAAGTGATGACTGACTGGAGCTGGTACACAAATGTCCCAGTTCCCATGTCCCTTGGATGGGATCACACTGAGGCAAATGTTTTCCACTGTTTCTCAGAGTTTCCAGCAGGATTAAGTGAGGGTTCCCCACAGTGGAAACTTGCTGGATAATGAATCCTTCACTGGCTGCCTTCCCGCCCCAGTACCACTTCCCCACTTCCTTTCTGATGTTTCCTGTTCTCACCTCCAAAATGGATGATTTGCATTTGAATCCTGATCTCCATATCTGCTTCTGGGAGACCCCGAAGGAAGACAAGGGGATCCCTGCCCTGTATGGGTGTTGGGACCTCTGAGGATTCCCTCCTTCCATTTCTAACACTTGATAACTGCTGGACTCCTACTGGGCTTTGGAAATGGCACCAGATTCAACCCGGAACTCCCTGTCCCAGCCTGGAGATTGGGCAGAGGACATTTCCTACCCATATAAGACATCAGAGGCTGCCAAACCTGCCTCCCTACCAGGTCAGGAGGTGCTTTGACAGCAGTCCGCTAAGTCCCTTTTGGGATAAGCCCCATGACTTCTGTGCTCCATCAGAGCAGAGCTGTAGCTTCTGAACCTAGAACCCTCCATTAAGGTTTGTTCACGTGGCTCTGCCTGATCTTTGCATCCCCTCAGCCTGTGCCAGCTCTAGCTAGGGCTGGGCCCCCAACCCCTTCACTCCCAAGGTCCTTCTGCTTCCCACAGATGTTGAGCCAGGGGCCAATCAGGCCTGGTCTACAGGCTTTATTATGACATCTGTCCAGAGAAAGTTCAGGGCATAGAACTGAGTGAACGGCAAGCTGGGCTCAATGTCTGCCAACCCCCAAGGCCTGGCACCATAGGACACAGGTACGGATGATAAAACTACATGTTTGGGTGGAGGGGAGAGGGACACACATTGTTTAGCAGGTGTGGCGGACACTGTAATATGCAGCCCAGCCCAGATCTCCTGTCAATGAAGAACATGTTGACCAGCTGCTGGGAAAGTCAGCAGACAGGCTTCCGTGATCCGTCTCTGCAGAGATCACTTCAGCTGCAGACAGCCTCATGCCTGGGGTTGTGCCCTTCTGGGGTGGCCCACATCCACTGACAGATTGATGTGGGAATAGGAAGGCCTGGCCATCTTGGCTGGATTCAGCATGGTTTCCAAAGGCCCTTATCGGCTCCAGAACTCCTTGTGAGGTGCCAAGGCTGCCTGGGCTGCATAAAAGCTGGATTCCTCGATCTGCCCAGGCTCACTTCTTACCCTGCTTGACCATTGCTGTGGGCCCCATGCCACTTCTTATTAAATACCCTGCTGGCAAAACTCCATCCATCTCAGGGGCTGCTCCCAGGCACCCTGACCTGTGATAGTGGAACATCATCCCCACCTACTCAGCTAAGCCTCTGCATCAGCCTGCCAAACCCTATTCCTTTCCAAATTGTTATCCCTACAGCAAGCTCTGCCTACCTTAAAGAGCAAGTCTCGAGCCCAGCCCAGCTCCTCCATTGGTCTTGGCAGGGGGATGTATGTGTTGGGGCGGGTGGGAGTAGGGTAGCTGCTTTCTGCAGGCCACACCCTCTCCCCAACACACACATGCCACCACAACTAAGTCATGTGCTGATGCCCCAGCCGCACACTCAGGCATCTAGAAGGTAAAGCCATCACAGGCCCCAAGCAGTGTCTCTGGATCTGAGGTGCATTCCTGCGGCTGGGACTGCAACGGGAGCTTGCTTTATTAGATCCCATTATAAACGGATGATTTGCCATCTCTGAAGATAAATGGGAAACTTAATGCAGAGATATCCTGTCTGGGGAAACTGGAGAGTTATGGATGTTAGCTTTGTAGCTTTATGAAAGCACTCTCTTATAGAAACTGAAATGACCAAGATTAGATTGAATTAGTATGTACTGGTATGAGTTTTTCTCCCTCATCCATCTTGACTTTTTTTTTTTTTTTTTTTAAGGCAAAATATTTGCCTCCTGTGCGAGCATTTCATAAAAATGCAAATCCCGAGTTTGGGTTTGGTAATTAGCAGGGTTGCCTCCTGGTGCTAACGAGGGTGCTGCCCAGCTGGGACTGTCTATGTAGGTGGAGGAAGCAGTGCCCTCTGCTGGCTTCCCTCGTGGGTGGTGTCTGCTCCCTTCCACCTGGGATCCCCCTCGGTGCCAGGTGCTCCCTTCGCCTGTCCTTGTAGAATACAGATGGATTAGTGAGGCCTTCTATTCCAGCAGCCAGGCTCCTGGCCACCCCATCCGAGGATGGGGATGATCCATCCCATGCAGACTCCACTATCCAGCACAGTGTTCCCTAGCCTGAACTTGAGACCCAGCCCCCAGCTGGGTGGCAAGGCTTTCTGCCAGCAAACAGCTGCATCTGATATATATGTTCTAGCACTTTTGATACCAAGCACAGGGCTAGGCACTGGAGGTATTAAGATGTGGAGGCTGAGATTCTTGCCCTTGAGGAGACCAATCTAACTGAGGGGAGAAAGGCAGATATAGATGATTTCCAAACTGACACTGTTTGATTGTACTTTCTGTCTTGATGGAAACGTTTTACATTTTTGCTGTCCAGTGTAGTAGCCATGAGCTTCCTGTGGTCCCATGGAGATAATAACTGGGATCTAGAGAGGAATTCTAGGGTTGGTTCTTAAGCCAACCATCCTGCGATCTCAGGCAAATCACATCTGCGATTTGAGCCCCAGTTTCATTTTCTCTTATTAAAACTTGCTCTGCTTCTCTACCATATTAGAACCAAGAGACCTAATCTTCACTTGGCCCAACCTTTTCACCTGATGGAGGGAGGAGCAGAGGCTGTGATCTGCCTGATCTTATGGCTGGGGAAGGGCAGAATCAGGCCCTTAACTCCTCATCCTGGCTTTTCGACCACAGCAGGCTGCTGCTAGGGGTACCATGGGGATCAAGTATGAGAAGAGAAATGAAGATCTTTGGAAAGTCAAAGCTACCCAAGCCCCAGACCTTTTTGACACCATGGTGGCTGGTGCAACCACCCATAGAGCCATTGCAGGCTCAGGACCATGTGGTGAGGTTGGGCACACACTTGAAGCTTAGAGAGCTAATGTAGAAGAGACTTATTTGTGAGATTATGCAATACCCTAGGCCCAACGCACAACTCTACAGCTGATGTCTGCCCCAAACTTCAGCGTGATAAAAGAATTCTAAGAGTTGGGCTGTAGGAGGAGGAGATAAAACAGTGTATGTGCCATGGGATACCAAATTTCAGGAGCCCTGAGAACCTCAGAGCCTCTCAGATACCTTACTGGGGTTGGGGTTCACCTGTTGGATGCCCAGAATCCCCATTAGATAGTGAGTGGGGTATCCCAGCATGGTTTCTGAAGCTGTCTTTGGGTCAAGGAGCTTTGCAGAGATGGAGAGGGGGAGACCTACATGGAAATAAAAGTGGGGGACTCCTTGCAATGAACTCAACTTCAGGAGGGGTGTCAGCACAGTAATAGAATTTGAATCAAGTATTGAGAGCTGGGTTGGGAGATAAGAGGGGCCAGGCGCAGTTACTCTCAGGTGGAGTCATTTAAAATTTAAAACACAGATTAAACATCTTCCTTTTTCTGATGACAAGTACTGTGTCTATCCCAGGTCCCAGGGTGCTCCCTCACAGAGGTACAGAGATCTGTTGAATGCAAGAACCCAGGCTAAGAGGCTTCCTCTGTTCAGCAGCCAGCTCTGGACAAGGCCTGGGGCTGCTTTTCCTGCAGGCCCCCATCTTTTTCCACACTGTGGCCCAGGGGGCCTTGGGGCCTCTGCCAAGTCCTACCAGCCCCAGGGCTGCCTCCATTTCAGGCTGTTCATGTTGGTGTGAGCTACTTCTCCTATAATGGAAGTATTCTTTGTACCTCTTGCCTATTGGTTCCTTACTTTGAGCATGCGGAAGTGAGATCTTTCCTTGGATGAGATGTGCTTTGTGCTCTTAATGCTGGTTTCTAGGTTACCTCCTGGCTGCAGCAGGAGCAGAGCTGGAAGAACTTTGGGATGACTTCAGCCTTCTCTCTCCCCATTGACAGAGGAGACATTGAGGTCCCAAAGAAGGAAGTGACTTGCCAAGTTCACACAGCTAGTCAGCAGCCAGGTTGGAATTGAAATTTAGGATATATAACTCATTCAATCCTTCATTACATAGATTTTTAATAAATGCCTAGTGTATACCAACAACTATGTCAGCCAAGGGTAAAATGGAGAGTGAGAAGACATGGTCTACATTCAAAGAATTTGCCTTGGAATGTGGGAAGATGAACATATAATCCTAGATTTTTACAAGTGGTACAAAGGAAAATATCTGCGTGATGATACAAGAGACAAAAGCAGAGTGGGGGGTTACTCTCTAGAGATAGTGGTAAGAAAAGGATCACCTGAATAAGCAATTATATTGAGCTTAGATAAGCAGGATCAGCAGGGGTCAGGTGAAGAGTGTTCCAGGCAGAGGGAGCAGCCTGCACAAAGCCCTGCATGGGGAAAGTTTGGTGTCATTGAAGAAACAACCACCACCAAGATCAGCGTGGTTGAGCAGGGTGCGAGAGAAGGTGCCAGGAGATAAGGGTGGAGAATGAGACAAGGGCAAGGTCGTGCAGCAGGCCTCCTTGAGTCAAGTGGAAGAATGCCGATTTTATTCCCATTTCTGCCATGCAATCTGAAAGTTGTAGCTGTGTTTGTTTAGGTGGCTCAGTCTAGGGGAAGGCCAGGGGCAGAACACAGCCTGAAAATGCAGGGACTTAGCATGAGAAGGAAAGGGCTTCTGAAGACAATGGTAGGACATAGGGTGTATAGAGCTGCATTCAGCCAAGGGAGGGGACCCTAAGGGGGTACAAGCAAAGAGGCCCTGGAGGAAGAGCCCTGAGACTGGCACACAAAGCTTTCAGGTGGCAACTGAGAAGTCAGTTTCACCAGAAAGGACTCAGTACATCCAAGGATTGGGGCCAAGAGGCATCATCTAACCAGCCAGGGCCTTAACAGATCCAGATGGAAGAAGCCAGACTTGGGCCTCAGCATGAGCCAAGCGTATCCTTGATTAAGCTGAGTGTCTGTGAGTTACTTCCCTGCATGCTGCTGGTGCCCCCAGGAGTCCTGGCCAGGCGTTCTAAATAGCAGGTGGAGTGCGTGCCATGCTGCCACTCTCCTCACCTGGGAGATGGGCTGCAGAAGATGCATACGGCAAGGTGGCAGGGCCAAGCATGTTGCTCCCGTGGATGCAGCAGGTAAGGAAGGTAGAGGAGAAGAACGAGTGGGTGGGATTGGAAGCTTCCTTCGGCTCAGATGGAGCAGGGTCTGCCTTTCGTGTCTGGGCTGTCTTCTCTGGCCCTGGCTGTGGAGGTCTGAGGCCAAAGGATCAGCCTGCTTCTTGCTCCAGGTGAGTGTGACTGGCATGGCCCTGGAGACGGCCGCCCACGCTGGTTTTGCACCTCTGGTGACCATCAAAGCTGGCATCACAACTTGATTAACAGTGTGACCTCTCATAGGGCCGTTACCTCCAATGAACGAGATAAGGCATGTCAAACACTTAGCACAGTGCCAGAGACCCTGGACGCTCAGTTTAGCTACCGTTAGATTTACTATTTACTGGGTCAGGTCTCTTCCATTAATGCTATTTAGCCCCACTCCTTTGCCCTGGGCTGAGCTCCTTGACCTTCTCACATGACCTGATGTCCTCCTATCTTTTGAGAGCAGACAATATAGCACGGGGCCTTTGGTTCTCTGCTTGGTGCTGCCCCAGGGTGACCTCAGCCAAGTCGCTTCTGCTCCCCAAATCTGTTTTGTCATCTGTCAATTGATGTGCTTGTTCTAAATCAGAGCTCCCCACTAGGTTGCTGTGCCACATTGCCGAGCCACAACTAGGTTGCCTGTGTGTTGAGATGGTGAGTCTCTTGGCCCTTCAGATGCCTGGGTGGGTCAGGACAGGGTCTCCTCTAACTGCAAGTAGCCTGTGCTATTGACTTCAGCATGCAAATATTACCATTTTCCCTGTGTGACACAATGTAAAAAAGGAAAAGTTGAGAAGCCCTAGAAATCATTCCTGTTATGCTAATATTCTGAGTCATCTCCTAGCTTCGAAACTGGCCTCTTCCAAGAAGTCTGCCTGCCCCCACAACATCGTTCAATGATATTTCTTCATCACAGTCTTCTCAGCAGTTATGAGCTGCATTCACTTGGAATGAATGAATGAATTTGTACTTCTTAATATGTGACCTGTGGGTTATTTCCTGTAACAACAATGACAATAACAACAACTCCTCTCACTTATTGAGCACGTGGGTGCCAGACAGCTCATGAAGTACTTTGCTATTCACTCTCACAATAGTGCTGTGAGGGACGCGTGCACCGTTGTGTATGCACACATGGGAAACCTGAGACTTCAATGGTTGAACACAATTGCCCAAATAGGAAGCAGCTGAGTGATGACTTGGATGTGAGTCTGTCTGGTCTGATGTAGCCCATGCTCTTAAGTAGTTAAATAGTATGCCTTGTGTGTGTGTCCTCTCCCAGTTAGACTATAGATCTCCCAAAAGAGATAGTGTTTTCTGCATTCCTTCCATCTTCCCGAAGCTCAAAACTATACTCAACAGTAAGAGCTCAGTGATTACTCTTGGGCATGTTAGACACTTTGTTGTAAATTAAAAGTGAGAGGTAGAATAGCCTTTCCTGGGTCACAGGCAGAAGGCACAACTGACTGCTAGTGTTGCCTGGGTGTAGGTGGGTTTGTAAAATCTTACTGGTACTGTGGCACAGAAGAGCAATCCCCAGGTAGCTTGACTGCCATTTCAGGGTAAAACCGTCCCCAAGGGAAGTCCAGAACTGGAGAATTCATATAGCATGAGAATTGGTCCTGAGGCTTCCCACAGCTCCTCCCACAGTCCTGTCTTCTCTTTCTGTGAGAGGGGAAAGTAAGAGCCAGTGATTGTCATCTAGGATTAGTGGGTCTTGGTAGCCTGGAGTGGGGATCACATAGCCAAGCAGTGCTCATTTGTGGCCCTGGCCCCCAATCTACAGCCCTTCTCACCTCTCCATCAGTGCCTCAGGACTGCATGCTCAACCCTTCTTCCTTGCCTCTTTCCTCAGGTTCATTGTCCTCACCTGGCCTTCCCACTGCTTGGATTCTAGTTGGGTCCTGTAAAGGACCTTGGCCTCTTGATGAGTTGTCTTTGAGTGGCCCTGGGTAGCCCCCATCCCACTCTTCTTTCTCCTGAACACCCAAACTGCACACATATACATGATGTGGTTAAGGATCAGACAGTCCTGCATTTGACTCTCTGCTCTAACTCTGATTAGCATGTAACCTTGGATAAGTTCATCAACATTCACTTAAGAAATATTTACTGAGCACCTACTATGTGCCACATACTATTCTAGGTACTGGACATGTGGTGATATAGTGTGTAGTATAGAACAGGCAGGTGCATGCTTGTGAAGGTGTTCAAGTAAGGCCTCTTTGAGTTGAAGACTGAATGATGAAAAAGAGGAAATATGGAGGAAGAACATTCTATTGAGACAGAGGAAACAACCAATGCAAAGGCCCTGGGGCACAAAAAAGGCTGACACATTCAGTAGATTTATAGGGTGTTGCTGTATGGAGAATGAATTGCAGGTCATCAAGAGTGGCAGTAGGGACACCAGGGAGAAGGCTACTGCAAAGGTCCAGGTGAGCAATGATGAAGGCTGGGATAGATTATATCTGCTCTCTGAAACTTACTTTCCTTATTCACAAAATGAATATAACAAGAGTCCCTACCTTACAGGGTGGCCATGGAGATTAAATAAGTCAGTATTTGGCATGCAATAAATGGTAACTATTAGCATTAATAAAAAGAGTAATAATCATAAGCGTGGGCTCAGCTCTGTGAGCCCTTACGGGAGAACTGAGCCTCCAATTAAGCTGAGACTTTTCCATTCAGCAGGTCAGGGATGCTTCCGGTGAGTCAAAGACCAGATACCAGCTGCCCCTTCTGACTCACCCATCCCAGGTTCTTAGTAAAGGGCATCACTGGATGCTCAGTGGGGACGGAGGCAGGCACTGCACAGGGAGGAAGAACAGGTGGCCTTGGGAGAGAGGGCAGCATCTTCTCTGTGCTATGGAAGCAAGCAGGCTGAGGAGGGGAAAGGCCCAGGCCTCCCATACTCCCTGGGTTCCTGAGCCAGACCTAGGAGAAATTCTCACCTCATCCAGGAAGACTTAGAGTTGAAAAGAAAGAATTGAGCTAGTCGGGGAAGCAAGCCAGAGTATAGAAGGCAAGGAGGCAGGCTCCCCCTCTTTCTGACTTTCCATAACCCAGGGAAGGGATGTGGGGTAAATAGAGGAAGAGAGGGGGAAGGAGTGAGGGGAATCACTTCCCATCTTTGCGATGAGTGGATGAGCTGAAAGAAGCTGAAGGCCCCAAGAAGGATTTGGTTAGACGTCCACAACTGTACAAGACAGCAGCTGGACCCTACGGCACATTTCTGCTCGAATAAACAGGATCTTCTCTCTTGCAGAAATCCTTCTCTTCCAAGTGGTATTGGGGGCGAGCCCGCTGAGAGGTTGAGAGGGCTCTGATGACCTCCAGCTCCTGCCCCCACCTGACTGTCCTAGTTGTCTGCAATGGTGGCAAAGGGAAATTTTATGAGCTCTTCAGTCCTCAGGTCCCATGGGCTTTTGCCTTGCTCCAGACCATCTCTGATACACACATATACCTTGAAAAGGAAAAGAAAGAGAGAGAAAAGCTATTTTATTTCATTGCCAAACCATCCACTTTAAATACCCTTTTTATTACAGTATCTGCATAGTAATACTAATAATAGATCTTGTTGGCAGCTCTAATGAGGCTGGAGAATATAAGGTTTCCAATAAAGTTAATTGTTGCCTTTAATATTCTCATACATTTATACATGGTAAATCTTTAAAGGAGAAAAAACATTTCATTTCATCCCTGTTAAGCAGCCGGTCCTAGACTGGATGGAGACCAACAGTAGAGACGTGGGCTGGGAGCTTGACTGTCGGAAAACTTGGATTATGATCTCCAAACTTCCTCCTACCAGGAAGAGCATGAGTTTTGAGTCCGAGAGCTCTGGGTTTCCAGGTTGGTTTTGTCACTTCCTGACTTTGAAGCTAGGGCCAATCACTTAACCTCTCTGTCTCAGTTTTTCAGTCTCTAAGATGGGATTTATGATAAATGTATATAAAGCTCAGTATAGTGCTGGCATATATGTGATGTTCCATACATGTGAACTGTTATCATTATTTTAAGCTATTAAATAGTTATTATTTTATCCACTTGCTAGGTGTATCATTAATTGTGAAGTAAATCAGGGTAGTGCAGTCATTGTATTTGAACTTCACAGCTAACTAAAAGATCTTTCTGTTAATCTATTTCTTAAGGTTGTTTAGCAGTAAGCGATAGATCAGGGTTAGAAGCCGGGATTCTTGATCTCCAGCAACTTTCAATAATGAGAAGTTACTAGGCAGCCCTGATCTCCATACCCCACCTCCCCCCAAGTCTAGAGCATACTTGACTAACTTTACCTTCTGCCTACCTTTAATCAGACCCATGTCTACTGCCTGGTCCCTGAACTAATCGTGATTAAAATGCTGGGGTGAAGGAGGGCTACTTGTCCCTATCTTGCTACAGACACTCGTGATTCCTGTCCAACCTCTCTCAGTAGTCATAAATTTTCTTTGTTTTGACTTTTACATGGAGACAATTTTGTAATTTTTACAGTCACAAAGCAAAAAAGAATATATGTTTCACCATTTATTGTATTACCGATGTCATGTATTTTTGACAGTTCCATCACATTTCTGACATTTACAATGTTTTTTTTTCCCCTGGGGGGTGAGTAGAAGGAGCCGTTTTCCCATGCCCCACTCACACGATCCTGGAAAAGGAGAGCAACCCGAGATGCCCCAGGTTAGGGACAGGCCTGTGTGACCTTGTGTTTCAACAAATGGATCACAAACAATGCAACCTGCACCTCTCCGGCCTTCCCCACCCAGTCGGAGTTCTCCGCTCCACATCATCGCCTCTCCCGCTGGCAAGTGGTAGGAAATACTATGTGACAGGATGGTTGCCATGGCAACCCTCATTTCCAGTTAAACAACCGGGCATTGATGAAAGGAGTCTCGTTTGCTTTGGTTACAGGGTTTGCTGGGAAGGGTGTGGAGTGCGTTTCTTCCTCTCTTGTTTTTCCGTTTCTTACTCCTCACTTTCCTGTCTCCTTTTCAAGGATGAGATAGAGGCACTGAAGGGCCAGGTCCTAGAGAATGGGGAGTGTCGTTTCAGGCTGGATCAGAGGCAGCCGGGCTGGGGGCTGGGGGCTGGGGTCTGAGCGGAGGTCGCGCCTCCTGTCCTTGCAGCCACGGCTTTTCTCCCAGCCCCACCTGCCTCAGGTCCCCGGTTCCCCTGCCCTTCCAAATAAAGGACCTGTTGGGGGAAGAAATGGGCTGGCGGAGGACCCTGTGTCCCAACAGGTGGTTGGGTAATTAAGTGAGCTTTATGCATACAACACTGTTTTGCCCGATGTAATTGCAGTTTCCATATAAATAATTCACGGGAAATTATTAGAGTGAGGACATCGCCCGCCTCCTCATAATTTGCTTAACCGAAATAGGCTCTTTCATCATCTGCGTTGATTTGCCTTAAGACCATGCACTCAGCATCCTTCATAGGCCTGCTCCTCCGAAAACGAGAATGCAGAATTTAATTAAGTTATGCAAATTGGGCATCCCCTGCCTGGGGAGAGGCAGGGTGTTTGCCCACATGGCTGTAGGGTGGTGCAGGGAAGAAGGGGGGGGCATGATGTGCCCCAGGTGCCCAAGCAGTGGGCAGCTGTTTGGGAAGGAAGCCCCCCCCACCCCCGCTCCCAGCCACAGAAAAATCGCAGCACTGCAACGGAGAGTTTAAGAGCTGTACTCCTTGAATGGGGTAGAGCAGTCAGAGCTTGAACTCTGGGGTCTGCTTCCTGGCTTATTCGCTGTGTAACTTTGGGCAAATAACCTCACTGAACCTCAGCTTCCTTCTCTGTAAAATGAGGCTCATAAAGGCACCCGTCTCCTGGGGTTGAGGTAAGGGTTACATGAGAGGGTCTCATCAATATGGTTCTGGCCATAGGGCTTCATAAGCACCTGCTATTACTGTTATTATTATTACTGTTACTATTATTATGATTGTTGTCATTTCCATTTTGATTGTTCTCATTAAATACAGAAGGATCTCAGCTGTAGCTTCCATTGCTCTTGATGGGAGTATCTGCCTGAGTCTATCCTGGCCTTCTGCCACAGGGAGGGTTAAATTTATGACATTCTCCCTAGATTATCCCATGATTTTTGGAGGAAATTGTCAAGTTAGAGGGAAAAACCATGCATTTTGGAGCCAGACAGATCAAGATTGAATCCCAGTTCCCCTGCTTGTATATGTGTGGTCTTGGGCAAGTTATTTTACCTTCATGAGCCTTGAGGGCCTCATGGACAAGATGGCGGTGGTGTTCTTCCTTCTCTTGGAGTTTGTGAGGATTAGAAAGAATGTCTGCAAGGCACCAGGCACATGCCTGCCACACAGTTTATGCTCAACAAATGGTCAAATGAATCTGAATCTAGGCAGGGCCTGCCTTAGCCTCCTCACTCTCTACCCTTCCTTTTTCTTAGTGGTGGTTCTTCCTGCACATCCCTCCTGGCATCCTTTCGCTTGTACTTTTCTTTTAAAGGATCAAAGGATTCAATAAACATCCACCCTGAGGTATAAGTGACTGATGAGCTTAAAATCTCTGCTCCTCCTGAGGGGATTGTCATTTTCTCAAGGGGATAAAATACCTAATTTTTCTTAAACCAAAGGTTTGGTGCTCTAATGGGGGCATTCTACAAGCCTGTCATAAAGCAGAGGGGTGCTCCCAAAATCTCTACTGGAAAGTGATAGGTTACTTATAAGGGAAGCTCTGAGTCTGGGAACCCACCCTGATGGCTAGTGCCTCTCATGGATTCTCTCTTTTGCTGAAATTTAAGATTTGTTAAGCAGTTAGTTGCTTAATTCATTTAACAAATATTTACTGAGCACCTGCTATATGCCAGGCACTGTGCAAATCATTGGGTTTACAGCAGTAAGCAAAACAGACATAGTCCCTGCCCTAATTGAACTTAAAAGCCAGTGGGAGTGACAGTTATGAAACAAATGTTAGCATTGCTAAATATAAATATAATTACACATTCTATAAGAGTATGAAGAAAATGAACAGGGGGCAATAAGAGTGAATAGAAGGGTGGCTGAATTCAAATGGCAGGTGGATGGGTAATGGAGGTATCTCTGCAAGAGAAGGAAGAGGAGGACTGAGCTAGGAGAACAGTGAGAGGGAGAGCATTACTGGCAGAGGGAAGTGTGTGTTTAAAGGCTCGGAGGCAGGAAAAAGGCTGCTGCATTTGAGGAACTGGAAGAAGACAGCAGCTGGAGTGACTAAAGGGAAAAGAGGTGTTTGGTGAGGCCAGGCGCAGTGGCTCATGCCTGTAATCCCAGCACTTTGGGAAGCCAAGGAGGGGTGGATCACCTGAGGTTAGGAGTTTGAGACCAGTCTGGCCAACATGGTGAAACCCTGTCTGTTCTAAAAATACAAAAATTAGCTGGACATAGGGGCACATCCCTGTAATCCCAGCTACTAGGGAGGCTGAGGCAGGAGAATCACTTGAACCTAGGAGGCGAAGGTTATAGTGAGCTGAGATCGCAGCATTGCACTCCAGCCTGGGTGACAAGAGCAAAACTCTGTCTCAAAAAAAAAAAAAGAAAAAAAAGAGGTGTTTGGTGAAATAGGCAGAGGTCAGGAGTGGGAAGTCTTAGGGCAATAGGGAAATGCAGATCCCAGGGTCCCAATTAAAACTGCAGATCAAGCTGGAGGCCCTTCAATAGCTAGGCCTTGAGTCCCAAATAGGCCCCTTGATTCATTTTAGAGGAAGAAAAAAGCAGACTGCCAGCAGGAGGGATTGGGGAGAATTTTGGACTCAGTGTCAGAAAAGCCAGTTTGGTTCTGGCTCTGCTAATTGTTCCTTAGGAAATTAACTGCCTCTGAGCCTTAATGGCCTCACCTGTAATGGAGCGCACTGTGTATTTCCCATTGGCCCCTCCTGAGCCACTTTTGAGCCTTCTGTGCCCTGCTCTGGGCCCCAGGAGGCTGATTTGTATGGACTGCCTCAGTGGGCTCCTTTTCCCTCTGGCTTGGCTAATGGGGAGTACCAGTACAGAAACGGGGGCAGAAGAAGAGTGAGTTTAAGATACGGACTTCCCTTGCTCTCACCCTACTGGGCAGTGGGTTGTCTGCATCTCTCTGTAAGAGGCCACTACCCCAGTTTCACATTCACCTCCTGTAGCCACTGAGTCCAGGTGCTGGTAGTTGCTATCCACCAGGTCCTAGCCTAGGAGTAGCAGTGTCTCCTTCATATTGCTAGTCCCACAGTGCTGCACTATCCCTTGTCACTTCCTCTTAGCCCTGCCCACATCTTTGACAAGAGTCACCACAGTGAACATGATGGGTAATTTTCGATGCCAACTTGCCTGGACCACAGACATTTGGTCAAATATTATTCTATTGTATCTCTGAGAGTGTTTCTGGGTGAGATTAACATCTGAATCAGTGGACTAGAAAAGAAGGCTGCCCTTCTTAATGTGGGTGGGCTTCATCCAATCAGTTGAAGACCTGAATAAAACAGAAAAGCTGAATAAGAGGTCACTTCGCCTGCCTGACTGCCTCAAGCTGGAACAAGCCCTTTGCCCTTTGACTGCAACTTAACACCATCAACTCTCCTGGGTCTCTAGCTTGCCAGCTGCAGATACTGGGACTTGTCATCCTCCATAATTGCATGTACCAATCCTTTAATAAACACCTCTCTCTGTCTCTGTCTCTCTCTCTGTCTCTCTCTCTCTCTATGTGTGTGTGTGTGTGTGTGTGTGTGTGTGTGTGTGTGTCTATAGTCATGTGTCACCTAACAACGGAGTTACCTTCTAAGAAATGCATTGTTAGGTAATTTTGTCATTGTGCACATATCATAGAGAGTACTTACACAAACCTAGATTGTTTACCCTGTTATATACCTAGGCTATATGGTATTCTCTGTTGCTCCTAGTCTACAAACTTGTACAACATGTTACTGTACTGAGTACTGCAGGTAGTTGTAACACAATGCTAATTATTTGTGTACCTAAACATAGAAAAGGTACAGTAAAAGTACAGTATAAAATATCCATTATAGTCTTACGGAATCACTGTCATATATGTAGTCAATTGTTGACTGAAACATTGTTATGCAACATATGACTATATATATGTAGTCATATAGAGAAAGTTATATATATATAGTCATATATATAGAGTTATATCTATATCTATATATGCAATTGGTTCTGTTTCTTTGACCAATACAGTGTTTGACAAACATTTGCTGACTATTGCATATAACTTTATCATCTCTCAGGTCCCTGCCAGTTCTCACACATCAATTTAAGAAACAGACTATAGAGGGGAGCAGGGGAGCAGGTAGGAGGTACAGGGAAGCTGTGGCTGTCCTGTGATTGGCCCAAGCCCCAATGTCCCTTCATCTTCACTCTTTCCCTTCCTTCACCACCCCCAGGCTGTAACTGGGAAGGTAGAATAAGAGAAGGGAAGAGACAAAACAATCTTCCCTACTGCTCCTATATCTCTTCTTGGATCCCTTTACCTTTTATTTTTAAGTTTTATTAAAATATAATTGACATACAATATACTGAACATATTTAAACTATACCATTTGATGAGTTTTGACATATGTATATTTGAGATAATGAACATATCTGTCATTTCCAAAAGTTTCTTTGTGTCCCTTTAAATCCCTCTCTCCTGCACCCCCCACCCCTAGTCCCTAGGCAACCACTGATCTGCTTTCTGTCACTATAGATTCATTTGCATTTCCTACAATTATATAAATGGAAGCTACAATATGCACACATTTTGTCTGCCTTCTTTCACTCAGCATAATTATTTTGAGATCCATCTGTGTTGTAGTGTATATCAATAGTTCATTTCTTTTCATTTCTGATAGTATTTCATTATATGAATATACCACAGTTTGTCTATTCTCCAATTGATGGACATTTGGGATGCTTTCACTTTTTGGCTGTTATAAATAATGCTTCTGTGAGCATTTGTGTAGAAGTTTTGGCATGGGTATACACTTATACTTGTCTTGGGTAAGTACCTAAGAGGAGAATGACTGGATCATATAGTAGGTGGTTAAATTTTTGAGAAACTGCCATGCTGCTTTCAAAATTAGTTGCACCACTTTACATTCTCCCAGCAGTGTATGAGAATTCCAATTGCTTCACATTTTTGGCAACACTTGGTATGTTCAGGCTTCTTAATTTTAGCCATTTTAATAGGAGTACAGGGGTATCTCATTGTGGTTTTAATTTGCATTTCCCTAACGAGTAATAATGTTGAGTTTCTTTTCATATGTTTCTTTGCTTTCTGTATATTTTCTTTGGTGAAGGCAAATCTTTTTTCTATTTCTAAATAACATTGTTTATGTTCTTATTATTTATTTTTGAAGATTTATATATTATAGATATGAATCTTTCACCAAATATATGGTTTGGAAATATTTTCTCTCAGTCTGTGGCTTATCTTTTTATTCTCTTAACAGTGTCTTTGAAGAGCAATTTTAAATTTTGATAAAGTTCAATTTACAAGTTTATTCTTTTATGCAGTTATATCTAAGAAGCCTTACCTAACCCAAGGTTATAAAGATTTTCTCTTATGCTTTCTTCTAGAAGTGTAAAAGTTTGAGGTTTTATACTTAGGTCTATTATCCTTTTGAGTTGATTTTTGTATGTGGTGCACAGAATGGATCAAAATATGTAGTTTTGCATGTGAATATACAATTGTTCTAATACCATTAATTGAAAAGATTTAAACTTCTTCCCCTGGATTGCTTTTATAAGCTTGTCAAAACTTAGCTATCTCTATATATGTTTGTGTCTATTTCTGGCCTCTAATCAGTTACATTGATCTTTACACAAATACCTCACTATTCTGATTACTACAACTTTACAACTCTTGAAAACAGATAATGCTAATCCTCTAACTTTGCTCTTCTTTTTCAAAGTTTTGCTGTCTATTTCAGGTTCTTTGCATTTCTAGAAATATTTTAGAATTAGTTTAAAACTTTCTACTAAAAAGCATGCTGAGATGTTAAATGGGATGGCATTGAATCTATTGATGAATTTGCAAGGAATTGACATTTTACTTTTAACAATTTTGAGTCTTCCAATTCATGAACATAGTATGTATATTTCCATTTATTTGGGTGTTTAAAAATGTCTTTAAGCAATATTTTAGGGTCTTTGGTGTACATGTCTTTCACAACTTTTGCAGATCTTGCCTTAAATATTTTATATTTTCTGATGTTCTCATAAATAATATTGTTTTCTCAATTTTTGTTTTTGATTTATTGTTAGTATAGTGTTAGTATATTAAAATTTAATTTTTGTATATTTATCTTGTGTCTTTCAACCTTGATAAACTCATTTGTTAGTTCTAGTGGCTTTTCATAGATTTCATTGGAATTTCTACATAAACCATCATGCTGGCTGTACATGAAGAAAGTTTTTCTCCTTTTTCAATCTTGGTTCCTTTTATTTTATTTTATTTTTTCCTATTCTTATTACACTGGCTAGAACTTCAGCACAATGTTGAATGGAAGAGAACATCCTTTTGCTATTCTTGGTCTTGGTGATGGGTATGTGTGAAGCATTAATCTTTTTTATAGATGTCCTTTATCAGGTTGAGGAAGCTGCTTCTATTCTTATTTTGCTGTGAATTTTTGTCCTGAATGAATGTTGGATTTTGTTACATTCTTTATTTGCATCTATTTAGATGATACAGCTTTTCTTCAAAATGCGTTTCTATGGTGAATTACATTAAAAAACATATTACATTTTAGATGTTAAACCAACTTTGAATTCCTGGATTAAATTCCACTTAGTCGTAATTATTATCTTTTAAATATATTGTTGAATTCAGCTTTCCAAAAATTTGTTTAAAATTTGTTTAATTTGTGATATTGATCTGAAGCTTTCTTTTCTTGTAATATCTTTGTCTGATTTTGGTAACTGGGTAACATTGACCTTATAGAATGAGTTGAGAAGTATATTCTCCTCTTCAATTATCTAGAAGAAGGTATAAAATTTGTATTATTTTTCTTTAAATATTTGGTAGAAGTCACCAATGAACCTATCTGGTGCTGAATTTTTATTTGTCAGAAGATTCTAACTACAAGTTCAATTTCTTGAATAGATTGAAATTCAGGTTATCTATTTCTTCTTCTTCTTCTTCTTCTTCTTCTTCTTCTTCTTCTTCTTCTTCTTCTTCCTCTTCTTCTTCCTCCTCCTCTTCTTCCTCCTCCTCTTCTTCCTCCTCTTCTACTTCCTCCTCTCCTTCCTCCTCTCCTTCCTCCTCTTCTTCTTCTTCCTCCTCTCCTTCCTCCTCTTCTTCTTCCTCCTCTCCTTCTTCCTCCTCTCCTTCCTCTCCTTCCTCTCCTTCCCCTCCTTCCCTTCCTTTCCCTCCTTCCTCTCCTCCTCCTCCTCTTCTTCTTCCTCTTCCTCCTCCTCCTCCTCCTTCTTCTTTTAGATGGAGTCTTGCTCTGTTGTCCAGGCTGGAGTGCAGTGGCGTGATCTTGGCTCACTGCAACCTCCACCTCCAGGGTTCGAGCAATTCTCTGCCTCAGCCTCCCGAGTAGCTGGGATTACAGGCCCCCGCCAGCATACCTGGATAATTTTTCTATTTTTTAGTAGAGACAGGATTTCACCATCTTGGCCAGGCTGATCTTGAACTCCTAACCTCATGATCCACCCGCCTTGGCCTCCCAAAGTGCTGAGATTACAGGTGTGAGCCACCGTGCCCAGCCTATCTATTTCTTCTTTAGTGAGAGTTGGTAATTTGAATTTTTTAGTTTATCAATTTAATCTAAATTCCTAAATTTACTTGCATGTATTGGCATATTATTGTTTATAATATGACTTCATTACTCTGTAACAAGTGTGGAATTTGTACAGTTGCAATGTTTCTCATTATTTATATTGTTAATCTGTCAAATCTCTATTTTTATTAATCAGCCTGGTTAAATATTTATGAATTTTATTGATATTCTTAAATAAGCAAATCTTGTTTTTATTGATTCTCTCTACCATTTTTCTGTTTTCTATTTCATTGATTTCTAATTTTTACTAATAGTTTTTTTCTACTGCTTACTTTGGGTTGCATTTACTCTTTGTTTTTAAGTTTCTTAAGGTGAAAGCGAAGTTCTCTGGTTTGATACTTTCCTTTTTCCTTCTTTCCTAATGTAGGCACTTATTGCTATAAATATTATACCGTGCCCCTCCACCACCACCAAGTATTGCTTTAATAGTTTCCCACAGTTTTGGTTAGATTGCGTTTTATTTTTATTCAGTTCAAAATATTTTCTAATTTCCTTCTTGAGTTACCTGTAACTCACAGGTTATTTAGAAATATGTTATGTAGTTTTTAAATATTTGGGGGACATTCTGGAGATATTTCTGTTATTAATTTTAATTTAATCCGATTAAATTGAGAAAACATTTTGTATGACTTGAGCTCCTTTATATTTATTGATATTTGTTTGTGGTACAGAATATGTTCCATCTTATGAAACTACCTTGCACTTGAAAAAACTTGCATTCTGCTATTGTTGGGTAGAGTGTTCTATAGTGTTAATTGGGTCAATTTGTTTGATAATGCTTCTCAAATATTCTATACCTTTTGTGATTTTCTGTCTACTTTTTCTTTTTCTTTCTTTCTTTTTTTTTGAGATAGAGTCTCACTCTGTCGCCCAGGCTGGAGTGCAGTGGTGCGATCTCAGCTCACTGCAACCTCCGCCTCCTGGGTTCAAGTGATTCTCCTGCCTCAGCCTCTGGAGTAGCTGGGATTACAGGTGTGTGCCACCATGCCCGGCGAATTTTTTGTATCTTTAGTAGAGATGGGGTTTCACCGTGTTAGCCAGGATGGTCTCGATCTCCTGACCTCGTGATCCGCCCGCCTCAGCCTCCCAAAGTGCTGGGATTACGGGTGTGAGCCACCGCGCCTGGCCCTTCTGTCTACTTTTTCCATCAAATACTGAGAAAGAAATATTTGAATCTTTGACTATAATTATGGATATGCCCAGTACTCCTTGTAGTTTTATCAGTTTTTGCTTTATGTCACCTGAAACTTTGTTATTTGGTACATAAATATTTAGGATTATTAGGTTATCTTAATGAATTGACCCCCTTTCCATTATGAAATAAACCTAAAGGAAAATAGCCCTGGTAACATTTTTTGCACTGAAATCTACTTTGTCTAATATAATATAATCACCCCAGCTTTTGTTCTTTTTCACAGCTTCATAGAGACATGTTATACAGCATAACTTCACACACTTCAAGTGTACAATTCAATATTTAATATATTTACAGAGTTGTGTAGCCATCACCATTATCTAATATTAGGACATTTTCGTTATCCCCCGAAGACACCTAGTACTCATTTAGCAGCCACCGCTATTCACTTCTCTTCCCACCCTCAGCCTTAGGCAACCATTTCCAATTTATATAATTTGCCTATTCAGGACATTTCATATAAATAGAATCATACAATATATGGTCTTTGTATTTGGGGTTTTAAATATTGTTTTTTAATTAAAATTTTTATTTTTATATAATTGTAGATTCACATGTATTTGTAAGAAATAGTACAGACAGATCACAGGTACCTTTTAACCAGTTTCCCCCAATGATAATATCTTGCAAAACATTAGTACACTATCACAATCAGGCTGTGTACGTTGATATAATCAACATACAGAAATTTTTATCACCAAAAGGATCCTTTGTGTTGCCCTTTTGTGGCCATGTCCAACCCCATCCCCACCTCTCCTTAACCTTTGGCAACCACAAATCTCTTCTCCATTTCAATAATTCTGTCATTTCAATAATATTCTATGAATGAAATTATGCAGTGTGTAACCTTTTATGATTAGAATTTTTTCACTCACCATAATTCTTTGGAGATACATGCAGGTTGTTGCATGTAGGAATAGTCTTGTTTTTTTTTTTTTAATTCCAGAGTAATATTCTATGATATGGATGTACCACAGTTTAACTATGTAACCATTGGAAGACATCTTGGTTCATTCTGATTTGGGACTATTATGAATAAGGTTGCTATACACATTCATGTATAGGTTTTTGTGTGAGCATAAGTCTTCATTTCTCTGCGATAAATACTCAGAAGGTCCAGTTGCTGGGTTGCATGGTAATTGCCAGCTTGTTTTTCAAAAAACTGCTAAACAGCTTTCCTGAGTGTCAGTACCTTTTTACATACCCACCAGTAATGTGCAAGTGATCTGGTATTTCTATATTCTCATCAGCATTTGATGTTGTATTAGTCCATTTGCATTAATGTAAAGGAATACCAAAGATTGGGTAATTTATAAAGAAAAGAGGTTTAATTGGCAGAAGTTTAATTGGCTCTCCGTTCTGCAGAGTGTACAGGAAGTGTGATGTCAGCATCTGCATCTGGTGAGGGCCTCAGGAAGCTTACAATCATGGTGGAAGGGGAAGGCAGGAAGTCCCAGGCTTTTAAACGACCAGATCTCTCATGAACTAATAGAGTGAGAACTCACTTATACTCAAGGAGATGGTGTTAAATCATTCATGGGGGTCCACCCCTATGATCTGATCACATCCCACCAGATTCCACCTCCAACATTGGGAATCACATTTCAACATGAGATCTGGAGGGTCAGACATTCAAATCATATGAAATATCATTATTTTAAAAATCGTATCCATTTTGATGGATATGTAGTGAAATTTCACTGTAGTTTTAATTTGCATTTCCCTAAAGGTTAATGATGATTATCTTTACATGTGTTTAATTTCTGTCTGTATATCATCATTGGTGAAATGTCTCTCTAGGTCTTTTGCCCATTTTCTAATTGGATTTTTGTTTTACTATTGAGTTTTTTGAGTTCTTCATATATTCTAAATGTAGTCCTTTATTGCATATGTGGTTTACAAATATTTTCTCTCACTTTGTAGCTTGTCTTAACCTTTTCACGAGATCTTTTACAAAGCGAAAGTTTTTGATTTTCATGGAAGTTTGCCATTTTTTTTCTTTTTAAATCTTGCTCTGATATCAGGTCTAAGAACTCTTTTCCTAGCTCTAGGTTTTCTCCTATTTTTTCTAAATGTCTTATGGTTTTACATTTTCAGTTAATTCTGTGATCCATTTAAGTTGCTTTTTGTATAGGTGTGAGATTTAGGTTGAGTTTCTTTTCTTTTGTCTATGGACGTCCAATTGCTCCAACACAATTTTTTGAAAAGGCAAATTTTCTTCCACTGAATTGCTTTTGCACCTTTGTCATAAATCAATTTGGCATATTTGTGTGGGTCTATTTCTGGATTCTCTATTCTGTTCCATTTATCTTTGTGTCTCTCTTCCAATACTACACAGTCTTGATTATTATAGCTATATAAATCTTAAAATCAAGTAGGCTTATTCCTTCCACTTTATTTTTTTTCAAAATTGTTTTAGCTATTCTAGTTTCTTTACATTTCCACATAAATTTTAGAATAATCTTATCAGTATCTGCAAAAATATGGCTAGGATTTTGATAGCAATTTATACCATTAAAACTGTAAATTAATTTGGGGAGAATTAACATCTTTACTCATCTTTGTTGAGTCTTCCAATCCATGAACACTGATGTCTCCCCATGTATTTAAATCTTATTGAGTTCTTTCATCAACATTGTGTAGCTTTTGGCATACAAGCACCATACATGTTTTGTTAGATTTATATCTAAGAATTTTTTTCATGAGTGATTGTAAATGATATTTTAAATTTTGATTTCCATGTGTTTATTTCTAGTATATAGAAATATACTTGATTTCTTTATGTTTATCTTGTGTACTACTACCTTGCTGAACTTATTAGTTCTAGAAGTTTTTTGTAAATTCCTTGAGATTTATACATAGGCAATCATGTCATCTACAAATACGGTCAGTTTTCTTTCTTTCTTTTCCAATTGTGTGAATTTTATTTCCTTTTCTTGCCTTATTACACTGGCTAGAACATCTAACACTTTGTTAAATAAGAGTAGTGAGAGTAGATAGTCTTCCCTTGTATAGGGAGAAAGTATTCAGTATCACATCATTTAGTATAGTGGTAGCTGGTTAGCTGTAGGTTTTTTTGTATTCTTTATCTAGTTGAAGAAGTTCTCTATTCCTATTTCTCTGAGAGTTTTTATTATGAAAGGACAATGAATTTTGTCAAATGCTTTTTCTGCATTGATTAATATGATTATATGACTTCTTCTTTAGCCTGTTAATATGGTAGATTATACTGATTAATTTCTGATTATTCTGATTATTGAACCATTCTGATTATTGAACCATTTCCACTTGATCATGGTGCATAATTATTTTAATATGTGGTTGAATTTTATCTGCTAATATTTTTAAAAGAATTTTGTGTTTATATTCTTAGGAAATATTGGTCTATAATTTTCTTTTTTGTACCATCTTGATCTGCTTTGGTATCAGAGTAATTGCATAAAATGTATTAAAAAGTGTTGTCTCTTTTTCTGTTTTCTGAATGAGACTGTGTAAATTGATGTTAATTCTATTTGACAAAATTCTCCAGTGAAACCATTTAGGCCTGAAGATTTTTTTAGAGAACTTTTTATTACAAGTTCAATTTTATTAATAATTATGGGGCTATTCAAAAGATCTATTTTGTATTAGATGAGTGTGGTGCTCTGCAATTTCCTAGAAATTGGTTCATTTTATTTAAGTTATAACATGTATGTGTGGAGAGTTGTTTACAGCATTTCCTTATTATATTTTTAATGTTTTCAGAGTCTGCAGTGGTATCCTCTGTTTCATTCCTATTATAGGTAATTTGTGTCTTTTATACTTTGTTAGTCTTGGTAGAAATTTGTTGCTTATATTGATCTTTCCAAATAACTAGTTACTCATTTTGTTATTCTGCTTTTAATTTCCTTTATTTCTCCTCTTATCTTTACTATTTTTTTCCCTCTGCTTTCTTTAAGTTTAATTTGTGCTTCCTTTTTTAGGTTCTTGAGGTGGAAACTTAGATTATTAATTTGAGACTTTTCTTCTTTTCTAATGTATGTATTTAGTGCTGTAAGTTTCCCTACCAACACTGCTTTAGCTGCATCTCACAAATTTTATCTTATATTTTTATTTTTACCCAGTTTAATAGACTTTTTAAAGATTTCACTTGAGACTTCTTTGACTCACAGATTATTTAGAAATGTCTTATTTGTTTCCAAGTGTATAGTGCTTTTTATATTTCTGGTGTGTATAAACACACACAAACACACACACACAACCAGATTACCTGTATCTATATCTACATGTATGTCTATATCTATCAATCATCTATCTACAGAAAATATCAGATAAAGTATACTTCAGAGCAGAGTATATATATATGTGTGTGTGTCTGTGTATGTACATATGTATATTTATATTTCTGATATATACCTGTTTAAAAATTTCTCTATTTCTGTTATTGATTTCTAGTTTGATTTCATTGTGGTCAGAGATCAGTTTGTGCAACATTAATTATTTTAAATTTGTTGAAGTTGTTTTTTGTGACCCAGGACATGATCTATTTTCACGTATGTTCTATGGACACATGGAAAGAATATATATTCTGCTGTCGTTGGGTGGAGTGTTCTATAAATGCCAATTAGATCTTGTTGTTTGATGTTGTTGTTCAGTTCTCCTATATCCTTGCTGGTTTTCTAGCTATTGTTCTACCAATTGCTGACAGTGGAACGTTGAAGTCCTCATATATAATTGTGTTTTTTCCCATTTCTCCTTCCAGCACTAGCAGTTTGGCTTTATGTATTTTTTTTTTTTTTTTTTAGCTGTTTTGTTTGGGTCATACCCTTTTAGGATTGCTATATGTCTAATCAGTAAACTAACTCTGCTATCACTACATAATGCCCCTTTATGTCTCTGGTAATATTCTTTGCTCTGAAATATACTTGGTCTAACATTAATATAGCTCCTTTCTTAGCCAGGTGTGGTGGGACACACCTATAGTCTCAGCTACTTGGGAAGGTAAGGCGGGAGGATCCTTGAACCCAAGAGTATGAGGCTGCAGGTGGCACACTCAGGTAGCACAATTAACACTCTGAGTGACAGAGTAAAACCCCATCTCTAAAAATACCGAAAACAAAATATAGCTACTTCTGCTTTCAATGGCTTGTTTGTTTATATATCATTTTTCATTCCTTTACTTTCAATTGCCATATAAATATATTTAAAATGAGTTTCTTGAAGATAGCATATAGTTAGGTCATGTTTTTTAATCCATTCTTTTGTGTGCTTATATACTATTTATATTTAATGTGATTATTAATATGTCAAGGTTTACGTGGGCTACTTTATTTTTATTTTCTGTTTGGTCTCTTTGTTTTTCCTTGCCCTGTTTTCCTTTTCCTGCTTTCATTTGGATTACTTGAACTTTTTTTGATAATTCTACTTTTATTTATTAATAGTGTTTTTTAGTGTATCTGTTTGTATAGCTTTTCAAGTGATTGTTCTAGGTATTATATCATCTATACATAACATACTGCTTACTGATATTGAAATGGAAAAAGTTCCCGTGTCCTCCTCACAAGGCGTGAGACGGGGGTGTGGCTCGCTTCTTCAGGGCCCTGCTGCTCAGACCTTTAGGGGAGAGTACAGATGGGCAGGTTGTGGAAATCCGATCCTACAGCAGTGTCTGGGGGTGGATGTTTACAGCTCCTGAAGCCCCAGGGGGCGTGTGCTACTGTGTGCTTTTTTAGTTTTGCCGTCTATAGGCAGCTTGTGTTAACCAGCTCAATTAGACCCTCTACCTTGTCGCAAGGACATAGGGCTTTCTGTATCCCGGGTTCTTGCCTTGGTGTACTGGAAGAATCGGATCACACCTGGGCTTGGAGAATGAATGCAGGGTTTTATTGAGTGGAGGCAGCTCTTAGCACATGGGGGAAGCCAGAAAGGGATGGAGTGGGAAGGTTTTCCCCTGGGGTCAGGCCACTGAG
This sequence comes from Homo sapiens, assembly GCF_000001405.40. Lineage (NCBI taxonomy): Eukaryota > Metazoa > Chordata > Mammalia > Primates > Hominidae > Homo > Homo sapiens. The sequence goes on along the minus strand of NC_000011.10, from coordinate 116,147,957 downwards.
TGGCCTGGGCTCTCCTCCAACCGCCCCTTGATATCCTCTCAACGTCCAGCCGCTTGTGTCTTCTTCTGCCGGTGTGTTCCTCTTGATGTCCAGCCACTTGTGTGTTCCTGCACTGATGTGCTCCTCTTCACATCCAGCCACCTGTGTGTCTGCCTGCTAGGGTGTTGGGGATTTTTATAGGCACAGGATGGGGGTGTGGCAGGCCAGGGTGTTCTTGGGAAATGCACCATTTGGACAGGAAAACAAAAATGCCTGTTCTCACCTAGGTCCATGGGCACAAGCCCAGGGATGGAGCCCTAGCCAGGGACCACGCCCTTCCCTTCCCCACTTCCGTATCATTTAAATGGACCATGCCGTTCCCTTTCCAGCACTTGTGTATCATTTCCCCCCTCTGAAGAGGTACATCTAACTACCGCTAGAATATGGTTTAGCTGCTTCCTGCTGACAGCGGATGTTGTTTTGGGGAAAACGGCAGTCAGATTCCTCTCAGAAGTCTATCTAAGGGTTCCTAGCAAAAAGGAGCCATTGTCTGAGCCTCTGGTTGCCTGGCCATTTGGAGTTTGATGGCTTCTAGGTGCGAGAGAACAAAACAAGTTTTATAAGCTTAAGTATGCATAGGTTAAACATGTATTATACAAGGAAAGAATTTAGTGCCGAAGATTACAGAGATAAGAAGTGAAGTATAGTAACAACAACATTGTACCCTGAGGTGTTTCACCCTGGTGAAAGGAATTAAACCTTGTATGGGAGCAGATAAATGTTAGAAGAGAGATAACTCTTCTTGCCATATCTTTAGCGGTTAACAGGTGTACCCTGGGAATTCTGGGGTTTGTGGGCTTTGCTCAGTGACCATTAAAACTTTTGCCTCTTTCCTGTATTTCCTTTCTCTTTCCTGGGCCTCTTGTCTCTGTTATAAAACACCAAGGTGGCCACTTTCAGGAGGTCCTCCAATGTACTATCTGGTCCCAGGGTCAATTTCTGCAACTTCCTCCTGATGTCAGGAGCTGCCTGAGTAATAAGTTTATCCTATAGGATTCGTTGTCCCTCAACTGAATCAGGAGATGGAGAGGTGTGCTTTACCAAGGCTTCTCTTAGCCTTTCCAGGAAAGCAGTGGAATTTTCATCCGATCCTTGTTCGATCATGGACAACTTAGTATAATTGAGAGGCTTGGTCTTAGTCCTATGTAAGCCCTCCATTATGCACACCTGAAAGTGTCTCCTTTTCCAGGCTTCTATCTCATCATTGGGATCCCACTTAGGGTCATTTACTGGTACTGCTTCTCTTCCAGTTGGATAATATTTGCCCCTTTCCCTGATGCTATATGTGATGCAAAGCTCATCCCCAAATCTCTCTGCTGCTTGCCGAGCAGCCTGTTTCTCTGTGTCTGTCAGGGTCTGATTCAAAAGTAACATAACACCTCTAGGAGAGTTCAAATATTTGAGTGAAATTCTGGAAAACCTCTATATATTAGGGTCATCTGAAAACTTGCCAAGATCCCCCTTAATTTGCTTTAAGTCCTATAGGGAGAAGGGGACCTGGACCTTACTGGGCCCAAATTCACTGAGCATCTGTTGGAGGGGCAAGAGTGAGGCTGGGGCTTGTTTAGGGTGAGGATTTCTAGGATGGAGCAAGTGAGAGGCTGAAGCTGGATAGGGAGGTCGGGGTGGACCTGGAGGAGCAGGGCTGGAAGGAGCTGGCTCCTTTGCTGGGGGTGCCTTTGGGACTTGCATCTTTAATTCCCTGGGCTTGCCCTTCGCAGCCTTCCCTGAGATGGCAAACAGGAGGGCTAAATCAATCCTGCATTGTCAGCAAAGGTCTGGATTGCCTTGCAAGGTATAGAAAGCCTGCACATATGGGGCCTTAGACCATCTATCCTCACATCTACAGAAAAGTTCCAACTGCCAGATGGTATCAAAATGAATGCCTCCTTCCTGTAAATCAGAAAGCCCTTCATGTAAATCATGATTTGGCCAAACCTTTGTGCAGAGGGCTATGAGGTGCTTTTCCTCCAGATTCTGAGGGTCAAAGCAGTCCCACTGGTTCCGGATACACTCCAGAGGAGTATAGCTGGGAATGGTGAATGAAGAGAACTGGTTATCCATTCTGAAAGACAGGGAAAAGAGGCATCCCTCATTTCCTTCCTTCTTTCAGCAAAAATTCAGGTGTGATGGAGAGAGAAAGTAAGCATCCTCCCTTCACTCTCCACCTCTTGTCCCTGAGTCCCGGAGACCTTGCCAGGTGCCAGACCTGGGTACTGATGTGGTATGTACCCATGAAGCAGGGAAATCCCGGAGAATAGGAGTTAACCGCCCTCAGGTCCCCCGGGCCTGTTTATGCCATGAAGCACGCTCCTTCCGTGAGGTGGGGTCCAGTCGGCAGGAATCGGTCCTGCCCATTGACATTGTGCCTGTTGCATGGCTTTGGATCCCTCAGACCCGATTTTTCTTTCTAGGGCCTCAGCCTGAAGCTTAGAATCGAGTTTGGGGCTGAAAAGATATTTTAGAGGCCGTTTGTATCTGTTTAGAGTGTCTCAAATGTGCCCTGCTGAATTTGCAGTTCTCAGCCAGCAGGGGTTGTTCCTCTCTTAACTTCTCTATCAGAAACAGAGCTGGGAGGGGGAGCCCTCTCACTTAGAAAATGAAAAAAGAAAAAAAAAAAAAAAGAAGATTGAAAACAGTTAAAGGGGCAAAAAGGCTCCTGGACTAGCCCGGAATTGAAACGGGAAAAATTCCCTTGTCGCCTCACAGGGTGTGCCATGGGAGAGTGGCTCACCCCTTCAGTGTCCCGATGCTCAAACCTCTAGGGGAGGATACAGATGGGCAGGCTGTGGGGCTCCAACCCCGCGGCAGTGTCTAGGGGTGAATGTTGACAGCTGAAGCCCTAGTGGGTGTATGTTACAGGGTGCTCTTTTAGCTTTGTTGTCTGTAGGCAGCTTGTGTTAGTCAGCTCATTTAGACTCCTGCCTTATTGAAAGGACAGAGGGCTTTCTGTATCCCAGGGTTATTGCCTTGGTCTACCAGAAGAATTAGAACACACGTGGGCTTGGAGAATGAGTGCAAGGTTTTATTGAGTGGAAGTAGCTCTCAGCAGATGGAGGAAGCCAGAAGGGAGCTGGTTTTCCCCTGGAGTCAGGCTGCTCAGCAGCCCGGGCTCTCCTCCTACTGCCCCAGCCAAACTCCGCTTCGTTCTGCAGGTTGGAGGCCTGCTGGAGTGCCAGTGCCTGTCGGTGTGTTCCTCTCGATGTCCAGCCGTCGGTGTGTTCCTCTCGATGTCCAGCCGCCTGTGTGTTCCTGCGCTGATTTGCTTCTCTCAACGTCCAGCCACCTGCGTGTCTGCCTGCTAGGGTCTTGGGGTTTTTGTAGGCACCGGATGGGGGCGTGGCAGGCCAGGGTGGAAATGCACCATTTGGGCAGGAAAACAAAAATGCCTGTCCTCACTTAGGTCCATGGGCACAGGCCAGGAGGTGGAGCCCTAGCCAGGGACCACGCCTTCCTCTACCCAGCACTTCCCTTCCCCGCTTCTGTATCATTGAAGAGGATCATGCCCTTCCCTTCCCAGCACTTCCCTTCCCCTGTTCTGTATCATTATGCTACCAGTTTCAGTGAAGTATAGAAAACGTAACTCCCTTTACACTTGTTCATCTTTCCCTATTTGTAAAATAATTACCTCATATAGTTCTCCTACATTTATTCAGAACATCAAGCAATATAATAATTTTTGCTTCAACTGTTAAATGTAATTTAGAACACAAGAGAAGGAAAGCCCATTGAATTAATCTATATTTTTGCTTACTGAGTTCCTTTTTTATTTCCTGATATTCCAAGGTTCCTTCGTTTTATCATTTCTTTTCTGTTTAGAGGGCTTCCTTAGTCGCTGTTTTAGGTTAGGTCTGCTGGCTGAGCACAGTGACTTACACCTGTAATCCCAGCAATTTGGAAGGCTGAGACAGGCAGATCACCTGAGGTCGGGCGTTCAAGACCAGCCAGACCATCATGGAGAAACCCTGTCGCTACTAAAAATACAAAATTATCTGGGTTTGATGGCACATGCCTGTAGTCCCAGCTACTCCAGAGGCCGAGGCAGGAGAATCGCTTGAACCCGGGAGGTGGAGGTTGCAGTGTGGTGAGATCGAGCCATTGCACTCCAGCCTGGGCAATAACAGTGAAACTCTGTCTCAAAAAGCAAACAAACAAACAAACAAACAAACAAAAAAACCCGAAATTTTCTTAGTTTTATTTTTTCTTAAAATACCTTTATTTCCTTTTCAAGCCTGAAAGATGGTTTTGCCAGATACAGGGTATATATTGCTGGGCAATAGGATTTGGAGGATGGTGAAAACATATTTCACTCAGCACTTGAAATATATTGTGCCATTTCCATCTGGCCTGCATGGTTTCTGATAAAAAACAAAACAAAACAAACAAACACAAAAACCTTGCTATAATTTGAATTATTTCTCCACCATAGGTAAGGTGACATTTCCTTTGACTGCTTTCAATAATTTTCCTTTGTCTTTACTTTTCAGAAGTTTAATTATGGTATGTCTTGGCATGAATTTCTTTGTTTTTTTGTTTTGTTTTGTTTTGTTTTTTTGATTTTTTCAGCTTCTTGAGTCTATAGGTTTATGTCTGCTGACAAATTTGAAAAGTTTTTAGTCATTATTTCTCGGAGTGTTTTTTCACCCTTCCCTCCTCTACTTTTGAGACTCTGATAATACAAATATCAGATCTGTTGTTATAGTTTCAGAAGCCTCTAAGGCTCTGTTTATTTTTTCCAGTCTATTTTATTGAGTATATTTTTGTAATTCAATTTTATCATCTTATCTTATCAGAGAAACCTTTATTTATTTATTTATTTTTGAGACTCTCTCACCCAGGCTGGAGTGCAGTGGTGCAATCTCAGCTCACTGCAACCTCTGCCACCCGGGTTCAAGCAATTCTCCTGCCTCAGCCTCCCGAGTAGCTGGGACTACTTGGTGCATGCTGACATGCCCGGCTAATTTTTTGTATTTTAGTAGAGATGAGGTTTAACCGTGTTGCCCAGGCTGGTCTCGAGCTCCTGAGCTCAGGCAATCCACCCGCCTTGGCCTCCCAAAGTGCTAGGATTACAGGCATGAGCCACTGCTCCAGGCTATTTTATTTTTTATTGGTTACTTTAGGATTTCTAATATGCTTACCTCACCACAGGTTACTTTTAAAGGCCATTACGCCATTTAAAATACAGTATAAGAACCTAACAACTGTATACTTCCACTTTGTCCATCTACTTTTTGTACCATGATCGTCACACATTTTACCTATGTTATAAATCCTATGCTTGATCACTATTATTTTTGTTTAGTCAATTATTGTATAAAGATATTTAAACAATAAGAAAAATACATATCTACCTGCATAGTCATTGTTTCTGATGGTTTTCATTTCTTTGTGCAGATCCATATTTTCTTCTGATATCAGTTTTCTTCCACCTAAAGACTGTCCTTGCATATTTCTTGTAGTGTGAATCTGTTACTCACAAATTATTTTTGCTTCTTTATGTCTAATAAGTCTTTATATTGCCTTTGCTTTTGAAAGATATTTTTGCTAGGTACAGAATCTGGGTTGAACATTTTTTCTTTCAGTACTTTAATGATGTTGCTTCAGTCTTCTCACTTGCCTTGTTTCTAGAGAGAAATCTACTGTCATCCTTATCTTTGCTCCTTTGTACATAAAATAACTTTTTTTTTTCTGGCTGCTATTGATTTTTCTCTTTGTCACTGATTTTGAGCAGTTTGATTTTGATGTGACTTGCTGTCACAAAAAATGTTTCTTACGCTTGGGGTTCATTGAGCTTCTTGGATCTGTCAATGTATAGTTTTCATCAAATTTGGAAAATTGTTATCCATTATTCAAATATGTTTTTCTGTCTCTTTTCCCAGAGACACCAATTACACATATATTAGGGTATTTGAAGTTGTCCCACAGCTTACTGATGCTCTATACGTTAAAACAGTTATCTTTTCTTTCTGTGTTTCATTTTGGTTTGTTTTTATTGCTATGGCTTCAAGTTCACTAATCTTCTCTTCTGCAATGTCTAATCTTCCCTCAATCATATTTTGTGTATTTTTCATTGTACATACGGAAATTTTTATCTATACTAGTTCAATTTAAATCTTTTTTTTTGGGTAACTTCTACATCTCTGTTTAGTTTTTCAAGATATGAAATACAGTGATAATAACTGGCTTAATATTATTGTGTGCTAATTCTAATATCCGTGTTAGTTCTGAGTTGATTCTAATGGATTGCTTTTGCTCCTCCTTATGGGTTGTATTTTCCTGATCTTTTGCATTCAAAGTTTTATTGGATTCCAGGTTAAGAATTTTTTCTGTTGACTATTGGATATTTTTATATCTATTCCTTGTTACTTCATCTTGGCTAGAAGAGGAGGTCCTACTTTATCCTTTGAGATGCCACCAGCAGTTGGGCCTTCAGGAGGGGCAGAGCTGGGCATTAGGCATCTTCTCAGGTTACAGTAGGGGAGTGTGTTGGGCTGGTCCTCTGAGGATGCTCAGGGTTTATTCTGCAGTGCTGCAAGTTGGCTTCCTCCCTCCCAGAATTCTCTTTCTCTGTCACACTCCATTGCCAGGACCATATTTTCTATGGCATAATGGCATCTTGTTTGGGGGATAAGGAAAGCAAAGAAACTTAAACTGATCTGCTCTGTTTGCCTTAGTTAATGACAGAGGCAAGAACCATTATTTTCTTCTTTACCAAATGGATTTTGCTCTCTTCTTTCTTCATTCTTTTGTTCTTTTATAGTGTTTATGCACTGAGAATTCCATAATAAATAAGATAGATAAATTATTATAATCTCCTGCAGCTTATTTTGTAGTGAAGTCTGAATAGACGTCCACGTCCTAATCCCCAGAAACTATTAATTTACTACCTCACATGGCAAAAGGAACTTTATAGATGCAATTGAAGATCGTGAGATGGTGACATTTCTGGATTGTCCAGGTGGACCCAGTGTAATCACAAGGGTACTTATAAGAGGGAGGCAGGAAGCAGAGGTAGAGGTGATGCAACAATGGAAGCAAAGGGCAGAGTCAGAGAGCGGGGGAGTTTAAAGATGCTATACTGTTGGCTTGAAGATAGAGGATGGGACCATGAGACAAGGAATGCAGACAGCCTCTAAAACGTGGAAAAGGCAAGGAAATAAATCTTCCCTAGCACTCCCAGAAGGATTACACGCCTTGATTTTAGCACAACAAAATTGGTTTCAGACTTCTGATCTTCAAGACCCTAAGGTAATAAATTTATGTTGTTTTAAACTACTAAGTTTATGGTAATTTGTTATAGCAACAATAGAAAACCAATATGAAATCAAATATTAAGCAAATAAATAACTAATAAATTACAGGTAGTGCTTATTGCTACAGATGAAATAAATAGAGTATGAATGATGCAGTCATAGAGAATAATGGGTGTATCTGGTGGTGCTGAGGAGACCCAGTTTGGATTGAATGGTCAGGAAAGGTCTTTCTGCAGAGGTGACGTTTAGTCTGTGTCCTAAAAGATGAAAGAAGCCAGGTATGTTAAGCTCCCTTCTCTTTCTTTTCTGGTCCAGTTCAAGCTCCCTACTTTCATTCTTGCCAAAAACACTAGAATAAGAGATAAATACAATTACAGTTTGCTTTAACCTAGAGATTAACAGAAAAAAAGTGAATTTAATTTTTAGGAGGAAGTGTTCTGGTTTAGAAGGACTTTCTGGCTGAAGCTGATCAAACAAATGCCCTGATATTCCTAGTACACCAGCACCACTCACCTTTGAACTTGGAAGACAGCTCAGAGGGCAGTCAGTACAGCCTTGCAGCTTGCAGAGAAGAAGGAATCTTGGTAAGAAAATTAACTTGTCCACAGTTGCTCAGCTAGTTATCAGCAGAACAAGGCCTGGAGCTTAGAACTGGCATCCCAGTTCTCTGCTTTCCTCTTTGCAAAACCAATATTAATTTCAGATTGTTGGGTTGGGCTCCTGACACCAGTCATCTGACCAAGTCCTCCAAATGGCTTTGGGTACAAACAGCTTCATGGAGGAGGGAGGGAGGCAGGCCTGAGCTCAGAACTTTTGTAGACCCCAGGAGAAGGAGCTCAGGGCTGATAGTAAGGCCATCTGACATGTGAGATGTTTGGTGAGAGCCTGAGCACCAATGCCACAACCCCACAGAAGGGGAAGAGCTGCTCCTACTGGCTCCAGGCCAGAAAGGCTGACAGTGACAGCAAGGGTCCAGCCAAGATGGCCCATCACTGCCTTTCTGCAGCCACCTCCTGTCCTGTGACTACAGATCAGTCAGTGAGTGGAAATGACCATTGAGAAGGAGAACTGGGTCAGGACTTCTGGTGCCTCTCCTGCCGCCACCAATGTTAACATGGAATGAGTGCCCTGAGCTGTTCTGAGAATGCAAACTCACTTCCACGAAGGTGAAAGATGTTCATTGAACCTTGTTCTGTACACAAGTGTGCTAGGTCCAGCAGGTGGAAAAGGGAATGGGATGGCAAAGAGATGAAAAGAGGGTGGGTTGTGGTAAGTACCAGGGCTTATAAGTTTTCTGCTGCCCTTTAGACCATAGGGGCTGTGTGGATTCTCAGAGAATGTTGGTTAGGGAAATTCACTAATTTAATCACTGGATGCTTATCAATTGGCTTTGGTACCTGGGACTGTACACACATACATAAACCTTAGCTTACTTAATATCTGTAACATTTCCTGCCAGATTTGTCCCTCTTGTCTATATCCTACACATGAGGCAACTGCAGTCTGGTATGACTTGCTCAAGATAGTGAGATGCAGGTCTAGGTCCTCTGTAATCATTGCTACCCCCACAGAATAAGTGAGTGAATGAGTGAAGGAATGAATGGGAAACAGATATGCATGACAGCTAGCTTAGTGTCCAAATGAGCAGTGAGGGCTGAGGAAGATGCCCATGGATGGGGTTGTCAGGAGAGGGTTGGCAGGGAAGAGAGCTATCGGACCCTGCTCGTGCCGGGCTGATAATCTACTTGGCGAGAGAAGACATCCATGAAAAATGATGGAATAATTTATACCAATAATTATGTCGGGAAATGTGATAGAACCACACACAAATTCTAGTGGGGGAACAGAGAAAGTTCCAACTTTAGGAGGTGGTGATACCCAGGGTTTCAAGAGGATATCCTTAGGGAAGGGAGGATGTCTGTTGGGAGGGGAATGGGTGACATGTTTTCTGCAGGGGCAGGCAGGGGAGCACATTCTGTGAGGGAATGTTGTGTATAAAGCCAGGCCCTGGCATGGGGTAGGGATGTCGGGGCACAGTGCTGAGCATTGCACACTTGAATGGAGGGGTTGGAGGAGGAGGTGGCAGCTGGAGGGGGCACCGTCAGGCAAAGGAGACTAAAGCTTGCAGGGGTTTGAGAAAGAACATAATTGGTTGAAGCTGCCCAGAGGATCTAGTCCCTTTCCTGAAGCTCAGAGCTAGCGCCAACCCTGGTTAGGTTGCCTAGACCCCAAGTGAATAAGATCCCCGTCTTGTAAGGAATCATATTTCTGAAGCACCATATTTTTTCCTGAGCATCTTTTATGGCTCCCAGCTCCCAGAAGCTGTGGTCCTCAGTTCTTAACCCGGCAATTCTGTTCCCTAGGCTCAGGTCACAGCACACATCGGAGCTTTGCTTTCTGCTGTCACTCATTCACAATCTCTGATGCAGGTGCTCCAGCCTTTACTGGCTTCCAGGGTATGCAGAGCCTTCCTCCTGGGGAAACACTGCTTGACTCACCCTTTGCCCCCAACCCTCATCCCATGTCTATTTCCCTCCATCTGTCTTTCTGAATTCTACTCATTCTTTGAGCTCTAACTCAAGGCCCGTCTCCTCTAGAAAGCCTACCCTGGCTTCCCTAGTTCAGAGTGGCCTCTACCTCCCTTGAATTTCCATAGAATTTATTGTCCATGTAGCACCCTACTCCTGGCTTGTTCATTGTGCTTCTGTGGGGAAAAGGTTACTGGGCTGATAAGATCTGGCTTCAGAGCTTATGTGACTTTCAGTATGTTAGTAAACCTTTTTGTGCTATGATTTCCTTTTTTGTAAAATCAATGTAAAGGGTTATTGTGTCATAAATCTATTGTGAGAGTAAGACAACCTAGTGCATGAGGTGTGGCTGTTAAATACTTGGTGACCAATAAACGTTTATAGAATAAATGTGTGGTTTTCTCCTCCCATCAGTGCCTCCCCAGTAAGGGGTTTCGGAGAGTATAAGGGGTCAGGCACTGCTTTCCATGCCATGGGGACCCGAAAGCCCAAACTGGGCCCAAAGGAGACGGGGGAGAGATCACTAGCTGACTTCCTTTAGTGTGCAGGCCTACAGAGCCCCAGAATTTCCAGCCCACTGTCCCTGCTTTCCCTGACTCCAGCACAGACACAGGCACAGGCACAGGTTCTAGGCTCACTGCAGAGTGCTGAAAATCTGTAGCTCACAGCCAGGGATGATTACTAAGCTCCTTGGTGCTTTTGGTCCCTAAGAATCTATCTGCTGTCTTTCTCAGAGTTTCAAACAGTTTCTCAAGGACGCCCCCACCCCCAGGGATGTGTTCCCCTCTTTTGTTGGTCACAAAGAGCCCTACTTTCCTAATGAGCTGCTAAGGAGCTGTCAATTATGGATGCAAATAAAGAGGCCGGAAATTATTACTAGCCCAGAAATGAACGGAAGGAGGCAGCTTCCCTTAAACCTCCTGGGCTGGCACCTGCCCTTTCCTGAGAAAGCTGGGCCGGGGCGGGTCAGGAAGGCTGGCCTGCCTGTCCCCACAGCTAACAGCAATCTGGCTTTCTTTTTCCCACGCATCCCTGTCTATTCTGAAGGCTGCCCCTCAGAAGCACGTCAAAACTGCAGGGGATTGTCCATATATAATACATACTTTATTTTTTCTATGAGATATTTCATGATTTCACACACACACAAACACACACACACACACACACACGAAAAATGAATTAGCAGCTATTGAACATATGTGGTAGGCATAGTTTCTTTTTCCAAAAAATAATTCTTCTTATTAACCTTTCTTTTACTTTATATGACTATATATTTGTGTCTCTCCAAAAATTGAGGGCAGTTTTTGCTCAATAAACCTTCACTTAATTCAATTGGGAAAAGAAAGAATATAAGAGCCCACTGGGCTGGGCCAAGCAGAGCCAGGAGGTAAGCCTGGGATAGCTCATCTTCCTGTCCCACACCTCCCAGCACCTTCTCTCCCCAACCAAGCACCCTTTCCTGCTTCCCAGGGACCACCTGTTTTTCATATTCTAAAATATGCAAAGTGTTTCAGTAAAATATTTGACCAGGACACCCTATGAAGTAAAGATTAGGAGTGTGGGTTTTCAGTTTCAGACTGCTTGGGTTCAAATACCGTCTCCCGCTCCTATTTGGTAAAGTAGCTCTACCTCTCCATGTTGCAGTTTCCATATTTGTAGTAGGCAGATGTAGGGGAAAGGAAGAACTTTTCTCTCTATTTCAGGTTCATGGCTAAGGTTCCTATAACAAAAGACAGATTAATACATGAAAGGCATACAAATTTGTTTAATGTAAGTTTTACATGACATAGGAGCCTTCAGAAATGAAGACTAAAGGAAATAAAGAAACCTGTGTATTTTTATGCTAAGTTTGATGAAGAAGTAGATCGTTGTGGAGAAGTAGGACTAGACAAAGGTGGTATGAGCTGAGGGTAATAAATCGGAACTTAGCAAGGCCTGTGTGTTCAAATTCTTCTCTGTGTTCTTTGCATTTTAATGGTCTCTGTGTCATCAGAGTTAAGGATCTTCCTTTTCTTTGGGTACAGAGAGGGCACCTCTCACATGAGGGTTTTATGGCCTACTTCAAGGGAAGGTCAGAAAATTATTTCTAGGTTTTATGGCCTGCTTCAAGGAAGAAAGGCAGTGGCAGGGGAAGGGGGTGTTTGAGAGTGATATTCCTGCTTCTGCTGTTTTCTCAAATGCCAAGGTGCTATATTGTGAGGTAGTGTGTCTTGAATCCCATCACAGACAATTATAGCCCTACTTGGAGCTAATGGTACGTACCTAGCACATAGTAAGCTCTCAATCAATGCCACAATGATTCACTCACCTCCGATGGCAATCACAGCAACAGAACCTCACGATGTGCAAAGGTGCTATCTTAACCTCACAAAGACCCTGTGAGGGGAGATCTGTTGTTCCCATTTTTCCAGTGAAGAAACTGAGGCTCAAAGAAATTAGCCTGAGGCCACTAGGTAAAAGTCAAACTTTCATTATTTGAGTCTAGAAATCCTCTTCTTTGCATTAGAGGTGCTGATTACTAAACATTATTGTGTTGGCTCTGCCAAGGGATTTGCATTTTAATGGTGGCCAGAGGTCCTACGTTAATGCACAAAACTATGGATACCTAATCATAGAATCTTAAAATGTCACCTATGGGGATAGGTGAAAATGGGCAATGGCAGGTACTAAGTTGGGAAAGAGGAAATAATTTTGTTTTCTTTCGTGAATAGCAGGGAGGAAAAGAGACAATTTTTCCTGCTTTTGAAATCATGATACACAGGCATAAATTCTTTTTGTTCTAATCTGATCTAAACAGGAAGAAATCTCAATTAGGAAAAAGGAGGGCTGAGGAGGTGGGACTTCAGGCCTGCAGAGTTCTAATAAAAGAACCATTGCTCTTGGGTCTTTGGAATTTGGAGAAGCTTTGGTGGTCTGCAGGTCTAGGGAGGGGCCTGAGAGATGATTCTAAGCTGGAACCAACATCTACAGAAGAAGCCTTAAGGATCTGCCAGAAAGCAGAAGGCTGAAGGATGATTCAGTCAGAGTCTTCAGCTGTAGATACCCATGGCCAAATGCAAGAGAAAATGGGCTGAAGCAATTGCAAAGGGAATCCAGTTAGGATCAGGAGCTGAGAAGCCCCGGGCTGGCACTGGCTTTAAGCAAAGCTAGATTCAGGAGCTCAAATGGTGTCAAGTCTCAGTCCTTTTCCATCCCTCAGCTCTGCCTTCCAGAGCTCATTCTCAGACTCCTCAGGATGCCTCTCAGCAGGACCACCATAAGGTTTTCCCTAATGCTAGCAGTCCTGGTGATAGCAGAAGATAACTCCTAAACATATCATCAAGGTTTGGTGAGGAGACCAAAAGCCACTTTAGGTATCCGGAAGATGAATGAATTCAATACAAGAAGTTAAACTTACACAACCATTGGAAGGGCTGGAGGAGCAAAGACCAAAAAGGCAGCTGCTAACCTCCAGGAATCTGGATGCAGGAATCTCAGTGAGGCTGTCACTAGTGATCTCAGGTGCCTGTAGTGCCTGAGTGAGTGATTCACAGGAGAATGCCTGGAAGCCTGCAAATCTTCATGTGGCTGGAGAAAAAAAATGGCTTATTCTTCTCTTCCATCTTTTACATCTTGAACAAGTGCATCTCCTTGGTGGACCCTTACAGGGACCAGGCTGTCAAGGGCATCTGGGAAAGATAATTTACTGGCTGTCTGCCCTGTATACCAGGAAAGAGCTGACAATGGTGGGGACAGTACTGAGTATCAACAAATAGTCCCTCTCTCACTAGTTCTCTTGCAAAGGGTTGATTGTATTTTCTTGGCTTTGCCTGGACTAGGTGACTATCCCTGAACAAAGCTCTGGGCTTGGACTTCACATGTTTCAGAGGTTTACCAAGTCGCAAGACCCCCCTGAAGCTGGGAACCGAGTCAATGGCATTTGAAGGACTAGAACTGAGAGCAGGGAAAGCTGTCTCCGGAAAGGAAATTTGGGGTATTGTTACTAAAAGAAGCAGGAACTAATACTCAGGAGCCAGGAAAACATTCACATTATAATTCCTGTCTTGAACAGACAATTCAAAAACGGACTTCGGGGCCAAATGGATACTGGTTCAAATACCCGTATGATATGGGCAAATGTCTTAAACTTCTTGGAGCTTAATTTCTTCCTGAGAGTAACAAGATGATGCCATCTACTTAACAGAATTAGTATAAGACTCATGAGTAATAACTGCCTATGCTACTATCTGGTACAGAATATATGAAAAAAAAGTTCATCTATTTTCTTTATCTTTCCTTTCTATTTACTAATTGATTCAATAAATATTAACTAGGAGCCTACCATATCTATTAGCACTATGCTAGATGCTGAGAATCAAAGATAAATATGATACAGTTTTTGATCTTTACTAGGCCAGAGTCTAGGGGGTCACGTAGTTATAACGAATACAAGAAAAGTGTGTTAAGTGGAGTAATGCATTATAACACAAAGTCTCTCTATTCCGATGCAAGGAGATGCGCATTAAATGACATTTCACTAATATTTAATATCACCATTACATGCAACCAAGGCTATCTTGGGAAAAGTGGAGTTGCTGTCATTGCTCTGGCTTCCTCCTTGTCCCTACCATGGCCCAGAGCTGCCTACAGGCAGCCAACTGGATGGCTCAATTCACTGTGATCCCTTCTTCTTTCTCCGTAGCACACAGCATGATGCTCTTTTCCACAAATAAGAAATGCGGGGCTGAGGATTCCTGAAAATCAGATAACTACCCACAAGATAAACCAAGCTGGTTGTCCTTTTACCTCTCTGTTTCTCTCCTCTGCTTGGTTCCCTCTCCCTTGGTTTGGACTGCGCCTGGCTCCCAGGGATCTGGTAAGGCATGAGGTCAGGGAAGTTGCTGGGCTTAGTTCTTCCCTTGCAAGATAATTCTTAAGGCCTACGAGGAATAAATTTCAGGCTTTTAAGCAACTTGGTCAATTAGGGGTTAAGCTCCCAAGGAAAAGGTTCCTGGAGGCCCTGGCTGGCCTGTCTCTTCACTTAACAATGGCAAAGCTTCTTCTCTGCAGTAACCTTTGCTCTAATTGCACACTCGCCATCATTCAACTGGACTCACAATTCTTTGCCGGGTAGGGAAATGACAAGAGACTGAAGGGCTGTGAAAGTTCAGCTCTTGCCTTCGTGGCTTTTTGCTGCAAATGCCACTCAGGCCCCTGCAGTAGCAACATGCCACCATGGCTCCAAAGTCTAAGTGCCCTGCTAGCAGGAGCGCTGGGGGGTCAGAGCTGTGGCAATGATGGGGAAGGGTGGAAGAGAGCGGCAGGGGGGACCCTCTGAGGTCGTGGTTCCAATGCTCAGCTGTCAGAGAGATGGCACTGAGAAGGGCATCAGAACCCAAACAGCACCCAGGCTGTTTCCAGATGCGGGGCTGCATTCACTCAAAGGTCTGACTGTGGGTAGGTCAGAGAGGGTGAAGGACCTGAAGCAGGTCCAGATAAGAGGAAGCAAAGTGAGGAGTGGATGGAAGGTGCCGGGCTGTCTCTTGAGTCTTAGGTGAAAATACCAAGGCTGGCAGATGGCAGCGTCTCCATTAGATCATCCTGGGGTACAGGCTGAGCTAGAAACATCACAGGGAGAATGGAACAGCCAGTCCCAACATCCACTGGAGCTCCAATATAGGGCCTGCTCCTGCCTTCGCTCAGGCCCTCAGGACCTCCCGCTGAGGTGACTGGGCCCGCGCACGGGCTTGCAGTCTGGACTCTCTGCTTCTGCCCTCACTGCTGTCGGGGTAAGCTTCAAAAAATACAAGCGGAGCCATTCACCTTCCCCTAAATCTTTCAACAACTCTCAAAGGCCTAAAGGATAAGTTTAAACTCTTTGGCATGGCCTTCTCTGGTCATCTCAGAATTGGCCTCAACCTACCTTTAAAGTCTCAGATTCTGTAACATCCCTCTGCATGCCTTGGGCTCTGCACAAGAGAAGATAATCAGATACAGACAAGGCCTTGCCAGCAAAGGACAGTGCCTGGCATGTTCAGGTAAGGGAGAATTCATTGCGATCCCTTCTTCTTTCTCCATAGCACACAGCATGGTGCTCTTTTCCACAAATAAGAATGCCTTATTGAATTCTCCCTTACTTGAGCATGCCAGGCACTGTCCTTTGCTGGCATGGCCTTGTCTGTATGTGATTATCTTCTCTTTTTTGCCCATGGGCATTTAACCTATGTTTCAAGTGCCTCTGAAAAGCCATCACTGATCTCAGGTGAGAATTTTTGGCTTCTTGCACCTCCTGATTTGACTCTAACTGGAGATAGGCCCACCTCTTTGAAGTTGTTGTAAGTGGATCGAGGTCAGTGACTGTGTAAAAATCATTTGGTGCTGTCTACTGTGCCCAGCTCAGTGCCAGGCTTATAGCGAGTGCCCTGTGGATGGTGAATAAATGAACCAGAAGCCCTTGCTTGAGGTGAGTGATAATGAACCACAGAGGTACTTCCAGGAAAGGCAAGGTAGTAAAGAAGCTGTGAAGAGTTGCGTGTCCCTTTTCTTTAGCTATCATTATTCATTTGCCAGGCTGAGCTCAGCAGCCCTGCCACAGATGGATATAGGCTTGGAGGCCTGGAGGCCTGTTCCAAATGGGCCCAGCTATTCTTGGGAGCTTTTTGTGTGATAAAGAGAGTCCCCCGACTGGCCCACTGACCTTTCCCCAGGCCTCCTGAAGGCTGAGTTATTGCCTTGTGGTGCATAGCAGAAGAGCCGCTTCCCTCCCCAGAGAAAGAAGTAAAAACATGCAGGAGGGAGGGTAATAATAGCTTCCACTTATGGAGCATTTACAATGTGCCAGGCAGTCTGGTAAGCATTTTTTGATATATTTTCCTGTTTCATTCTTAGGACGCCTTGGTGAGTTAGGAATGATAAGAATGTGAGGCTCAGAATGCTTAGGTCACTTGCCTAAGATCACACAGCGAGGAACTGGTGGAGCTGGGCTCTGGACCCAGGTCTTTCTGACTCCAGAAGTCCACATTCTTATCAACTGCATTTTACAGTCTCGGGTGCGACAGGGCATCTGCGGCTCCCCTGCTCTTTGGGAGGACCCCTGTCACCCAGAGGTTGGTTTCAGGGCTCTGGATGGGCAGTTGGTTTGTGAGGGCCACTCTCTTCCCTGGGGTATGAGAGAGAGAGAGAGAGAGAGAGAGAGAGAGAGAGAGAGAGAGAGAAGAGACAGAGAGAGAGAGACAGAGACAGAGAGAGAGAGACAGAGAGAGAGAGAGAGAGAGAGAGAGACAGAGAGAGAGAGAGAGAGAGAGGTGGAGGAGGGAGAGAGCCAGAGGGAGAGGAGAGAATTTATTCCGCTGATTATGCTGCTTATTCTGTTGGGGGCAGCCTGGGTGACAGAAACATAGCATGCCAATAAAGAGTGTCTTTATGGCCCCACCGACCACAAGGGCTAGAAAGTCTCTAGCTGGAGATAAAGTCAGGAGAGATGGATTAGACCCTGTCAGGATCTCGGGCAGTAGAGAAAGGAGGAGGCAGGAAGCTCAGATGGAGCCTGTGGAGCTTGGGGGCTGTGGGGGTCTTGGCCCATCATGGCGGCTGCTACTCATCCTATGGGAGGCGGCCGCTCTTCCTGTGCGCTAATTCCTGTCCGCTAAGCCTCTGCTTGCCTCTTTCTAAGAAAACTCTGATATGGTACGAAGCACATTCTAATCACCACATCTAATTACAAAAAAGAGAGTAAATCACCAAACAAAATTAGTTTTCAGAGTCCTAATTATCACCAGAAAGAGTAATTAATAAGCAAAACAGGAAATGACCCAGCCAAGTCCTATAGCCTGCAAAGATGTGCTTCTCTCCTTGGTACACATTTGAGTGAGGAGTGGGCGGGATCTGCACCACCAAAACCTCAGAGCCCCGGAGGGCATTAAACATTACCTAGGGCTGCACACATTCTCAGAAGTTTGCATGCGTTTCAAACTTGGTTTGCAAACTTTCTAGGTCGTTCCTTCCAGGCCCCTTTCTTTCCCAGGCCTTGAGGCCAGAGTAAGGCAGCAGAATTAGAATAAATAGACCGTCCTCTCCTTTTCTCTCCCCGAGTGTAACAGGCTCTGGGCCAGAAACTCTCAAACCAATTGATAATAACAAGCTCAAGTTCAATGCCATTGGCTGTCTGGTGAGACCTCCCTGGCTTTTCTTGTCTCTGCTCTTCGGTTTGTATTTCTTTATTTATTCATTTTAATAGTAGCATCATATAAATAAAACACCATTACAAAAATGTCGCAGAAAGTTCAAAACTATTCATTATCCATTTCATACAGATTAAAATTGCCATCAAGGCTGTTTGGATTTGACTTGCGTTCTTTTCCTTCTAATGAGCCGGATAGAGAAGGCAAAAGATGCTAATTCATCCTTACATCTCTATCATATCTTGGCTTTTACTATATAAAGCATCAAGGTCGCATTCTGGGGAAATGTCTTTTTACCAAAGGTGCTATAATAATAATGAAGAAGCAATTTGTTTCAGCAAACTGCCTGCAGTAATGAGGCTTAATTATAACCATGTTATTAATACCGCTGCTTAAGGTAATTCACTTCTGAGCAGGGTGCAGAACAGTAAACTATAATTTAAACAAGAATCGAGACCTAATTTAAATCATCGGATCTACTGCGGAAAAAGGCAAACAGAACGACTATATTCTGCACGTGATTTAGAGCTTCGCCTCGGTGCCATTTCCGGGAGACCTAGGTGACTATCAGAGGGGCAGGGAACTGGGATCGGGGTCTGGGTCCTTCCACTCTTTCAGGAGGCTTGGTATGTGATGCATTTGCTGGACCTGTATCCAGGTGCCTTTTGCTTCTTGAACTTCATCCCCATATAGGTAGAGGAGGCTGAGGGGCCAGGAGGAAGGTCCTCTTCATCTCAAGGACATCTCCAATGTGCTCTTGCACCCATTTAAATTCCCCCACTAATACCCAGGCCAGACAGGGTGAATGCCTCACCTAAGAACACACAGTTGGCTGCCAGGTGTGAACCAACATCTTCTGCTCCCTACACCAGTGCTTTTGCAGCAATATCAGCATCAACTAGTGGTCTAAATGTCACTAGGCTACTCTAACATGGCACCCAGGACATCTAACCCAACAATTCCCAGACCTGGTTGTTCCTCAGAATTTCCTGAGATGCTTGGTAGAAAATATAAGTCTGTGGGTCTTACCCCACCACCTAGATACTGATTTTTCTTTTAGTCTGGCTTTGGGCTTGGGGATCCATGTGTTTATCAAGAACCCTGGTTTTCCAGATGCAGCTGGTCTAAGGGACCAGGCATATATTTCATTCATCTGCCCAGCAGCACCAGTACATTTAAAATATACACAAAAGTGTGTGTGTGTGTGTTGTGTTTTCTTGATTACCTCCTCTGAATTACATTTATTCATTCATCTATTCAACATTTGTAGGGTACCAATTATGTGCAAACCACAGTTTATGCACATCAGCTCTTCCTATTCTACTATGCTTTAATCCCTGCTGCTGGAGTTTCAGTGAATTTTCCTCTTCTTAATGCAGAACTATATTCCACGTTTGTCTAAATGAAAAGAAACAGGAAATTGAGAACAGTCTTAAGTAGTGGTAGATTTTATTAAAGACCATGTCTAGCTCCATGTTTTATACCAATGCTCCATGCATGTTCATTATTACCAAGGTAAAGAGCTGTCCTTTCTAAGAGTCTTCATCAATGCTAGCTAACTAAGGCCTAAGAATTCCTTGGGCAGTCAAGGCTAAGTTAATGAGGCAGTTATGAATACTCTGTCACTGAGAATTTACAAAGGAAGGAGAAATTTCTGGAGTGGGGGCAATGAAGACACTATTTCCAGCTTTAACTCCATGATAAATCATAGGGGCCTCTGCACCCAGGCAATCGTCTTTGACTGATTATCTAATTCCTGCCTATCCATCCTCCATCCAACCAGCCAATCAGCCAATCTCTTCCATTGTTCTAACTCAAGCCACTGTCCTTGGAGGTAGGAGGATGCAGGGCATGGTGAGCTGTGAAATGAAGACAGAAGCCAGTAGCCTGAAACCCAGAGCTCACCAAGAAGTCACATACCTTTAAAGACTGTGGTCTGCCTTCAGAACATGGAACTCCTCATACTTCTCACTCTCAGCTCTTTCAAGCCCCATGCACAGAGGCAGGTACAAAGCAAAGCTAAATGTGGAACCAATTGCATTCAAATTGGACATATTCTCTGAGGCAATGCTCCCCAGCAACCTTTCTCCTAAGTTCTGGAGAACTTTTTAAAAAGGTTCGCTGTTTTGTGAAATGTTACGTGGGAAGGTATGACTTCAAATGGGTCAAAGACAATAGAAATTCTCCTATATTTTAAAGGAGGTAAAGGCCTTACTTTGTCCTAAGGTCAGCCTCCTCCCCAAACCAACCCCCTCAGGCCTGCCTCAGTTTACCTGCAGTATCACCCACACACATTTCTTTGTCTCTGCTTGGGAAACCTGCCATCCCTCTCCTCCCTCTGCTCCCTCTGTTTTTTGTTTCTCTCTCACTTTTGTTCTTTTTTAAGACAACTCTACCCTCCTGGGTTTCCTCACTGGCACAGGAGCTCTGCAGAGCCAAATGACACCAAATGATGTCTCCAGCTGATGGTAATGATTGGGCTCTGGCTGAACCGCAAAAATAAGGCATAGAGCTGCAAGGCAGAGCCCAGACAGCACTGTACTGGAAGCCATGCTCTCTCTCTCTCTCTCTCTCTCTCTCTCTCTCTCACACACACACACACACACACAGTGCATGCCACACATTTACATGCATGCACATACGCATGCACACGTACAAATTCACAAACAGACATTGATGCTGGTTTGTGTGTACAAAGACATATACCCATGTGTTAATATATACAGACGCAGACATAACTTCATGCAGCAACGACCCTTCCTTTCCCCTTAATTAACCCCTCCTTCCTTCCCAAAGTGCTGGATTTACCCCACCAGTTATGTGGGCAGGTGTCTGGGGATATAGTCCATTTCAATCCTGGAGACACAGTGAACCCATCCAGATAAAAATGTCTGAAGAGTAGCTGATGGCAGTGGAGTGAGGGAGGAGCAGGAAGGCATGGTGTCTGCAGCATTTCCCTTAGTCGGGGGAAATAAAACCCCCCTCTGCCAGTGTTCCATTTCCTTGCAACCTCCCGCAGGCTGTTTCATCTCATATTGTGTGAGCTCTGAGGGGGTGTCCAATTTGAGGAACAATAACTATAAAGTCATTTTCAGTGCCCTGCTGTGGCACAGTGTCTGACTGACCTGGCTAAACACTACGCTAGCTCTGCAGAGCTGCCGCTCACTGTGGGCCTTGCATATAGCCATCCCCCCAGTCCCCCAAGTCCCCCCAGTCCCCAATCCCATGTCACTGGGGCCCAGACTCAAGTCCCTCAGAACCTTTAGTTGTGACTTGAGAATTTCATAGGAAGACCAGGGTGGGCTCACCCTGCACAAGTTACTAAGAGGGCCAGGCAGCGGGTGGTGGGACAATCTGGGGTGGATGGGAGAAGGTACTTAGAGAAGCCCCTTCTCATAGCTTGAGTCTGGAGGCTGACTGTCCTACAGAAACCGATGACTTTTTGCTAGGAACTTCAGGGTGGCATTTAAAAACTCTGGAAATTGGAATCCCTTTTAAAAAGTCATGCTGAATAGTGTCACCTTCACAGATCAATTGGCCCATCAGCTGGTCTTAAGATAAAATCGCCCCTCCCCGGGACAGAGTTCCTAGGAGGGTCTCTGCTCTTTGAAAGGACCACTCAGCCTTCCTTGGTCACTATTCTCATAAAGAAATATATCTGTTTCATCTTATACTTTTCAAAGCACTCTCACATCCATTAGCCCATTAATTGATTAATTCATTGTACACGTTTGTTGAACACACGAGGCACTTCAAATCTTTTTAGAACAAGGCAGGATCTAGATAAATATATGCATACATATTGAATATCCACAAAGTGAAATTTGCTCTGATGGGCACTGCAGGGAGTGAGGAGGGTTTTATAGAGATAAAGGAAGCATAGCCTACCAAGAGAGTCCCCTCTTCAGATCTGTAAGTCAGAGGCACATCTACTATGCTGATTTCCCAGCCGTGTAAACCAAGGGCCAGAGAGGTTAAAGGACTGCTTATGGTCTCAAAATGAGAGGTGGATCTAGAATGCACCTCCTGATTCAAATTGGATATGCTGTTTATGCTTTCTCTCTTTTTTGCTTTCCAGAAAGTTCCAAGTTCTGATCTCCCCTTCCCTACCTCTTTTCTTGACGTCTCTGGAACAAGCTATCTGAAAGGAGAAATAGTCACATCACAATTTTTTTTTTCTGGGCTCATGTGAATATTGTTTCAGGGACAAGAAGAAAAAAAAATTTGTCTTCTCTATTTCCTTAAGAAGGTCAGCAAGATGGAACAGTTGCATTTCATATGCAGCCTCTCGAAGGACATTCATTTTCTCCAGCAGAGCCCCAGGGTGGACAAGGAGGGCCAGCTGTGTGCAGCGTCTGTTGTGTACAGCATTCAGGACAATGTCCTCTTGGATCCCGAGCTCTCCACACAGACAGAGCAGATAAAGGAAGGTCCCTCTCCTGGTCTTCCTTCCAGGGAGGCTGTTGCTGAGAGAGGTTAAGGGACCTCCCAGAGTCCTCCTCAGGTGGGAGCGGAAGGTTGGCATTGCTGACCTCCCATAAGCTTTTACCTGAACTTGGGCTCTGCCTGTCTTTGTTCTGAGGTAAGATGGTGTGTGTGCGCGTGTGTGCATGTGTGTGTTTGGAGGATGTATGAGGCAAGTTCAAGGTTAAAGGCAGGAAGCACTATAGCTATTTTATCTCTGTACATGTCATCTTGTCAAAAAATTCTGAGACTCTTCAAGTCCCAGGACCCTCACAAGTGAGGGCGCAATGTCAACCCACCAGCAGCTTGACTAGCCATGGGAATGGGAATGGAGTTGCCTGGGCAGCTGAGTGAGGTGCTGGCCTCCGGTGCCCATGCCGGCTTGCCTGTGCCCAGGGGTGGAGCCTGGCTGTCAGGAGGGCTGCTGTGGGGCAGGCCTGGCACCTCAGGGGCATCCTCTGTCAGCTGCTTGCTCAGGTCCTAGGGACAGAATGTCTTGGCCTCCTGTTCCTTGGAGTAGAGGGCAAGTTCTTGGTTGCAAACAAGAGGAACTGGTTCTGGGTGGAATAAATGAAAAGAAAATTTGTAGAGGGCTATCAGGGCCAAGGGATGTTCAGATGGTCTGCGAGAGTAAAAGACAGGGAGGACAATTATTGATTTTTAGCAGATGTCTGGCCAGGACATCACCCCTCTGTTACATGGGGATGTCCCGCTTCTCCCAGCTATTCCCTATGGCCCCTGCTACTGGACACCATTTCCCTGTGTTCTCATCTCCAGGGCCAAGGGTCCTTGAGTGCCATTGTCTCTGTCTTTTACCCACCCAGAACCAGAGGCCCACGTGGGAGCAGGGGATGGATTGGGCCCAGCCCACATACCAGGGCTGGGGCATGGTAGGGTCTGCTTTTTTTTTTAGGGGAGTTTGGACAGGGAAACAGGCATATGTTCATCAGAGGAATGCTGAAGAATCTGGCACACCTTTTGTGGGGGGAATTAATCAGAGTAACAAGGCTTAATAATGTTGTTCAAATAACAGGTTTTTTCCCCTTTTTTCCTTCCGGAATATGATGGACAGATGGCAGATGGAGAATGAATGGGCTTAAATTATTGCAGGAGGGTGGAGAGAAGATGTGTGAAGGAGTTTCCTGATGGTGGTGGGTGGGCTCTGGGCCCCAGGGTGCGGTGACTCTGCAGCTGGTAGGCCCTCCCTGTGAAGAGCAAAGGGGATCTCCCCAGTGACTCCTTTTCCTGTTGCTTCTCCTTGGAGGCCTGGAGACCCCTTAACTCTAGGAGGATTGGGGCAGCATCCTCTCCTGAGATATATGGAGGGGCATAATAATGGGAGCAGGTAGTAGAGGCTGAGCCTGGGGCTCTTGATCTGGGATTGTGCAAGAAGACACTAATGGGGCCTTTCACTATTACCCCTAAGGAATGAGACTGCAAAGAAGCTCCCGATCTGAAAAGGTGGCATTTGCTAAGTTAGAAAATGGAAGTACCACCCAGTCTGGGGGATCCCATAGGCACCCAAGAGTGCACCAAGCCACTAGGACCAAGCTCACCTGAGAGTCCCACCCTGCTCGGAATATGCAGACTTGGTGTCCTGTCGCTTTAAAGCACTCCATGCCTGGAAATGCCACGGCCCACATGGAATGGGCACAGCCAACAACTCTCCAAGGAGCCCCAGCAATGAATGATGAGCATCTCCCCTGAACCCATCTCCCCATGTCCGGTGTTTAAAGTGAATTGAAATGAATATCTGATAAATGAATAAACCTGTAAATGGAATCAAAAACCTTATGAACTTGAAGGAGAAATAGGAGTCCCAGGTCTGTTAAGTCTAAATTGAATAAATCTGATCAACTGCCTGACAATTTCTGCCAACAGCTTTTGAAGAGGAAGAAAAGGGGTGAGCAGAGAAATTGGGTAGAGGAGAGGGAAGAGCGAGTGGGGTAGGGGAGGCAGGCATGACTCAGTAATGAAGCTATCACCAGGAGTCCCCAGTGTTCCTTACCTGGACTAATAAATGGATGACAATAGGAGTTCCTTGCAAGTCTGTCTGCTCCTGTGTGTCTGCCCAGAGGACACCTCTAGAGAATGAGAGATTTGCATAAAATGGGGCCAAAGTCTCCTTTTGGGCCTTGCTGGACAAGGAGCTGAGGAAGAACTCTGGAGTCCTGGAATCAGCTACTGGGCCTAGATGATCTCACCTGCTAGGATGGGTCTGTATGTTTGGGTAGCTTGAGCTGGAGGCAGGGAGGTCACATTGAGGATGCGCTCAATGGCTCTCGATTTGGCCTCTGCCACTCTTTGTTCTGTTGGGTAACTTACTTCCTGCAGTGGTTTTAAACATGGCCACAGACTTCTTTAACACTCATCTTAGTGAGAGGTGGTGGTGGTGGATCTGTGTCTTCTTCTCTTGAATCTAGGTGGCTTTGTGACTCCACTAATACAGAACAGTGGCATTGATGCTGTCTGACTTTCCAGGCTGGGCTGGAAAAGGTTGTGCAACTTCTGCCTGAGTTTCTTGGGACACTGTCATTGGGGGAAAACAGCCCCTATGTAGGAAATCCAATTGCCCTGAGAGTGCCATGCTGGAGAGGTGTTCCTGTTCAAGGCCATGCCCCACTGAGCTCCCGGCCAGTGGCCAGGCTGGCCGTGGGGAATGAACCCCGTGAGCCACTCAGTCTCGCCCAGCCTTCAGATGACTGCAGTTCCAGCCCATGTGTGACTGCAGCAGCTAAGTCACAGCTGCCTCGTCAAACTCTCCCCAAATTTTTGACCTGCAAAAGTACAAACGCTATAAAATTATTGTTTTAAGCTACTAATTCAGGAGTAATTTGTTAATAGCAACCAAAACACACCCCTTCTTGGGTTTCAATTTTTTTTCTGAACCATGAAGGGTTAGACTAGATAATTTTTAAAACCATACTTTGAAAGTTTTAAATAGTAGATGAACTTTTTTCAATTGTTTTTATTGTAGTAAAATATACATAAAATTTACCATCTTAAACATTTTTAAGTGTACGGTTCAGTGGTATTAAATATATTCACAATGTTGTGTAACCATCATCACCATCCATCTCCGTAACTCATTTCGTCCTGCAAAACTGAAACTCTGTACACATTAAACAATAACTCCGTCTTCCCCTTTCTCCTCCAGCCCCTGACATCCACCATTCTACTTTCTGCCTCTATGATTTAGACTACTCTAGGTATCTCACATAAGTGGAATCATACAATGTTTGCCTTTTGGGCCTGGTTTATTTCACTCAGCATAATGTTTTCATGGTTCATCCAGGTTGTAGTATGTACCAGGATTTCTTTCCTTTTTAAGACTGGATAATATTTCATTGTATGTATATACAACATTTTGCTTATCCATTCATTTGTTGATAGACACTTTTGTTTTTGCCATGTTTTAGCTATTGTGCATTAATGCTGGTGTGAACAGGAGTGTACAAATGGAAAGAACCTGCTTCCAATTATGTCAAATAGATACCCAGAAGTGGAATTGCTGATTTACATGGTAATTTTATTTTTAATTTTTTGAGAAACCACCACACCGTTTTTCACAGTGGCTGTCCCATTTTTGCATTCCTGCCACCAGTGTACAAGGATTCCAGTTCCCCACACCCTCATCAACACTTGTTATATATATATTTTTACAATAGCCATGATAATGGATATGAAGAGGTGTCCCATTGTTGCTTTGATTCACATTTCTCTAATGATTAGTGATGCTGGACATCTTTTCAAAGCATGTTTTTTTTAAAAAAGGAGTTCAAACATCATAAAAGGATAACAGAAATTAAACAGTTTTCTTCCCTACTCCTGAGTTCTTCTCACCACTGAGAGGTAACTAACTTTAACATATGACTGATTCTTCCAGAAATGCTTGTTGTGATTACAACATAATTATATCTTTATAAAATTACACATAGAATTATATCATAGTTAATTTTTGTAATTTCCTTTTTTTCCACTTACTGATACAGATTGGAGATATTTCCATACCAGTATACATAGGTCTACTTCATTCTTAATATCTGCATAATTCCATGGCATGGCTTGGTCAACGTTTACTTCTCTAGTCACTGTTGATGGGTATTTCAGTTGCTTCTAGGTTGTTTGGTTGGTATTTTTTGCTACTGTAATAATACTGCATTGACTATTATTGTATACTTGTTTATGCTTTTGTAGGTCAAATTCCTAGAAGTACAGTTTCTGGGTCAAAGGATATGCATTGACAATTTTGATAATTATTGCCAAATTTGTCTTTTAAAGAGGTGGCACATATTTATACCACCACAATGAGGAAGCTAGTATCCTGCTACCTTTATTATCTTTCAGGTTTTGTCATCTGCTGGAAGAAAATAATATTCTGTTTTCAAGTTTTCATTTCTTTAATTGTGAAGTTGAGCATTTTTATATGCACTTTGATGATTTTTTATACAAAATTTCAATCATGCAAAAGTAGAGAGACTATATCATGAACTCCCATAAGTAGATCACCCCAAGTCAACTGTCATTATGGGTTTACCACTTGTTTCAAGATTGATGATTTTTAATTTCTATTTTTCATTGAATAGCTAATTTATATCCTTTGCCAATTCTATAGGGCTGTTCATATTTTGTTTTTTTTTAAATGGTTTGTCGGAGCTTTTCTTATCATAACAAATTAACTTTTTGCCATTATATGTTACAAATATTTTTCCTATTAAACTTGTGTTTTGATATTATTAAAGGTCTTTTTGTACAGAAGCAATTTTACTTTTTATATCAAATTTATCAATCTTTTAAAAAGATTTGTAGTTTTGTGTTTTCAATGATCTTCTCTACTCCAGGAATATAAAATAAAATAATAAAATAAATCATCTGTATTTTCTTTCAGGATGTCATTTTTACATTAAAATCGTTGATGTATTTGGATTTTATTTTTGGTATAAGGAGTGAGATAGAGATCTAATTTTACTTTTTACATATGGTTACACTACTGCTATCCAGTAGAAATACAATGTGAGCCACGTATATAATTTTATATTTTCTATTAGCTGCATTAAAAAAGTAAAAAGCAGGCAGAAGTAATTATAAGATATATTATTTAACCCACTATATGCAAAATATCATGTCAACACGTTATCTAGCTACAAATTATTAATGAGCTATTTTACATTTTTTCATACCAACTCTTCAAAATAGAGTGTATATTTTGGACTGGTGGCATTTCAAGTGCACAGGAGGCACTTATGGCTAGTGGTTGCTGTACTAGACAGCACAGAATTAGACAATTCCCCCAAATAATGCTGATCAAGTCCTTCTTTTTCTCCATTGATTTGAAAAGACACCTCTATCATAGGCTGAATTATGTTTTATATTTAGGCCTATTTCTGGTTTCTATTTTTTCCGTTGAGCTATCTCTCCCTTCCCACGCCAATAATGGACTATTTTAACTATGATGGTTTTAAACTATTTTTAATACCCTGTAGAGCAGTTTCTTTCTCTTATTTTTGTTTAGGGTTTCTGTGGCTCTTCCAGTTTAGTCCTTTCTCTAGATAGACATTAATATCTAATATTACATATTATCTAATACTATAATCTAGATACTACACTATACTATAGATACTATCTATACTATAGTCTATATTCTAAACTATAGTATGATATATGATACTATAATATAGATATTAATATTTATTAGTATCTATACTCTCTACTATACTAATTAGTATATACTATTAGTATTTACTATACTAATAGTATATACTATTAGTATTTACTATGCTAATATTTATTAGTATCTATATTATAGTATCATATATCATACTATAGTATAGTATGTACATGATAGTATAGATAGTAAAACAACCAACCAACCAACATAGAAGCAACTGAAATAATATTAGGCATTAATATTCAAAAATATATAAGTTTGAACAGCAAACAAGCTATATTATGAGTATTGATATGGGGATTGCAATGAATTTGGGGCCCAGGTGATTAATAAGGGTCCGTCCACTCTAAATCTCAGTAGCTCCACTTTGCTGCCAGCAGATGGAATGTGGGGGCTGGAAACAGTCCCATCCTGTGTGACTAGTGTGGTGGGCTCGTCTGTGCTGTGTGTGGCACATGTGTCACCGCCAACCACAAGACCTTCCGGCAGGTCCTGGATCCCATGCGCATGGTGTGAGATGTGTGTTTAAGAACTATCCGGTGGTGATAGTTTAGAAAGTCCGACACTAGAATTGTTTTGGCGCTGCCTGGGAAGAGGAATTTCGGCTGTTCTCTAGAGAGAGTTGTCTTGGAAGATGAAAAACCGAGGAGATGTGGGGTAGGGAAGAAAAAAGGAGTGACCGCCTAAGATGGGAGGAGAAGGAGTGGATAGGTGAGAAAAATCAGGGAGAAGGGAAGGAAAGGGGGAAGATAAAGGAAGAAAGATTGGAAGGAGAGGGAGGAAAGGGGGTGGGAAGAGAGGTAGAGGGTGCAGGGGAGGTTTTCAGTAGAACAGTAGGCTGGAAGAGATGAGGGTCAGGGGGGACCCTAGGAAGGAAGAGAGAGCGCTCACTGGAGAGAAAAATGCTAAGGCTCAGGAGAACCCTGACAGGCAGGCTAGGGAGGTCTAGAGTTCTCAGCACCGGCATGTCTTTTCAAGGCAGCCTCATGGCCATGATGGATCAGTCAACAATAGGAAGGAGAACTCTGATCTACAGGAGGCTGCAGTGTCCCTAAGAGACAGAGTTAATGGTATGGGGCAGCGTGAGCACAGGAATGATTGTCAGAATCCATTGTGCCTGGGGAGCTGGGCTAGGAGCCCAGAGCAAAGACTGGCAATTCCCAGCTTTCAACAATGTCCGTGGCTGGGGTATAGAGATTCTTCTTTACCCTGGAGACTTGACTGTCCTGGGTGTGAGGGAAATAAGGATGAGGGATGGTGAAGTTGCATGAACACTGAGGAATAAGAGAGGAAGGACTCATCCAAGACACTGGGTCCCTAGATGCCACTTGAGGCAAGTGTCTTAGTGGTTGAAGGCACTGGGCTTCTTTCAGGAGGAGGGGAATGGCTTCACCCTCAAATAACCCTCTTGACTTTCAGGGTTACCTCTCTTGTTGTGACCCTCACACCAAAGCGGGGAGTAAGGAAGGACAGGCAGATTATCTGCCTATGGCACCCAGGGAAGCTGAGGCCCAGAGGCACAATCCCACTTGTTCATGGCCACCCAGGGGGCTGGTGGCAGGCCCTCTCCCATCCTGGCTGAATGCCCTTGCCAGGTATTTTCTTGTCCCCGCTCTGTCTGGAGAAGTAGAAAAAGGAATGTCAGGCGTTGACTCAAGAGCCACTGGATTTTCAAGGAGTCAGAGGGTCACAGTGAGTCGGAAAGAAAAGGGGAAAAAAACCCCCACCTTCACAGCTGCCAGGATGTGCAGCCTGTCTCCCTAGACTGCTTGCTCCTCATCACAACGGCGACAAAACGCTATTTTCCTTTCAGTGGTGTGCACAGGTGCCAATCCAAATGAATATTATTCACACACTTCTGTCCAAACACTGTGAAGTCTTCAAAGGTTGATTAAACCTCTGACATTGTTGCTTTACTTCCCCTGCACTCCCCGCCAGGTGAAGACCTCCCTCCTGTGACCTCACCCCTCCTCCTTCCCTGTGCTTCTCCACACAGCCTGCCTTCCCACACAGGAATCCAGGTATCCTAGGAGAGGGTATGTCCAGTCTCCTTGGGAGGGGAAAGTGGAATGGTGGGGAGCCCGGCTTGGACTTTGGTTTGCTGAGGACTCAGGGAACAGGGCAGAGTGAAGTCACCTTGCGTGTGATGGGGGCCAGTGGCAGGGGCACTTAGGGGTGGGAAAAGTGAGGGATTTGACTTTGATTACCCAGCAAAAATCCATTTCCTGCTAGTAATGGCTGGCTGGTGCATATTGGAAATCACAGCCTCCCTGCTCTACTCTCCCCGCATCATTAGTCCCCAGTGGAGCGATGTCTCATTGGAAATCACACCTGGTGAAATGAGGCATGATGTGAAACTCTACGGACCCGCCTTCCCTGGGTAGCCTAATGGTGGCAACTCGGAGGCGCCCAACACTGGCCAGAGTCCCTTGATAAGCCAGGAGATTCAGTCATGCTGGGGCATTTTTCAGCTTTCCTTCATCTTATCTGTCATCAGGCAGGCTGTGTACAAAATCTTAAAGCAGTCTGTACCACCTGCAGTGCTTCACATAGTGTCTGGTGTCCAGAAGCACCCCACAGTTAAGCTAGCACAGGAGAATGACAGATTCAAAGATTGAGGAGCCCAATGGTCATGGAGTCTAAGTAGTATTTGTTTTGTTTGCCCCAGCATCCATTTCCCTTTCTTTTGGTAATAGCATCCATTTCCCTTTCTTTTGGTAACAGCATCCCAAGTTTCCTTGAAGAACCACCCCTTTTCCATTCCAGTCCAGAGGTTTGGGTGGGATTCTCTGCATCCTCTGCCCCACCCTCAGGGATGGGCATGTGACCAAACCCTGGCCATTCAGCATTTGACCGTAGGGACTGATGGAAGACTGCTATGGAAAGCCAAGTGCAATGCTGGGACTACTGATGGGAAAGAGGTGTGCTTTTCACCTGGAACTGCTAAGGTGATTAGATGTAAGCCTAGGGTTACAGGGGATGATCTTGCCACCACACGAAGTGACCACATCAGTGGCTAATAAAGAGGAAAGAAAGTGGAGACACATATACAATCACATGATTTACAACAAATGCTCCACCACCGTTCAGGAGAGGAAGAGTTGCACTTTTTAATTGATGGTGTGGGTTAATTGGATATTCATGCAGAAAAAAAAATGAACCTTGACCTCTATCTGACATCATTTCCAAAAATTAATGCATGAAGGATCATAGATCTAAATGTGAAAGCTAAAACAATTAAATTTCTAGAAGAAAACAAGAGAGAACATATTCATGACTTTGGAGTCATCTGAGTTTTCTTCAATAGGATATACATGAATATGTACACGCACAACAGTAAACACAAAATAAATGTTAAGTTGGACTTTAGTCAATTAAGGGCTTCTTTTCATAAAACTACACCATTAAGAGAGAGAAGAAGCAAGCTACAGATTAGGACAAGATATTTTTAACTCATGTATCAGACAAAGCACTGTAATATTCAGAATATATGAAGAACTCGTAGAAATCAGTAAGCAAAAGACATAAAGTCCAATTTAAAAATGCTAATGGGAGTGTAAATAGTGATCACTGCTTCAGAAAACTATTTGAAAGTTCCACAAAGGCTAAACATACATAGGCTCTGTTTTTCAGCAACTCTGGTCCTAGGTACCCAATAGAAATGAGTGCTTTTTTTGACCCAAAGACATGCACATAGCAACTTTGCTCACAAGAGCCAAAATTGAAAACAGTCTATGTGTTTATGAACAATAATTTGTGGTATATGCATATAATGGAATAGTACTCAGCAATGAAAAGAACGAACTTCTGAGGCATACATTGCACAATCATGATTTTGACTGTGCAAAGTCAGTCATACAAGAATACCTTCTTATGATCCCATTTATATGAAACCAGTGATAGGAAAGACTAAACAATGGTGACAGGAATTAGCACAGTGCCTACCCTTAAGGAATTGTTGTTTATGGTAAGGCAAAGAGAAACCTTATGGGATGTTGGAAATTCTGTAGCTTGATCTGGGTAGTAATTTTTTTGTGTAGAAATTCATTGAAATGTACACTTAAGGTCTGTACATTTTACTGTATGTAAGTTATGCTCCAATTTTAAAAAAGGATAGTGGAGAGAGGGAAGGTGATTGATCTTGGGAATATATCATCTGAGCACCTGCATCCAGCCATACCTGAAGACAAACACTCCTGGACCCTTTAAGAGATTCCTTAAGAGCCAATTAGTTCTCCTCTCTTTTTTTTGTATGAATCAGCTTGTGCTGAGTTTTCTCTCACTTGCTGGTAAAGTTGTCCTCAAAACTACCATCTCCCTGCTTCTAGGCCAGAGTTTTCCTCCTTTAGCCTGAGCAGGTGGAGGAAGTCCTATACTTAACGGGACACAAGGGAACCAAGTTCCTCAGTCTGTTTCTGGTCCTACTAGCACAGGCCATCAGGCAGGAGTCCAACATCTTTGTTTCTCAGTTTCCTCATTTGTAAAATGAAGCTGACAGCAGCAACTTCTTCATTCAGTTGGTCAGTTCCCTTGT
The DNA here is from genome assembly GCF_000001405.40 of Homo sapiens. Classification (NCBI taxonomy): domain Eukaryota; kingdom Metazoa; phylum Chordata; class Mammalia; order Primates; family Hominidae; genus Homo; species Homo sapiens. The sequence continues at coordinate 116,115,312 of NC_000011.10, read as the reverse complement.
GGAGTCTCAGATACCTTTGATCATAGCCTCTGGTCCTCATTTGATTGATGTTTGTGTTATGACTGCCATGGGGACAGGGATTGTTTCTGTTTTTCTCACCACCATATCTCTAGTGTCAAGGCCACCAGGAGGGTATGTAGGGTCCTGGGCACATTTTTTCCCCTGCCGTGGGGCCTCTGTCTATATAAGCAATTTGAGTGAGGAAGCCAGCACCATCCTAGTGCCAATATTTCATGGGACCACATGGAAGAAATACTGTCAGTCAGAGGGAGCAATGTGCTCACCAGTCCAGTCTCCTAGAATTGCTTCAGAGCATCTGGTCAGCCGTGTGTGTTGGGGGATGGGGAGGGGAGGGGGGGAGGGGTGGGAAGAAACAGGAACAGGGCTCACATAGGGCTCAGGAGTCCCTACCTGGTCAGCACTGGCAGCATCAATAGGTACCAGGCACCAGAGAAGGGCCTGGAAAATTATCAGGAATGTGCTTCAAAGCATGAAGCCCTGAGGTGAGGGTCCCTTTCGCCCAAGTCTAAGGCTCAGACTGCCTGGCCTGTGTAGTATCTGGCACCTCAGAAGTACTCAATTCATGTCTGTTTGGAGGAATGAGTAAATGAAAGGTTTCACCAGGGTTATATAACACACAGTAAGTGGTCAATGATGTAGGGTAGTTGTGTTACTATTCCTGAGAGGCAGGAACCCTCCTTGCTCCCATAACCCCCAGAGCAAAGGAGTTGGGCAGTAGGGTCTTGTGACCGTGGCTTGAGTGCGTCAGCATCTCACAGGGTCAGGTTTGGGAATAGTCCCCATTGTGGTCTTGTCATAGAGGACAGATTCCCAAGGAGGAACAAAGGGGCCTGAAAATCAGGCCAGGGAGAAAAAGACCATTTTGGGGTTATTTAGCGCTTATTAATTGGTCACCTCGTTAGCAGCCCATCTGCAGTCTGACTCCAGCAAGTGAGTGGGTGAAAGGGAGGGGGTGCCCTGACCAAAACTGGCTTCACAGATTCAATAATAAGGACAGAGCAATTACCGGAACTTCTAGAGCCAATTCCCGTTAGGAGCATGCCAGGCCGGGCTTTGTCCTACGGAGAAGAGGAAAAGGTCAGTGTGCTCTGTAGGAGGAGAAAAAAAGAGCCCTTCACAGGGAAAGAGCCTGCCTGAGGGAGGGAGACAAAGAAAAGGAGGGCTCTGTGGAGGTGAAAAACTAAAGAAAGAATGACATTTGGAAGTTCCTCAGAATGAGGAGAGGAGAATAATAAAATAAAAATTACAAGGGAGAAGGCGCCAGTGGACAAACAAGGAGAGGCCAAGGGAAAGAGCGCTGGAGGATCACTACTGCCCTGGAAAGCAGCTGGTGGAGGTGGCCTGGCAGGGGCTGGTAACCAAGCCAATCACGACCTGCTTGGCCTCAGTTTCTCCATCTGTAAATCGAGGGGCCATCTAGACTGGTACCCACTGGACCTCTGGTCCTATCCTGTGCAGGTGTGTGGAGGAGAGGAAGGTGAGGCTCAAAGGCACTACTAGGAAAGCTAATTTGCTCCAGCCCCTTGGACATGGTCTGGGGCATAAATAGTGCTGCTTCCCAAATGTTCCCCAATGTGTCCCAGCCCCCTCACACTAAGGTGGAGCCATGGGACTAGGTCTGGTCCATGAGCAGCTCATGTCATTTCTAGGCTGAAGCATAGAAGAGCCAACAAATGGCCCTCCAGCTGTCTCCTCTCGGCCATAGCAAATTCCAAAGCCTGGATCCCTGAGTGACCAAGTGGAGCAGAGGCCTCCGCTGACCTATATGGGACATGTATCATTAATGGAAACACACCTTTGCTGTTTGTAAGACACTGAGATTTGGGCTTGTTCTGAAGAGAAACAGGTGAGGGTCATGAGCCACCCTATTTGCAGAGGACCAGTAGCTGAAGTGTGGACTTGAGGAGTGGAGGTCAAAGGCTGGACCATGTGTCTGAAACAAGCATGGTCTCCCCAGAGCCTGGCTGTCTGTGCAGTTACTGGGAGTCCCTCTGCCTCCCTGACATCTACCCAGAATTGTTGGACAAACCCCATTCACTGAGATGAAAGGATGTCTCTCTCTTTCATTGACTGGAAACTGAGGAACTGAAAGAGACACAGCCATCTTTGTGAGATCTGCTTGTGGATCAGCCTTCTGGGCCTGAGCCCATGGGATGGGGGAAGAGCGGAGTCTTTCCAAATCCAGGCATAAGTCACATCTAAGGACCTTTCTTTCATAGTGTGTGGTCTGCTCAACCAGAGCTAGACCTGAAGGGTATATATGGAAACCATAAAACCAGCATTCTCCTTTCCTCAGTGCTTCAGAACGTCATGGGCTGGGGGTCCTTGATTGGGTGCAATGATTTTCTCTGCACATCTTGGCCACCCCAGGAAGCCCAAGTGCAAGATTAGGCTTCCACGTACTCACTCTCCACTCCCCTGGGAAGAAGCAAGACATCAACAACAGTAAACTCAGGGCCTGTTCAGACAGGCACCGGCTTTATTCTTTGTGGGGAGGAAATTTCTCCTACCTCCCCTCTGACTTTGTTTCACAAGCCATTTGTCATTGCTTCCCAGGGGACTATGAATGGAAGTGAGTGGGTGTGGGGGATGGGACGGCATTTCTGCAGGACAACAGGAGCAGTGAGTGCAGTGTGGAGCCCAGCACACTCTCTTCTTCACCCTAGCCTTCCTGCTGGCATTGCCATATCCCTCCCTCTGCTTCTTTCCCAACCAAGTCTGTTCCCGGGCTCTGAGCATGGATCCAGGATCCTTTGCTTCTTTTTTGCCTCACTCCCCTCCACCCTCATCACCCACAGCAGTGGGTATTCATTATTTAAGCAACCCATGCCTCTGAAGTCTTATTTATCCAACATCTTTCCACAGCATATGTCAAAATCTACGGTAAGAGCATTCATCCCATAATAAACATTTGGCTTTGCTGGTCTACCAGCGGCAGGGCTAATTAGGGAGAGGGATTCCCTTGTTATCCGAAGGGAGGTCAGATACAGCAATTAGCATCGTTGCACAGCTTTAATTGTGACTTGGAGGCTAGGCCCTTTGGTGCCAGGTGGGGTGGAGAAATTGGCAGGGAGGAAAGGGGAGCCTTCCCCGGCAAGTTCTGGGAAGCCACAGCTATGCTATGAAAGGCAGCTCAACTAGTTGGTTTCCTGGACTCCTAAGCCTCTGTATGCAGTCTGAGCTCCCTGCAGGCTTTTCATCTTCCAAGCAGGGCCCGATCATGAGAATATTCTCCCACCGACCTCTATCTCCCCAGCCATCTCTGTGAGCATTCAAGAGGACGCTTCCACTTGAAAATCCTGTCATTGCCTCAAACTCAAAATATCCAAACTAAATGGACACATCCAAGAATGAGCACCATAGGATTTGAGAAGAAGCTTAAAGATCATCGGGTTCATCATTCACCTCTTCTTCTGGATGTCTCTAGGTCAGGCAGTTGTTCAGCTTTGGTGGGTCACTCTCCGGACCCCTTTCCCTGGGGAGGGAAGAGATAAGTGCTCTGGTTTGGGTTTGGATTCTCTAGGAGCAAGGGCTGGCCATGGGCCTGGCTAGGCTGATTGCTGGATACTGGGTGTGCCATCCCACAATGCAATGCAAACTTGAAGGCAGAGAGGTCCAAGAGGCAGGTGCAAGGAAATAGGCAGAGAGCCAGGGTCAGCTCCGAAGCAGAAGGGGATAAGATGGAACAGACAGGAACAATGGGGGTCAAGAAGACTGCCATTCAGGGGTCCCCAAAACCACTCTTAGCTTTAGTAATTCACTAGAAGTACTCGTGGAATTCAGCAAAACTGTTAGACTCACAGCTACAGTTCATTAGCAAAAGGTTACAGGTGAAAATCAGCAATGGAAAAAGGTGCAGAGGCATAGTCCAGTAGAGCTCCAGGTGTGGGCTTCCATTGTCCTCTCCCAGTGGAGTCAGCAGACAGCTCCTAATTCCCTCAGAAATGATGTTGACAACACACACAAAGCATTGCCAACCAGGGAAGCTCACCTGAGCCTTGGTGTCTAGTTTTTATCAGGGGTTGCTCATGTAGGCATGGAGCTCCTGCATGGCTTACCTCAGTCTCCTGCCCCTCCAGAGGTCAATCTGAGACTGAGACCAGGGACCTCAGGTAAAAACAAAGGTGCTCTTACTGGGCAGATATTCCAAGGGCTGAGAGGCTAACTCTCAGGAGCTGGGCAAGGGCCGAACTTCTCTGTGGAAGGTGAATCCCTACATTCCCTGGGAAGCTATCAGAAGGAGGAGGCAAGGCCCTATTGGAATAGCAGGCTCCAAGTGGCACAGAGGTCTAGGCCTGCCCCTGAAGCAACCCCCTGCCTCTCCACCCCCATTGCCTTGAGGATGGGTCAAAGACACACCAGCATCAAGTCCAGAGGAGTGTTTCTCCACCTGGGAATGGGCTGGTCTCTGAAGAGGAAGTCTGAGGGAGGAGGCTGTTTACAATGTGAGAGCAACACAACACCAGGGTGAGGAGTGAGAGGATGAGGTCATGAAGCCATCAGATATGCACTCCCAGGGTCTGAACTTTGTTGTTGAGGGGCAGCAATTACAGTGAGGTCCTGGAATCATTTGGGGTTTAAAGCTTGTATTCTGCACTTACCAGCTTTGTCGCTTGGGGCATGTTACAAAGCCTCCTGGAGACTCATTTTTTCCACCTGTAGAAAGGGGATGGTAATAGTTCCTGTGTAACCAGGCTGCAGTGAGGGTTGCATAAGGTGAACATGAGATAAATGGCAGCTATCTTTATCCTCACTGTGAATACCTTTCCATGAAGCCAAGTGCTTCTTGAGATATTCTTGGCCTCTGTAGAGTTCTTTCTCATGTTGAGATGAAACCTGCTTTTATATTGCTTTCTGTTACAGTGTTCTGGCTCTCCTTCCTGATCTTCCATTTCTGTCAGTGGTATCACCATTTTTGTTCTCCAGGACCACCAGTTATTTATTCATTCATTTATTCCTTCACTTATTCATTCAATATATGTTTATTGATATTTTTTGTCTATCGATATTGGTATCGTGCTAAATGCTGGGTATAGAAGAGAAAATAAGATATTCCTAACTAACTCTCGAAGGACTCATGGTTGAGATAGCAAACAACTGCATAAAATAAGCAGTTAAAATGTTTTGGTTGGTAAATGCATTGAGTGCTTGGGGCATAAACGAAGCAGTGATCTGTTTTATCTCTTCCTTCCCCTCCCTAAGGCACCTTCACACTTGCCTTTATTCCCCCCATGAGATAACTTCCAAATTCTCTTTCTTTTTTATTCTTGTTGCTATGGGTTCAAGAATTGTAAATAAATTGATTCTCAGGTTGGAACTCACAATAACTGCTAGTGATATCCTAGAGGATTCCAAGGCTGCGTTTTGGCCAGTGAGACCAGATAAGACGGTCTATCAGAAAAGAATTAGAAAGCTGTGATCATGGAGGAATACATTCTGGTGTCCTATAGCATTGTAGAATGACTATAATTAACAATAATACATAGTTCCAAATAGCTAGGAGGAGGATATTAAATGATCCCAACACAAATAAATGTTAAATGTCTGAGATGATGATATGCTAAGTACCCTGATCTGATCACTATACATCATGTGTATTGAAACATTGTTGTGTATCCCATGAATATGTACAATTATTGTCAATTAAAAAAACAAAATTAAAGAAAAAAAGCTGTAATCATGATATAATTCAGCCTTCTGCCATTTGTGCACACCCAAGGCTCAGATTAGGCAGACACCCTGGCTACATGCAAGCCCCGTAAAGTGCTACCCACTTGCATGCCCCTACTCCCTGTCAAGCACCACCCCTACCTCATGACTCACCACCTCAGCTCAAGCACACCCCATGACTCACAGTGCTCTCTCCCTTCCTGGAATAATGCCCATCGCAGGACTCGCTGCCTTATGTCTGCTGTGATGTCTTCATTTTGGATAATATTGTCCTTGGGTGGGACTTACCTGTTTTATATCATTGGTGTCTCTTTTGCCCATTCCCACCCCCAGCCTAGTATAGGTCTGGGCTCCTGACGGGTGCTGACCGATTGATAGACAGCTATTCCATGTGATTGTGAAGGGCCTCTGGCTCCACAACACCTTCCATGTTGGAGATGCCTTGGCTACATTGCCTCCAGATAAGCCACTTGCCTTAGTATCTCTGAAGGGACAATATGATGTTAAGAAGCAAATGCCTACTCTCCACCTCTCCGTTGCTTGCACTCAGCCCTTTGTTGCTGCAACGTCTCTCTGCTACTTCCCTCCACACAACCCAAGACAAAATGTCCAAGTGGATCTGGGAGCACTCCTAGCCTGCATGGTGCTTACTCTGTAAAGGCTGCCTTCACAGAGATGACAGCTCAGAAAAGAGTGGGGAGGGAAGTCTGGGGGCTCCTGCAGGGAGATGGGAACTCCGTGGAGAAGCCAATGTTCCACATATGTGACTTTCCATAATGCAAACATAGGAGGATGGGAAGGTTTCCTGGGACAGGGTGGTGCAGCCCATGGGGAGCTGATCCTGGTGGGAGGGGCTGTGGCTCTCCACTCCTTATGAAAGTGGGAAGGGATGAAGATGACCGGGAGGGCCTAGCTATTAAAATCTGGAACTAAGGTGCTCAGAACAGTGACAAAGTGAATCCAAAAGTTTTGGAAGCTATCCTTCAGCAAATGTTTACTAAGCAGGCTTCAAGGAGGCATAAGATAACTGCTGTTAAAAATCATCCATGCATGCATCCATCATTCATTTCTTCAATAACATGTTCTGCACAGCTACCATGAGCCAAGAATGGCGTTAGGCACCAGTGCCACAAAGAGAAATACCATACAGTCCTTGTTGTGGAGGCTGGAGGGTCCATCAGGGATTCTGAAGCACAGGAGACAGGCAGGGGAGGAAGGAATGAACTTGGAGAGATTAACTGGAAGCAGGCAACCAAGTGCTTGGAATAGCAAGCTGGAGAATGTGGTCTTAGTCACAGCTGGGGAGTATCAGGGCATTTAAGTGAGGGAAGGAAGGGTGTGTTTAGGAAGGCTGTGGTGGTAACAGCATGGTGGATCGCTTGCAAGGGAGCAAGCTGAACTCAGGAAAGTCAACAAGAAGAGAGGAGGAATCCAAAAGACTTTTGCAGTGAGAATTTATTTGAGGAATATATACAAAGCTATCAACAAGAAACTGAGCACTGAAGGAAACCACTTGGTTTCAGGATGGTATGGAAGCAAGACAAACTAGCAAGGAAGAATTGTGACCCCAAATGCCAGATGGAAGGAGGAGGAAATGCACTCACCTACTGTGAAAATTCACTTACATTGAGACGCAGGAGAGAAAAGTGCTACTAACACCAGCTCTGAGGTCAGATAGAAAATAATTTGACACTAATTGTGCAGATTTGACACACCAGTTGACCTCTCTGAGACTCAGTTTCTTTGTCTTTAAAATGGGCTCAAACTGTTTTGAGGATGAAATGAAGTCGTGTGTGTAACACTTAGCATAATGCCTAGACTGAAGCAAGTTCTCAATAAAAGTCAGTTGTATTTATTGTTAGGAATTAGCTGAAAACAACAACATTTATTGTTACGGAGTGTCCTTTTTCTCAGAAGGCTGGGGAAGGAAAAGGGGAGTAGAGGGCACTGTAAACAGCCTGGCTAATTGTGGGTTACCCTGCCTAGCAGTCATAAGATAGTATTCATATTTTGGAGCTGAGCACTGCTAAATATGGAAGCAACTCCTGAATAATTAAGATACAACTGCGGAATCTGACCTAGGTGCCTTTGTTTTGTGTTGCAGATTTTTCTCTCTTGACTTCTCTGAGAGAAGATTGCAGTGTCTCCTGACACACCAGGGGGAATGCCGCAGAACAGAAGGAGTGAACTTCAGTACTGTAACCAGGCTGGTACTCTAACACCAGCTTTGCACCTTAGTGGCAGCATGAAGCACTTTGTTAGAGTCCCAAATTAGACTCTAGTTAGATGTCTTAGCCATCCCCCATCTCTCACATGGTGGCTGTCTTTATTGAGGGGCGAAGGGAAATTCTCCTAAGAAATATAAAGCCCTTCTGGGGTTACCTTCTAAAAAGCATCCAGAAGTGGGTGAGCCCACACTTGGGATTCTTTCTTCACCCAGTTGGCTCCTCCTCCTTCAAGAATTTTTGGGGACAGGATGAAAGAACTCAAGGCTCCGGGTTTACCCACCACAACTTTGCAACCTCACTTTTGCCATAATGGTCTCCTTATGCCTCCACTCTGAAATGACCAGGACTCTGTGTTTTTTTCTCCTCTCACTCCTCCTCTTTTCTCTTCAGTATAATCTCTTTTTATTAAGAACTTACTGTATGCTAGGAACTATGCTATATACCCATACTATATCTCATTTAATTCTTACATATCCCGGTGAAGGAGGCAGTCTTATGAATCCCATTTTATATATGAGAAAACCAAGGCATAGTTAAGCAAATTGTCCAGGGTCATCTAGTTAAAAACTGGCAGAGTCAAGATTCAGGCTCAGGTCTTTTTGATGCCCAAACATATATACTTTACCTTTAAAAGTGTGGCTCATGGATGCCTGGGGTTTCCTAGGTCCTTTACAGGGTTCTGTGAGATCAAAACCATTTTCATGATGCTATTTACCTTTTTCACTGTGTTGACATTTACACTGATGGCACACCATCAACAATGGGTAAAACTGTAAACTGCTTAGCCCAAATCAAGGCCGTGGCACCAAACTTTAATACTGAACATTATATTTTTTACTAGATTGCAATTTTTTATTCTAGAATTTTTTATTGTAGAATAAAAAAATCACTTTTACTCAAGAATGCCCTGATGTGGCAGTAAAAATATTAATTTTCTTAAATCTTGACCTTTGAGTACATGCCTATTTAATATTCTGTGTAATAAAATGGGAAGTATGCAAAAACAGTTTATGCTAAATATGTTCATCTTGAGGAAAAGCACATGTGCACTTGAGTTGCAAGCTGAACTAGCCACTTTCTTAATAAAACACCCGTTTACTTGAAATGATGAGTGATAGACAATTTATGACTAACCAGACTTGAGTATTTGGAAAATATTTTCTTACAGATAAACAAAGTGAGACTGTCACTTCAGGGAAAATGACTGACAGTGTTTGTTGCCATAGATAAGACTGAAGTTTTTAAGCATATTAGAATTTGTGAAAATTTGTATTCCTATTGTATCAGTCACGATCTAGTCAGGAGAGAAAAACCACCTCGCATATAAATAGGGAAGGTTTAACATAAAGAATGAACTATTTGCAAGAATAAAAGAGAATTCTAAAGAACACCGTAAGACTAAGGGAGAGTTCCAATAAAGGAAGAAACTTGAGTGGGGGCTGGGAGTCAGAATTCACTGGAGTTGGTATCATGGTAGCCCCCTGCATGACAGGAAGCTACTCTGGGCCACAGCCCATCCACAGTCACTAGGCCAGGCCTGGCAGACAGGAAACTGCTTGTGATGGTCAATGGAATTTGCTGGAAGCTGTCATGGAGGCTGGTGAACACGCTGGGAAGCCCAGCTGTGGCACACACAGGGTTCACCAAGAAGCCCCTCTCTGTGGTCCTAAGAGGCTGCCCCCAGGGAGGAGCTGCACTGATGGGTGAACTTTCCATAAAGCCACTCTCCATGGTGCCAAGGGAAGCTGGTAATGGGGGAGATGCCAGCTCCAATAAACATGACATCACTTAGTATCCCATGCACTGCTGGCTACCATGCACCAAGGAGAAAGCTGAGAAGATCACTGGAACCAGGAAGAAAAGCCCTTTCCTCCTCCAGTGTTCTTCCAGTGCTGTCTACTGACAAAAAGTTCCAATTGACCAGTAAGACACATTCCAGTATCACAAGCAGGAATGAAGGTAGCCTTGGAGCTGAGCAGCAATAATTTGATGACTGGCATAGTCCACCCTTTTATTTACACAACCTCTGCACACACTTGAACTTCTGTTTGACACTGAAACAACTGTCTTTCTGCGTAATGAGTTATAGCTATCCTTTGAACTAGTGAAATTCTCATCCTTTTCCTAAACAGATGTATAGTCTCAAGAGTTATTGTATCTGTTGCTGGGTATATTAACATCTCCTTAAATTTAGCCATGGTACTACTAAATAACACCTAAACAGAACATTATAAAGTTAATCTCCAACAATTGCTATGTAAAATGATGATGAGGGCTCATCCTCAGCAGCCTGGCACCTCTTCCTAGGTGGTTTCCCTTGGTATCCCAGAGGAAGGCTTCCCAGGGAGCTCTCCTGCATGGTGTAGCATTTCCCTGTGGGCAGCCTTACAGGAGGCACCTTCCTGGGGAGTTCCATAGGTTCCCTAGCTGGCTTACCAGTTAGCTCAACGACATTCCTGAAGAAGGCTTCCCTGTATGTTTCATTAGGTGCCTCGGCAGGGGTTTCCTGTTTTCCAGTTCCTGTTTCCCAGCCTCAGCTCATTGACTATGGTCCAGCTTGGGTCCAGGCAACCCAGAGAACTTCTCTGCCTTCCAGCAGGCTGTAATTGCACCTTCTCCAACAAGGGCTGAATCCTAGTGGCCCTTGCACTGGGAACTTCCAAATAGTTAAAAGACTTTTCTGACGCAATCTGAGGCGATATGGACAAATGTGGATTTCCAATATTGCATCATGAAATGTATCAACATTTGCAAGATCTGTATAACTCAGTGAACCAATATTTCCAGATGATCAATCCATGATGCAAAAATTCCATTTCAAGTGTAAGATAGATCAATGGATTTTAATGTAACATTATATGAAAAGGTTTCTCATTCCAAGCTGTAACCTTTAAGAAAGCACCATTTTTTGAGTTTTAATGTAATTTCCATAAATACCCACAATTATCAGAAAAGATTATTAAGCTATTCCTCCCCTTTCCAAATACATATCTGTGTGAGGCTGTATTTTTTTTTATGAACTTCAACAAAACAGCCTATCACAACAGGGTGCGTCCAGAAGCAGATACGTGAATCTAGCTGGTTTCTATTAAGGCTGCCATTAAAGAGATTTGTGAATATAAAACAAGGCCACTGTTCTCACTAATTTTGTTTTGGAAAATTAAAAAACTATTGTATATATTCACGTATGATAGATGTTATTTTTAAATGAATTAACAAATATTTTGTAATTTTCTCTGTCTCTCAGGCTGGAGTGCAGTGGTGTGATCTTGGCTCACTGCAACCTCCATCTCCAGGGTTCAAGTGATTCTCCTGCCTCAACCTCCGGAGTAGCTGGGATTACAGGTGTCTGCCACCACACCCGGCTAATTTTTGTATTTTTAGTAGAGACAGGGTTTCACCATGTTGCCCAGGCTGGTCTTGAACTCCTGGCCTCAAGTGATCTGCTCACCTTAGCCTCCTAAAGAGCTGGGATTACAGGGGTAAGCACCACACCCAGCTACTTTTCTCAGTTTTAATATCTAGTACAGTAAATATCAATAGACAAAACCTACACAAGCATGAGCTCTTGGGGCCTCAATATGAAGAAGTTATGAGACTAAGACTCCTGGGTGCTGCTGTTCTGGACTAGAGTAACTTTCCTTCCAAAAGTGAGGCCTGTGAGCTTGAATATGGATAACAGGGCTGCGGCACATCAGCCACAGGGGTACCTCTGCATATGGGGCTTGAAAATTCATAGGTATTTGCATCCAGATGCCTAGAGAAGCTTCAACTCCCATCTCATTTTTACAGCACTGCACTTGCTCCCTGGCCTTTTGCCTTCTTTGTTGTCACTACCTGCCTGAGCCTTTGCTGAACCTGAGCACTGGAGAGGGAGAAGTGCCTTTTGTTTTGAAGAAGCCCGGCCTGAGAGAGACATGTCGATGACTTTGTAAGAACAGGCTTTGGTTGGATTTGGGGAGCCATTCGAAGGACACCCTATGTGAGCACCGGGACAAGCTGCTGCTCTGGGGCACATTTCTCCCCCTCGCCACCCTGGGCTGCCCATCTGTTGAACAGAGCCTGCTGCTGCTTCTCTGTTCTCCCATCTCTCTTAAACTGTGTGGTTTTCACTTTCCCCCGGTGGAGTAGAGGATCTCTGTATCTTGTCCGATTTCTTCACGCTAGACTTTGGGGAGGAGGCACACGTGCAATGAATAAAGACTGGTCACCCAGAGCTTTCAGGGAGGTGCTCACTACCCTGAGATGCCAGGAGCTCCCGAGAAGAGTGGATAGATCTAAGAAAGAACTCTCTGAATTAGAAATAAAGTACAGCAGCAGGCTGGCTTGTGTTTGCTAGTTATAACCAGGGGCAGGAGTGGCCCTAGGGAGGGTGCGTTGTGACTTAGGTGCAACTGTTTGAAACATGTCTTGTAGAGCAATGTTGGAGATGCTCACAGTCTGGCTCTCAGGACTGGGAAGACATAATGGAATCACTGAAATCTCCCAAGATTGTGCAGGCCAGGTAGGTCAGGGTCTTTTCTACTCATCTCAGGCTCTTTAAGGGAGAGAGTTACCTGGGAAAGGAGGTATAGGGAAGTGCACCCAAGAATCTGCAAGAGGGTGTCCTACTCAAACAATAAGGAGGAAGCAGATTCCTGTGCCCATACATTACTCAAACAACAGATGCCCTTGAATGTCTTGTGGGAAATGTCACTAAGAGGAGCCCTACTACTCTGCACTTTCTGTCCCAGGTCCCAAGTTCCTTGTGAGCTCTGCCTCTGTCCCCCAGGGGAGGCTTCAGGCTGACCAGCTCAGCAGAGAGGTGAAAAGAAGAGGGAAGCCTCTTCCGTCACCTTTGAGATAAAAAGAAAAAAAAAATAAAAGACAGGGGGAGAAAGAGAGAGAAACAGAAAAAAATCAAAGACTAATCCTACAAATTCTCCTTTAATCTTAGAGCTTCCAGACCTAGTTTCTCTTTCATCTAGGACTTCGAAGTTATCTAGTTATTTTATGGGTAGTGAAACCACAAGACGAAGAGAGGGTGGTGGGGGGGAGATTAAATTAATGAGCAGGTAAGCAGGTTTATTATTTCGTCTGATCCTTCCTTCCTGCTAATTTCTCTGAGCCAATTTGGGAGGCAGAGCCTAACATGTTAACTCAGAGACAGAGTATTGTATCCATGTTCTTTCTGAAGCCATTTATCTGAAGGATATTAAAGATCCAATTTACATAGACATTATGGCATTGTGAGGAGGGTGTGTGCATGTGCACAAATGAGAGAGAGAAAGAGAGAGAGAGAGCGCTAGGGTATCCATCCAGTTGGGCCTGTGTTTGTGTACATGCTCAACCTCCAATGAGTGCCATCCCTCATGAGGCTCTCAAAGAAGTTTGCAATCACTCAGCAAGTTAGTTCAAGAAGTCATTGGGCCTTGACAGAAATCAGGCTCCAGGCAACGGCGGAAATGTTTATTAAATTTGTGCTTCAACCCTCAGGCTCCTGCATTTCCTTATCATTGCTCCTAGGTTCACAGTAGAGGAAATAGGGCCCTCTTGAGCTTGATATCTGCTTAATTAAATGCCTGATCGTATTGCCCCAGCCCATGCGTGTGCCTATGTAATGAGGCACAGGGTAGGATAGATGCAGAAAAGAGGTCAGATTACCAGGTTAACCCTCAGCTCCTAGGTTAACCCCATCCAGTAAACAGAGAGCCCTCGATTCCCCACAAGGAAACTGCGTGACCTGGGACATTCTACATAATCTGGCAGCCGGGACTGTCATTTTAGTCACTCATGAAACGTAGATTAAAAAACACCTATTCTTCCTATGATTCTGCTTTGTTAAAAGCATTGAATGAAGAGATATACATAATAGCATGCTACAGAGAATTTAGCAGGAATGAGGGGATATGAAGCAACTATAGTGGTTTGTTGTGAAGATTCTTTCAGGAATAGCCAATGTCCCTTTGCTTATGTTGGGCTAAACAGGGAGCCTTCTGATGGATAATCTGGCCTCCTAAGCAGACTTTCTCACCAGCCCATGCCAATGGCTAGTGCCAGCAGTCCTATTAGGGATGCTGCCATTGTGAATGAGTGTGCTGTCATTCACCTCCAATGCTTCCATTCATTCATTGTGTATTAGTCTGTTTTCACTCTGCTAGTAAAGACCTACCTGCCTGAGCCTTTGCTGAGCCTGAGCACTGGCGAGGGAGAAGCGCCTTTTGTTTTGAAGAAGCCTGGCCTGAGAGACAGATGTCGATGACTTCGTAAGAAGAGGCTTTGGTTGGATTTGGGGAGCCATTCGAAGGACACCCTGGATAGATCTGAGAATGAACTCTCTGAATTAGAAATAAAGTATAGCGGCAGGCTGGCTGAGTCTGGGTCATTTATTAAGGAAAGAGGTTTAATTGACTCACAGTTACATATGGCTGGGGAGGCTTCACAATCATGGTGGAAGACAAATGAGGAGAAAAATCATGTCTTACATGGCAGCAGGCAAGAGAGCATGTGCAGGGGAATTCCCATTTATAAAACCATCAGATCTCGTGAGACTTATTCACTACCATGAAAACCGTATGGGGGAGCTGCCCCATAATTCAATTATCTCCACCTGGCCCTGCCCTTGACATGTGGGGACTATTACAATTCAAGGTGAAATTTGGGTGGGGACTCAGCGAAACCATACCACATTAGTTCTTCCATTGTTCAGCTGCCATTCATTGATGATCTGGTACAATTGTTCATAGCCTTGACTTTACTTTAGATCACCTGTGAAGTTATAACTCTCATGCCTGGGCCTATTCCCAGACCAATTAATTCAGAGGCTCTGAGAGTGGCTCCTAGCCACTGGTATTTTAGTAAGGCACCCTAGGCTGTTCTAATGAGTAGACAGGGTTAAAATCATTGACCTGGTATATGCCATACATTGTGCTTGTCCCAGAAGATACACAGATGAATAAGATGCTCTTAGCTCAATGCAAACCATCCCCCTAGTACTGATCACCCCTGGGAACATGGGGTGATTATATTAATATTTCTCCAACTGAAAAGTTGAGACCTAAACTTTCTGATGACCCCTCTAGATGATCTTCTCCACCTGCCTTTACTCATGAGCCCAGCTTGCTGGCCTGACCCCTGCTCTTCAGAATGATAGGCAGTGCCTGAGTCCCAGGTATCACTAAGATCACCTTGGCTTCCCAGTGTGGCCTCTCTCCTGGTCCGGGCATCTCTCAGGTCACTGCCTGCAGCACTGTTGGTGAAGCTGGTTTGGTGATGATTGGTCTGTTTTCCACCCAGGTTCTGGGCCAGATCCTCATGGAATCCGTGAGAAGACAATATTCTCAACAGCTATCTGTCTCATATTTCTTTCCTTCAGTTGCTTCCAGAAGAGTGGCTCTTTTCTTCCCTCTTGAAGCCTGGACTCTCGCTGGACCTGCAGTGAAGTTTATGGTTTGTTTCTGAAACAACTAAGCTCATTTGAAAAGGTGAAATGATGGCTATTCTTCTGTAGATGGATCCAGGTCAAGTGATGAGCTGTACCCTCTTCAGGATTTTATTATTTGATCAGGTGACACCTCCTTCAGGCAGTAATCTTTCAAAGGAGGCCATTTTCCCACACGATGCCTTTGTCCTGAAGTTTTCCAAGCCGCGGTTATGTTTGCTTCCCCAGCAGTCCTGCCCTGAGCAGCTTGCACCCTGCGTTTTTAGTTCTGTGCTTGTCACAAGTCAGGGAAGTGGTAGTAGCTTAGGTCAAGGAACAGGCTTATGGCTGAGATTAAAGTCAGGCTTCCCAATCAATTGTTTCTTCCGTGACTCCCTCTTCAGAGCTGGCTGCTACAATCGGATGAGATTGTGATGTTTTATCATTCAAGTCTGTTAAGGATCTGTTTCTTTCTGCAATCAAAACTTTGTTCCTCTCTTCTCAGGGACTTAAAATACTGTCCTTGAACCGAGACGGGGCCCTTGCGCATTAAACACACTCGCAACTTCAAAGCTACGCATGTGTTGCCACAGAGGGTCCCAGGGGAACGTCAATAAGAGACGTGTGTTTGCTGTAGTACAAAGAGAAGCCTCGCTTCTTGATGGAGTTGATCTGAGGGGTGGGGGTGCCAGAGGGGTTTGTTGTTTGTCTCCAAATGAAGAGAGGATTAGGGGAAGAGAGGCCTAAACTTCAGAAGGAGCTGCTGGCTACCACAGCCTCCTTCACAAGGAGGCTCATGGTCTCCTACTGGGGTAGGGGGGAGGATGGTGCCAAGACCCCTGAGGCGCTACCATGCCAGCTGTTTCTGTCCTTTGAGTAATTCTAAAAACACTGCCATTTGTATAGCATTTTTCCATGTGCTACCTCACCTGAAGCTCACACTAGCTCTGTGAGTAGGCAATGCTATTTTTTCAGTTGTCAAATGAAGAAATGGAGGCTTGAGAGGTCAAATTGCATGCCTGTGTTTGCCCAGCTAATATTAGACCTATGTTCTTTCTTCTTTCAAAAAGGTGGCAAGTTGATTTCAATACCTGATTGATTGATAGCTGTTGCCTAGAAAGAAGGCTGTGTAGAAAAGGATTTTGAGGTTGCACCTGGGCTCAGTGGGAAAGAAGGCTGCGGTTGATTGGTAAGGTCAACTTCCATTTTATCATTCAAACTGGGCCAGTTTTGAGAGTGAAAGGAACTGGATTAATCATATTGCCTGAATATCAAGTACAATCTTGAACTGTCCTGGACAAACTAGGATGTTTGACACCTCATTAAGTAATCATGTGTGGTCAAGGTATTGGGCTGGGGTGGTGGGCAGAGACCACAGTGAACATGTCAGCTCTGTCTTATTTCTGTGACTTCTATGAGGACTTCTCTTCTCATCCCATTCTCAGGGGGACTGGTTCCAGCCTTTTATTTCCTGAAAAAGTTGAGGGGAGGGGCCACAGAGCAGAGGTCATTTGATACGACCACAATCCAGACCATAACATGTCTTTCCCACTTGTGCTTGCAAATCCCCACTTCCCTCATCTCCTGTGTGCATAAGGTGAATAGCTCATTTCATCAGCATTACTACAATCATCTTTAACCACTCCCTCCCCACCAGCTTGAAGGTGGTTCAAAACCCCCTTTTGTGCTTATTTGACAACCATTTATTCACTGGTGGAATTCACTGCCAGACCCACATCGATTCTTGCTCTGACTAGTTCAACAGCCTCCTCGCTCCTAACTGCCTCCTCTCTTGCCTTCTCCATTTCATTATGGTATTTCCAAAAATCTTAATCTAACTGTACTAATTCCTAAAAATTGTCTTTGATTTTTCACATCTAAAACCATTAGGCTCACATTTCCAGCCTTCCAGGATCACTTTCCATTATTTCCCCACACAGACCATATTCTGACTTTCCCAGATTCTGATTCCCCATTTTCTGAATGCATACATGAAACAATTTTCAAGCCTCTATACCAGTGTACTGTTCCTGCTGTAGTCTCTTCTCTCACCTCTTTTTCTGACTCATTAATGTCTATCTACTTAACCCTTAAAAGCCCACAACTCCTATTAAACCCTCCTCTTTCCCCAACCCCAAGCAGGACTAATTTCTGCATTTGCATAGCATGTTTTCACTTACGGTATAGATACTGGCTTGCAGCTTTATTTCTCCTACTCAAAGGAGTTGTATGTTGTTTATTTCTAACATGGTGCCTGGCACAGTAGCCACCTAAATACTTTTTGAGAATTGAAGAGATGAATGATGCTAGACCCCCGTACAGAACTTCTTTCTTCTAAAATGTTGAGGCCATCATGGAATTGCTCTTATGGCTTGGCTTCTAGGGACTGCTCTCACTAAAGGGACCAAGGAAGATGAGGAGGATGGTGCAATGAGTGGAGTAGACCAGCTTTGCCTGCTGTCCTCTGTGGATTCAAGGTAGAGGCCAGAGGGCAACAGCAGGGGCAATGTGGTTGGGGAATGGTGGAGAAGGGGTGTGCACGGCACACCTAACTTGCCAAGAATGCTCTGCTCTCTGCAGAGAAGTAGAAATTAGGGACCAGAGAGAGGAGAATGAGCTGGAAAAACAGGCTTCTTTCTTTACCTTCATGTACCTTGTACTTTACCTCAAGCTTTCTCTTCTGCCCAAAAGCTGTGAGTGACCTTCTTTGCCTGACCCTAGTAGCATTCACTCCTGCCTCTCCCCTTCTTCTGTGGCACTGGCCTTGCCATCTGGATGGCTTGCTCTCCCTGACCTTCCCTTCTCAGCTCCTTCCTGGAACACCAAGCTTAGTAATGTACCTCCCTTGTTTCCACCAGCAATTTCCCCCACAGTAATGTTGCAGAGGAGTGGGGTGGGGATGGGATTGGGGGAGGAGGGTCACCTGGACCTCAGCCTGAAATAGCAAGTTCAAGGGCTCACAGCCCCTGTGAGCTGCCCCAGCCGCATTCTGAAACCCACTTAATCCCAGCTTCTTGCTGGGTGGAGGGGCTCTGCTGCAGCTTTGCCTGGCCTCACCATTGACCCCTTGCTACGAAACTGTTTATCTGCCTTTCTCCTCTTTGCCTCGGCACATTTTGGCAGCCCAATTAGTGCCTTGCAGATAGTTTCTTGAGTCTGAGCAATCCTCCTACCCAACCTTTCCCCTACCGACTTCCCTTTCCTGCCCTTGTAGGGAGATGTTTGACAAGCTCTTTTCCATTTCATCTTCAAGCAGGCTGACACACTCAGAAGCTCTGCTGCTGGCTTCCAAATGAAAAGCGGGTTAACGAAGGCATATTTTCCAGCTTGTTTTTAAAAGGGAAAACAAAAGAGAGAGAACAGGTATCCTAGTTAATGGTGCCTAATTGCTTCTTTTCCAAAAAGTCTTCAGCGTAAAACAGCCTAATTGAGAACTTTCTAATCTTGTGCTGAAGAGGAAGCAGGGTGGCGCCTTGCACCTCGTAACTCCCACTCATCCTTCAGACCCCGCTGGCTGCCAGCTCCTCACAGGAGCCTTCCCTCCCCCTTAGACGAAGTCAGGTGATTATACTGGACACTGTGCTGTGCAGCCTAGAACATTCTGAAGGACAGAAGTGTTTATTTTGCCAGCTGCTGCAAGGGTTGTCGGTAGACAGCCCTCACCTGTCAGCCCTCTTCAGGAGTTGTCCTCATTGAAGGGCCATCTTGTCCGAGGTCATCCCTCTTTCCTGGGGCAGGTTGCATCCAGTGATTGGCCTATGCAAAGACATGAAAGCCTGGACCACTCATTTCAGCTTGGCACAACTTTGAAATGCCATTCTGACTTGTGGTGGCATCAGCTGAGGCTGTTAATGAGACTACATCTCAGCCCAACTTCTCCCTCTGCCCATTCTAGCTTTCTTCCTTCACACTAATCTCCAACTCAGGGTCTGCTCCCTGAGGACCCTGACCTGTAGCAGTAATCCTCCTTGGCATTGTCGTATATTCTTCCTAATCCTCCTCATCAGTGTGCAGTCATATGTTAGGTGCCCAAAAAGGTATTTTAGGAGGTGCGTAATGCAATGAGGCCATTTATGTCTTTCAATTTAGCGGAGATAGATGGATTTGATGTTTGCAGACTTCTCATGCCCTATTAATTCCTACAAAATGTGATCTACCTATCTATGCACCTATCTATTGTCATCTATCTACCTATCATCTGTCTGTCTACCCATACATCCATCTATCCATCAATCCATCCCTTCCTCCCTCCATCCATCATACACCTATCTGTAGTAGAAGCTGTAGGTGCTCCACCAAAACTCCCTTTACTGGCTGATGACCCCATGTCCCAGCTGCTGTAACTGTTGGTGCATAACAATTCACAGGTGCACCCTTTTCTGGAGTGCCATCCTTGGCCAAATGTAAGCTGCTTCCCCATGGAGACTGTGCTCTCACCTCTCCTTCCCCAGTGGCAGACCTCAGCTGATGACTGACTGGCATGGGGTAAAAGGACAGTTCTCTTGCTTCAAGGTGAGACAAGCTCTGAGGAATTCACACTGCAGCGCTACCTGCCCATGAGATCAGATTGAAGCTAGTTGTCAGCCAAGGGCACATTCCTCATTAGCTTTTCTTTTAGTGCTGTTTTGCTTCTAATATGGTTTGGCTGTGTCCCCACCCAAATCTCACCTTGAACTGTAGCTCCCATAATTCCCACGTGTTGTGGAAGGGACCCTGTGGGAGATAACTGAATCATCGGGGTGGTTTTCCCCCATACTGTTCTCGTAGTAGTGAATAAGTCTCACGAGATCTGATGGTTTTATAAGGGGAAACTCCTTTCACTTGGCTCTCATTCTCTCCTTGCCTGCTGCTGTGTGAGACGTGGTTTTGCTTCTCCTCACCTTCTGCCAAGATTGTGAGACCTCCCCAGCCATGCGAACTGTGAGTCCATTAAACCTCTTTTTCTTTATAAATTACCCAGTATCAGGTATGTCTTTATTAGCAACGTGAGAACAGACTCATACAATTTCCCTCAATCCCCTTCTTCTGAATTTACCACCCTAATAAAAAGCTTTAACAAGGGTCCTCGTATCAGGCTCTGTTTTTTGAGGAGCCTGACCTGAGACATCTGGTATTGAGCATGGTCCTAAAAAACAAACAAACAAACAAACAAAAAAAGAAAAAGAAAAAGAAAAAAAGAATGACACAAAGTATGGGTTTCTAGAACTGGGTTGCAATGAAGCAGGCGAAGTGCTGATAGTCCCTGGCAGGCTGTAGCAGTGGGATTGCTAACATCTTTACCTAGGTGAACTGGAAAGGGGCTGTACCAGCTGGCCCAGTGTCTTGGGAATTGGGAAGATGTCTGCTAGGGCTGCCATAATATCACAGACTAGGTGGCTTAAACAACAGAAATGTGTTTTCCCATAGTTCTGGAGGATGGAAGTTTGAAAACAAGGTATCGGCAGGTTTGGTTTCTCCTGAGGCTTTCTCCTTGACTTGCAGACGGTCATCTTCTCACCGTGTCTCCAGATGACCTTTCCTCTGTGCATACATCCCTGGTGTCTCTCCCTCTTCTTGTAAGCACACCAGTCATATTGGATTAGCGCCCAACCCTTATGACTTCATTTAAACTTAGGGCCTTTAGAGAGGTGATTATCTCTAAATACAGTCACATTGGAGGTCAGGGTTTCAACATATGGATTAGGGTAGTAGGGTACAATTCAGTCCATAATAGGAGCTTAGGGAGACGTCACTATACAGACTGTGGAACTGGGTGGGTTTTGCTAAACACCACTGATTTGTTGAAGAGAGAAAATGGCAGGCTCAAATCTACTAATTAACAATTTAAAGCAAAGTGCTAGGCGTTTAAAAAAACCTTCCATTCCTACAGCCAGGGACAGGCAGAGCTAGAAACCAGGCTCAGTGTGTAACTGTAGAAGTGTCAGAACTTCAAAGAAGACTGAATTCTCAGCCTAGGTGAGTCACTTATGCTGACAGTGGGGCTGTGACAGTGGGACACTGACACTTGGGATGGGAATATCTGGATAGCTGTGCTTGAGAACTAAATCTTCAGAGTCCCCTGGACCTCTTGGGCCTGCATAAATGGCCCACTGCCCCTGTTAAAATAGAAGCTCCTGCTTGCTTGAAAATGATGCAGAGACCTTACATGAGGCCTTCTAACAGGCCAGTACTTGCTACCCTCTGGATTTGCCCCCATCTCCCCTTCTGGCCACCAGATCACAAATTGGGGTCAAATCTCAGCATAGCCAGACTGGGAAAGGGCTGGGCCTGCTGAGGGATTAGAGGATTCTCTCCAAAGCTGCAGGAACTGGCTACAATACAGTGGGGCCAGGAACAAGGGGTGGATCCAAAGGGCCTAGATTGGGGAGGGGCCAGAATATAAAGCTGGATAGGGAGAGTTTTCAGTGCAGGGTACTCTCCCATGACACAGGATAGAACATCCTGGTGAGGGCCCCAGGTTATGCTTCTAATGCACTGCTGAGATGGTGCTTGGAAGCTTGGAGAAAACAGTGGCCCACATTAAACAAAACAGAGTTGCCGGAACTGCCATGGCCAACTGGGCAGAAAGAGACCAAAAGGCTCAGAGAAGTGGGCATGCTAGAGTGGGCCTGTTATCTAATACGAGGAAATCCACCCTCAAACGGTTTCTCAGGAAGGCCTGGAGATCACTCGGTTTACTAGGGTGATTAGGAATGTGTGAGTGAGGGACACCAGCGTCAGCAGAGAGGTTTGGGTAGGACTGAAGAGATCGTATTTCAGAACTGGGCTCCCTAGTAGAAATGGTAAAAATCCCAGCACAGCAGAGGCCAGGTGGTAGCACCTAAGTGTCAGAAGCGTGGTGGATGTAATTACTGTAAGGGCAGCAAGGTTGCAACAGTGGCTAGAAGAGCCCAGACTACAGAGATTTCTGGAAATAGTATGTAAATCATGGTGTTCCTAGAGGTAAAATAGATGGGCAGCTAGCAAAGTTATTTGTGTGTGTGTGTGTGTGTGTGTGTGTGTGTGTGTGTGTAAATTCATAAGAGATCAATAATGAATGAACGTAAGACCACCTTCAACCTTTCTAAAGAAAGTCAAGATGTCTTGCTGGTTTCCAGAGCTGAGCCAGTTCTCAAACCCAGAGCTCATTGGCCATTGACTAAAGGGGAGGCCAAATTTCCACAAAGAGAGACCCTGCAGTGCCACAGTAAGTGGGCACAGTAGTGATTCCCCCAGTTCTATAGGTCCCCAAAGGACCTATAGTTGTTTACTGGCATAACCAGGCACTGGAAAGAGGAAATACCCAGAGCCTTTTGAGGTCTGTTGGAAACAAGTTCTGAGTTGATGCTGATACTGGGGGACACAAGCACAATGATGACACTCCTGTTAGAGAGGCCAGAGAGGGCCTGGTGATAGATGGAGTTCTGGCCCTGGCATGTCTCAAAATGGTCCACCTGGTGGTCATTTCTCTGGTTCCTGAAATATAATTGGATTGGACATGTTTAGCAAGAGATACAACTTTCCATTAGTTCTTTGACCTATAGAATAAGAACTATTGAATAGGAAAGGCCAGTAGAATATCCTGAAAGTTTCCTCTCTTTACCAGGATAGTAAATCAAAAACAATATCACATTCCAGGGAGGATGGCAAAGATTAGTGCCACCCTAACTGGTTTAAAAGATACTGAGGAGGTGGTTCCTGTCATTGTATGGGACAGGCTGTTCCTATCCCATATAATTCACCAGTCTGGCCCCTGCAAAACCCAGATAGATTATGGCAGATGACAGTGGATGATTGCAAAGTTGACCGAATAGTAGTCCCAATTGTAGCTGTCATGCCAGTCATATATTTACTAGAGCAGGTTAACATGGCCTTGGGTAAATGGTATGTAGCTATTGATCTGGTGAATGTGTTCTTTTTTTTTAATCCATCAGCAAGAAAGATCAAATACAGTTAGTATTCATATGGAAAAGATAACAATATAAATTCATCATCTTGTCTCAGGGAGAATGATAATTCTCTGTTCATAACATAGTCCCAAGTATCCCGGACTCTCTGGACACCATGCAAAATATCAGAATGGTCCACTTTATTGATGCTATCATGTTAATTGGACCAATGAGAAGAAGCGATAAATACACTGGATGCCATTGTAAGATAGATACATGCTATCTAGAGGGTTGGTGATAAACCCCAGGGACTTAGGGTACTGCCATATCATTGAAGTTTTTAAGGAGCTAATAGCCTAGGGATAGCCCCTCCCCAGGACAAGTTATTACTCCGTGTACCTCCTATCATTAAGAAATAAGCATAACAGTTATTTGGCTTCTTTGTGTTTTGGAGGCAGCATATTCCAGTCTTAGAAATTCTGCCTCAATCCCTTTATCAGGTGACACTGGAAGGCTCCTTACATGGACAGCGCAAGCTAGGTCAACCCGCTAGGCAAGACCCTTAGACCAGCAGAAGCGCTAGCTAAATGTGAGGGGAATCTAGAGTGGGTGGAAGTAGAAGATCATGAACAGCAGTCATGGCCTTGGGCACATGCAGCAGGGCTGTGGTTCAATCTATTAACCTTCCTTTTGCACCAACCTAATATGTCTCCAAGGAAATTGTGATCTTTCAGAATTCTGAGGTTGCTGTATCTGGGTGGAGTGAACTTAGTGAAAGAAGAAAGTGGATTGGAGCTGTGCAAAGGGTGAACTGCAGTAGACACTATTGGTGCCCAACCCAGATGCTCTTTAGCCCCTGCAGATATTGGCCAGCTGGCTTGGGCGACCACAGTCCCTGGGAGTTTATCTCAGACAATGATTGACTGTCACATGTGGGTCAAAGGTCCCCAAGGTGGGGCTAACTCTGGGGTAGGGGGATTTAGAGCTCTTGGTTAGAGCTTGCCCATGGCATCAGAAGCAAGTCTAAAGCTACTTTTAGCTGAGACACATTTTCACTTAGCTCCCCATCTCTCCTGCCTTCTCCTTCCCCCTCACTCCTAAGAGTACATCCTCCAATCAATCTTCCTCAATAAATCACTTGGGCAAGAATCCCTACTCAGGATTCACTTCTAGACAATATACACATGTGTGTGTGTATTTGTTATTTTTTAAACATAATACCTCTTTCTTCAACGCCACCATCCAGTGTACACCTCACAAACCCAGTTGTCACATTTGCACTCCCTGAATTGTGTTCATTGATTACGCGACCCACAGATATCTAAGCCCAATTTACTGTATGGTTTCTCATACTTCAGTTAACTAATTCCAATCTACATTTTTTGAAGGATGGAAAATTTTGCACTAGGAAGATTTTACTAGTTCAAACTGAGTCAGTGGAGTCGCATCACATAAATGAACTTCAACTTCCTGAATTTCATCATAGAAAGTCAGACAGAGAAAGAGGGAGAGAGCCTTTTATTTACCTATTGTCCTCTCTTCCACAGCTCAAAATCAAAGAGAAATAAAAGGAATTAATTTTTTGGCTTTTGAGCTTCTGAGAACCCAGCTCTTGTAGATTTTCAAGGAGAATTTTGGCAATACCTATTTTTACCTTGCATGTTTGATTTTAAAGCAGGCTTTCCTGCTTAAGATAAAACTCAACTGTGATAAGCTATTGAATTATTCTATAACCTAGACTCTTCATTTCAGAGTAGGCTTCCCCACTTTGGTCTGGATTAGTGAAGTTTGACTACAAGTGGACAGCAAATGAATTGCAAATTATATGTAAATGTGTATAAATTAGCACCAGTTATTAGAATAATTTGCATTTACAGCTCTGTAATTAGGCAGCAGCTTGGGAGAGAAGGGCAGTGGGCAGGGGACCCAGGAAGCTGGGAAGGCATCCCAGAAGTCCTGGGGTCCCCACCTCTATGTTAATGAGGCTCAGTTTTCCCTTCCTTAGGCCCCTTAGCACAAGACTTTGAG
Organism: Homo sapiens; assembly: GCF_000001405.40. Taxonomy (NCBI): domain Eukaryota; kingdom Metazoa; phylum Chordata; class Mammalia; order Primates; family Hominidae; genus Homo; species Homo sapiens. The sequence goes on along the minus strand of NC_000011.10, from coordinate 116,090,098 downwards.
GATCTAAAACCTGTACCCTGGCTTTTGGATTTCTGGTTCTTGCTAAGATTCTTCATGGCTGCTGCTCAGGGGCTTTGGCCTCTCTGGCTCAGTGTAGCATAGTGACAGGTCATGGGATTTTGAGCATAGAGGTCTTAGATCTATTGCTTTCAGGGTAACTTTGGCCAAATTACTCTCTGATCCTTAGTTTGCTCATCTAAAAATGGGGTTTATAACAAACACTTACCCCCATACTATCAACCAGTACTATGGGGTTCACATGAGATTCTGTATGTGACCCTTATTAACCTTTACATGCATTTGATATAACAGCTGAGTTCATCTAACTAGCCCATGGCGGATCCAGGATTTAAAAGTAGGTTTGTCTGGCTTTAAATCACCTTTGTATCACCACGTCCCATGGCCTTAGCAGGAAGCATGCATGAAGAACAATTTATTCCCACACCATTCGCTCTCCTGGCCCTGCCTGGCCTCCTGCATCACTTGGGTGCAGGTATCTGTTGGCCAGGGATTGGCCCTTAATGCCTTTGCACCCTGTCCTTAAAATACTTCCTGGTAGAATGTGCTTTGGTGTGTGCCCAGCTCTTGGAGCCCATGTCTGTCTATAAGCTTATCTTAAGCATTTCTCTCTCTTTCCCTTTAGCCTGGAACAAGAGAAACAGCATAAAGCCCTCACCCACTTCTCTGTAGCCACCCTTAGATAACCCCCACCTTAGTTGAATGAGGGTAGCTGCAGAGGCACAGGGAGTTGGAAAGAATGTATGATGAAAACATGATCACCTATTTGCCTGTGGAATGAATCAGATAATATTTTTAAAGAAAATTTGCCACTTATTGTTATGAAAACACATGTCTGTGCTCTGAACCCAGCCTGGAGGATGCTCAGAGGAGGAAAGGTACTGAGGGCTAGGGGTCATCCCCAAGCAGATACTAGAGAAAGATCACAGGATCTAGGTTAATAATCAAGTACTGGTTCCTGCTCTGGGAACTTGTAAGCCTTCTGAGCCTTCTTGTACCCTTCACAGAGTGACTGTGAGGATGAAATGGGATTTTAGATGTAAAATGAATTTGCTGTCATTTCATTATTATCAAGAACACGCAGCACAGACCAGTCAGATCAGTTCCTGACCATCCCTCCATCCCTCAACACATATGCCATGTGCCAGTGGTGGAGAACTGCTGGTCATTCTAATCATCTTTAATCATGCTGCCATCTTCCTTCAATGGCTTTTCCTGCTTCATTTGCTTGGCCAGTGTCTACTGATTAATTAATTCATTGAATAGATGGATGTTTATTGAGCACCTACTATATGCGAACCACTATGATGGACACAGGTGACACAATGGTGAACCAAATAAAGATGGTTCCTGTCCTCATGAAGCCTATATTTTCTGAACCATTTAATACTCAGCTTAAATATGAAAGCCCTTTCTTGACATCTATTCTCCCTTAATAGTTTGAAGCACCCCTCCTTTTTGCCCTGCCAGTGTCTAAGGTTGTCTATGCTAGTGCCTTTAACATTGCACTAACTCTTGCACATTGTACTCCCTCTCTCCTCTCTTGCCCTCTCCCTCTTCACTTTGCCTTATCTCTTTCCTTTCTTCTGCTGTCTCCCTCCTGCTGGTAGCCATCTTCTTTGTCCTTCCTTGGAATTTATGAGGCCAATCCTTGAAATGAGAAGGTGACCACTTTCAAACAGATAAAAGAAAGCCCTTCTTTTCCAAGCAGATAATTAATTTGTGTCACTTGCTGGTCATGGAACATAATTGAGGCCAAGGGCTTAAGAAGGCCCTGAGAAGGAATTAGACATGTAGTCACACCAGGGGGAATGTATCACTCACTCTGCTTCCCCATCCCTGGAGGGTGAGGTTAGCGAGCCCTGCTCGAGCTGGGTGGCAAAGAGCTTCTCAGCCTATTAAGGGGCCTGGCCAGGCACAGTGTTCACTTACCACATAGTGAGCAGAGATAGAGCTTTCTGGCACCAGAGATGTGTAGTCAAAGATGCAGAATAAGACTGAAGCCCTGGATTCAAGTCCCGGGTCTGTCATTTTGCTAGCTAAATGATTCAGACACATTTCTTCTCCTCTCAAAGCCTCCAGTTCCTTGAAATCCAGGACTCCTGTGTGCTGCTCCTCCCTGGGCTGTGAGAGGCTCAGGAACTGTAGTAAGCTTGGGAGGATGAGAGAAGAGAAAAGGAAAGAGATAAGGCAAAGAAGGGAAGGAGAGGGCAAGAAAGGAGAGAGGGAGAAGGGTGTGCTAGAATTAGTGCAATGTTGACAGCTCAGCAAGCTGTAGACCTCAGGAAGGACCGAGTGCTCTGTGGATACTCATGGTGTCTCATCTTTGGGCGTAGTGAAAGGCTGGACACTGGAGAAGAGAGAATGTGTCCCAGAAGCTGAAAGTCTGACACTGGTCTTGGCTAAATGAAGCACGTTGCAGGCATAGGGTAACCTGAGGTGAGATCCTGGGAGCAGAAGTGATCTCAGCATCCCCTAGTTCCGTGCCTACATCCAGCACTAACCAGCTATGAGGTCTTGGCAAGTGCTTTTTCCTTTCTTGACTCTCAGTTTCTTCATCTGCAAAATAGGCATTGGGGGTTGGAGCAAGGAAAATTGTACCCAATCATGATTTTGTAAAGCATATTCCTTGGAACATCAGTGAAAAAATGTAAGGAAAAACAAATTCCAGGGGAAAAAAGAATTCAAGGAAAAGTTTGAGAAATGCTGCATAATATATATAGATAATCAGAGTGCAGATTAGCATATTGCATCTCTTGAAAATCCTATAATAGGGAGAACTGTTTTTGTTTAACCTGGTTTGGTCCAAATTTTGCAGAATCCTTTATTAACATCCTGTGGATATTGACACTACCAGGAACATGCCTTAGGAAACAATCTTTTGGGTTGTTATCCATCAAACATTTTGTGCCTCCACATAGCTCACAGGGCAATTCCATACAGACTGGGGAGGAAAGAGAGAGTTCAACCTCACACCAAGAATTGTCCAGTGGTTAGTGCTGTGCTGTTGTAGAATGTCCTGCTGAATCTGTCTGTGAGCTCCATTCTCCTGATTATGTTTGACTATGTTAAGTGACATCCAGCCAGCTTTCCCTGAACAGGCAACACCAGACAGAGCGAGGGGTGGTGGCAGGGGACCCAGCAGATAGGGATCCCCGAGTGGGTAATTGGGAGTGCATTGCAGCTGCAGGCATGTTGCTCATATTGCAAACTAGACCCCCAAGGCATTACGTGAGCTGAGTCTTGGGGAACTGGTAGCAGGTGTGTTAACCTGATATTCTACCTGTAGAATGCCAGCAAGGAGAGTGAAACTGTGCAATGCTACTCAGCATTTTCAAGACAAATGCATTGAGCACTTAAACTGTGCCCAGTACCACATTGATTATCGGTGGCAAAGAGGTGACTCAGACACAATCCCTGCCCATGAGGTACTCTCCAGCTGGGGGAGGGAGGAAACAGGAAGCAGCATGTAAATAGGTAATAGCACCTATTCTCAAGCACTGGTGTGCAGTAATAGCCTGGGAAGTTTGTTAGAAATTCAGGCACTTGGCCTCTGCCCCAGATCTTGAGGATCAGAATCTGTAGGGTGGAACCCAGGCATCTCTATATTATGATATGTGACTAGGTTGGGGAATTACTGAGTTACCTTGACAGGGTTAACGGGGAAAGCATGCACTTTGGAGTCAGAATGTCAGTGAGGTGACCCTGGACAAGTCCCCCTACCTCTCCAAGCCTGAGTTTCTTTATTGAAGATGCTTATGCATATGGAGGAGGATTACATTGGGACACCGTGTGTGAGGCACCTAGCACAGTGTCTGGCACCCCACAGTCAGGAAGTGGTGGCTATTCTTGGTACATTTATTGAAGTACAGTAGAAACAGAGAAAACAGAAAAATCACCCACTCAAGTCCACTTCCACAGGCCCTATCCCAAAAGGCAGGGAGGAGCCAGGCTGGGTTCTAGACATTTCTGGTACCAGCTGGAGCAGGGCACGCTGAGTGCCGGCATTGCTATAAAGAGATACCATTTAATTGCAGAAGGTGACATTGGGCCCAACACTTCAGCGCTTTTTACAAGGGGGAGTTTGAGAGACTTCTGGAGTTCGGCAGAGCTGCATGGCTCTATTTAGCCAAGATCCAAATTCCCGTTACAGCAGCTCTTTTGGTCTGATTCACACATTTAGTAGCAAAGCATTCACTTCCTTACAGCAATATTAATTTCCTGTGGGCATGCCTTATTGCCTTTGCTAGGTCCTTACGGCCAAGGTCTGAACATTTGACACCTCTTCTATCCCTCACCTAGTGCTGTGCAAACAATAGATACTCAATAAAAATTTGTGCCTAATTGATAATTGATCTGTTGCACTGGGGAGGGCAGATGTCAGCTGTGGCTGTTTTGTCTTCAATTTGGGTTCATTTTCACCTTTAAAGAGCTTGTGCATTATTATATTATCATATTATGCAAACCAAATATCCTAAAAAGACTGATAGTTAACAAACAGACTAGTAGATTAGGGATTACCTGTGGGATTCATCCTAATCAACCAGCCTACTTATCTGCCTGTGATCAGGGCCCCGAATCTTTATCATTCAGCTGAGTGAAGCAACATACCAGGTTCCCAGAGGAGTAGAACGGGATTTCAATTACATATCCATTTTTTTTTTTATCACTTCACTGAAATAACATGGGCTCCCTGGCTCTAAATTGCTAAAAACCAGTTTAAGTTAAGGAGGCAAATAGACACTAATTACAGAGCAAAGAGGAGTCCAACGCACCAAGGCGCTTGGCTGAGATGCCTTCCGTCACTTCCTCCAATGTGAAGCTGGAAGAAATTGAAGTCTCCTCCTCTCCTGCTTTCCCACTCTCAGGAACCCCTCCCCTCAAGGGGTAGGAGTTTGGGGGGCGGGGTACAAAAGAGCCATCTGTGGAGAGAAGTTTGGATGTTCCTCTTTTAGCCCTGGCAAGCTATTAACTTGAAGACCATGGCATCTGTTTCTTTTGTATAATAATCTGTGTCGTTGTCTACATACTTATCTATTTAGAGGCACCCTCAAATCCTAATCAGTACTGCAGCTTCCCAGTGAAAAGAGTAATAATGCATAGGCATTAGGTGACCTGAATCCTGCCTGTTCCATGATCAAATGGTTACATGACCTTCACCTTGGACAAGTCACTTCACCGCTTGGGCTTCAGTTTCCTCTTTTGTACATGATGAGCCGGTCAATATTTGAATAGCTCTACAGGGGGAAAAAGCCCTTATTTGTAGCTTTTGCCAATTTCCTTGGTGTAAATACTCCTACCATGGCTGATTTCAACCTGTCACCCTGAAGTTAATGAACCTGGAGTCGAGAAGAAAGGCACACAATCCACTCTCCGGGGGCTGGTGTGAGACGGCTTCTGCAACCACCGGCTGAGATCTCTTCCAGCTCTTACATCAAAAGATAATGTGATGGCCATACAGAGCTCATTTAGTCTCTCTGCCTGTCTGGGTTAGATACATATCTCCACTTCTTAAAGGGGAAATTAATTGGTGGGTAACAAGAAAATAACCTCATTTCTGTCCCTTTCAGACATGGGGGAAGAGTAAAGAAAGCAATATTTTCAACATGTGATAAAAAAATACACGATTTCATTCATTATTTATATCAGTATTTAATGAATATGTAATAACATTTATTAATGTAATAATCACATTCAAACCTTCGTTGAATAAAAAAAATTCTGCTTTTTTGCCTTTGTGAAGAGAAGGTGGAACATTTATTGCATACAAAGGGAGTTTGACAAAACACTTTCCCCCGATCTGTCACACCCAAGTCCACGTCAGCAAATGCTTGGTGGCTGAGCACTGACAAAACTCCTTGGCCATGGAGGTTTTCCCTTTTCACAAAAGGCAGAGTTCTGGCAGTCAGGCACTGAGTACTAAGCCAGCCATTCAAGATTCTCCCAACACACCCCATGTTACTTGTCCCTCCAAGTATTTGCCCATTTCAAATGCCTTGTCCTCCAGCTTTACTGCAGGTCCTTCCCTACCTTCTAGAGCATCTTCCTCTGACCCACCATGGCACTTTGACCTTTCTTATGGCACGTGTCTTATCCTGCCTTGACTGCAGTCATTAGTGCATTTGTCCTATTGCTAACCAGATTGTGAGCATCTTGAAGGAAGAGGTTAGGTCTTATTAATCATTTTTTTAATTTCCTGCAGTGTGCTTAATAAATGCTTTTGGAATTTTAATTGAATTTGTATGACTAGAAGGTGATGTCGTTCTATAATCTAAAGAGTTCTTTAAAAAATGAGTTCTGAAGTTACATTCTATTGAAGAATATGCAGGATAACAGTAGCCAGAAATGTTGCTGTGCAGAAGAATAGCAGAAAACAAAACTCCTAGGATGCTTTGTGGGATGCCAAAAAATACTCCCCACCTCACATACAGTGGTTTGTTTGACATCTGACATTACTTATTTCAAATAAGTATCCATCTATATACACATTTGTTAATCTTATAACTGAAATCAATTGAACAAGATATTTTCAACATTATCTTCTCTAAGCACATATAACATTCTAGGTGGCATGGGACATATGGAAGTGGTACAGTATAGTCTCTGCCCTCAGGGAGCTTGGAGCTGGGGAGGTGAGCAAGATCAATATCCCTGACATACAAGTAAGTGGTCCAGGGGTAGTTAGATAATACTGGACTTAAACCTTGAAAGATGAAGTTGAATTTAAGTAAGAAGAGGAAAGAGAGAAGGAGATAGAAACAGAGAAGCACAGGAGAAGAAATAAAGGAAGGAAAATAAAGGAAGAAAAACAAAGGTATTTTAGGATGCGAAGGGGAAGATGTGGAAGTGGTGGGGGTACAGCATCATGGGGAGGGGTGTTGACTGGCTGGTGTGAGGCTTTCGTGTTGGGAGATAGTATCATAGGTTCGCCTGAGAACTAAAAGATGTAAGGCCTTGAACCCCTGTTGAGCTTGGATTTTAAGAAGCACCGGGAAGCCACCACAAGCTTCAGGATGAGGAAGTAGCACCATAAGGACAGACGCTGGAAGACAAGCACTGGAGCCAGACAGCATTGGCCAGCTGAGGTCAGAAGCCTCCAGTGGGACTAGTTGGAAGAACTAGAGATTCCCGGCTTCATGATGGCAGTGAGGATGGAATGGAAGAGATGGGGGAAAGGAGGGAGAAGGAAGCATCAACACAATTTGGGCACTGGTCAAGCTATCTGACAGCGCGTCATAGAGTAGAGTAAAAGGTGATGGGTGGGTAGCTGTTTAAAAGATGCGTGGGGTGGGAATTAGAAACGAACCTCAAAGTCATTGAGAAACCCAGGAAGATCTGTGGGGCCAGGTCCTCTTTCTCTGTCTTTTTCCTCTCTTGGACTGCAAGGTTGATCTCTCTCTCTCTCTCCAGTTCCTAGAATCAGTCCTTCTCCCTCCATAGCTATTCCACTCTCTTCTCTCTTCCATTGCCTTTCGATGATCACTTACTTTTTTCTCTCTCTCAATAATTCCAGCTTTTCCATATCAACCATGACCCCACAGCCCACCCACTGCTAAGTGACTCAGCTGCTCAATATGCGCCTCTTCATACTTCCACCAGAGGGGATCTGATTGACTCAGTGTTCGCACCTGTTACATTATGGGAACAGCCACCAGGTCTTGGCTCAGGTGCCATCTCCTAGTCCCATCTGCTATGGTCTGATGGTGGTGGTGACGATGCGGTGGGGCCAGAATCTGGGTCACATTATGGAAAAAGCCAGGTACTGTTAGGCAGGGCCTCAGAAAAGGCTGTAGGTGGGGAGCATCATGACTATTATCTCTACATAGTTTTGCATTTAGGGTATAAAGATAATGATGGAGTCAAAATGACTACAAATTCATGAAACTGGCTAGCTGGAAGAATAGAGTGGCAGTGACAAGAAAATAGAAAAATGTAGCAGGAAAGCAGGGTGGGAACAAACAAGTGATATGTTCATTTAGGGCTAAGCTGAATTTTACTTATTCATTTAGCAAATGTTTATCACCTGTCCACCATGTGCCAAGGCGTGTGCTAGGTGGGGACTGAGGAATTAACAGACTTAAATATTGAATACGTCAACTGAATAAATTAAATTATAGTGATACCTACCATCTGTGAAGCTCCTGTAGTGTACAATGTGCTTTTTTTTTCTTGGATGGAGTCTCGCTCTGTCACCCAGGCTAGAGTGCAATGGCACGATTTCGGCCCACTGCAACTTCCACCTCCCGGGTTCAAGTGATTCTCCTGCCTCAGCCTCCCCAGTAGCTCGGATTACAGGCATGTGCCACCACACCTGGCTGATTTTTGTATTTTTAGTAGAGATGGGATTTCACCATGTTGGTCAGGCTCTTCTCAAACTCCTGACCTCAGGTGATCTACCTGCCTTGGCCTCCCAAAGTGCTGGGATTACAGGTGTGAGCTACCGTGCCTGGCCACTATGTGCTTTTGATATACTATCTCTTTTAGCCCTCACAGCCATCTGATGAAGAAGATATTAATTTCATTTTATAGTTGAGGACACTGAGGTTGGTGAGATTTGAACTTGAGTCTGCCTGATGACAATGCCCAGGTGCTGTACACTGGATTTTATGAGGACAGTGGATCTGGAGCTCCAGAGAAAGGTCAGGGCTGTGGATGGATATTTGGAATTCATCTTCATAAAAGTGTTAAACACATTCAGGAGAATGAATTTATTCTCTAAAAGAAGAAACTCAGATTTTCCTTTGAGGGGAAACCTATGTTTAAGGGGTAGAAAGAAGAAGAGGAGCCTCCAGTCGATACATAAGAGCAGCAAGAGACTTAGCAGGGGAATGAGGATAGTGCAGAACCACCTGGGAGGGGAGTTCCAGAAGGAAGGGCAGCTGCTGGTGTCAGTGCCATAGATTCAGGAGACTGAAGACAGAGGAGACAGGCTCCAGATCAGGTTATTGTGAGGATTCAGGTGACCTCATGGATTGGATGAGTCACTGAGGAACCATCTGGGCTGGCCAATGGCTACAGTTTTGGGGTCGATGAGATATCAGTGGACACCATTACAGATATGGTAGAAGGAAGAGTCTCACAGTGGTTTCCAAGTGTGGTCCCCGGACCTGCAGCATCAACATCACCTGGAAACCCATTAGAAAAGCAAACCCAGCTGTGGGCCCAGCAAGTTGTAGTTTAACAAGCCCTTCAGGTGATTCTGATGCACTCTCAGGATTGAAAAGCACTGGTCTGGGAAAGACACAGTCTCCTCAGACCTGAATGTCACATCATTCCAGGTGTATACTTTGGGAGGTACACAGACCCACTGTAGCACCTTCAGATGGTGAGAAGGAAGGCCAATTAAAAGAATGTCCAAAGAAAGGAGTACTCATCATGAGATAAAACACCAGCAGAGGAATGAAAGCTGCTTCAAACAGGTATGGACTTTGAATATGAACCAGGCACGGTACTTGGCACAGGGGATGGTGTGAGCAAGGCAAAGTTCCTGCTTTTACAGAGCTGACACTCCATTTGGGGAGGCATATAAACATACAAGAAGACCTCAGGTAGTCAGGGTGTGTAATAACAATAAAACATCATGATGTAGTAGGAAAGGCTGGAAGTCTGCTCCAGTCAGAGAAGGACTTGAAGAGTAAGTGACATTTGAGTGAAATCTGAATGCATCAATGAGCAAGCCACAGGAAGGAACAGCAGAGGGAAGAGGGGTCTTGGTGGCAGGAGCTTCAAGTACAAAGACCCTGATTCAGGAACAGGCTTGACTTGTTCAAGGAATAGACAGAAATCCAGTGTGGCTGGAGGCTGGTCAGGGTGGTTCTCACATGGGCAGTGCCATCTAAGATAGGGTCATATAGTCCAGAGTAAGGGTTTTAGACTTATGGTAAGTTCAAGATAGGAAGTCTATGGAGGATTTTAATAAGGAGAGGGACACGATGAAATTTCTATTTTCTATTCCAAAATGCAGGAACAACCCAAATGCCCATCAACGGGTGAATGAGTAAACAGAATTGGTATATCCATACAATGGAATATTATTCAGCTATAAAAAGGAATGTAACTCTGATATAGGTTGACATGAATGAACCTTGAAAACATGATGCTAAGTGAAATAGACACAAAAAGAATACTGTATGATTTCACTTAAATGAGGTGCATAGTGTAGTCACATTCAGAGACACAAAAAGTATATCAGAGGTTAAAAGGGGCTGAGGAGAGAAATGGAGTAGGGGAGTTACTACTTAATGATTATAAAGCTTTAGTGTGGAGTAATGCAAAAGTTCTGGAAATTGCCTGTAGTGGTTGCGTAACAATGGGGAGGTACTTACTGAATTGTACACTTAAAAATAGGTAAAGTAGTAAATTTTATGTTATATCTAGCATACCACAATAAAAATGTATTACACATAAGTTACTCTGGCTGCTGTGTGGAGAACTGGTTGTGGGGTGTCATGGGTGAAGAAGCAGGAAGACCAATGGGGCTGTTGCGTGATCTTGTTCAGATGCTGATGCCTGGGCAGAGGAGTGCCAGCTGAGGTGGAGAGAAGGGGTGGATTGGAAGCCGAGAGCTGATTGGATGAGCTATGCATGAATGAGGTGAAGAAGGGAGGGTCTCATGTGATCCCCAAAGTCTTTTTTTTTTTTCTTCCTTTTTGTGGAGAACGAGGTCTCGCTACATTGCCCAGGCAGGTCTCGAATTCCTGTGCTCAAGCTATCCTCCCGCCTTTGCCTCCCTGAGAGCTGGGATTACAGGCGTGAGCCACCGCGCCTGGCCCCAAGGTCTTTTCTTGAGACACAAAGTGCGTGGTGGTGTCCTGATATTTTAGGGGAAACAGCTGAAGTGCTGTCAGCTGATATTTTAGGGGAAACAGCTGAAGAAATATTATGCTTGCTTAGTGCCACACAAGGGGCGGATGGGACTGTAAGGAGACAGGTTTGGGCTCAATATTAAAAAATAAAAAATTCTTTCAAATTGAGCCATTCTGAGCATGGTTGAGGGCCTGTAAGAGCAGGGGATGAGACTCTCCTTAGAGAGGCCACCATGGAGAGGAGACTAGGACTAGGTGATCTTCCTAGTGGGTTCTCAACAACCCTCAGATTCCTTTATCCCAAGTCTTTGGAAGCCTTTGGAAATGGGATTTCTGTTGCAGGTTGAGGCAGAAGTCAGATTACAGAGGTGGGTGGTGAGGAAATGAGATAGTGGCTGGAGGCCCTAATTTGAGATGATTGTCAAGAATATTGGAGCCAGGAAAGCCAACAGGGTTAAATAGGGTTTTTCTGTTTTCTTTTTCATTCTCCTTCCCTCTTCCCTCTTTTCTGAGATGGAGGAAAATGAGCTCTCACTGTTTCCTAAGAGGTCCCTGGGAGCGAGATAACATAAGGATGGCTGGTCATTTTCGGTTAGAATTGGGACCCATGGAACAATTCTTTCCTTCTAAGCTGGGTCCCAGCTCCATGTTCCTGCAGCCACCACAGCTATTCTGACATACCATCACAGACAGCCTCCGTGGCTCAAATCACTTCCCGCTGTGCACCCATAACACACAGATTGGAGGTAACTTTACTCTAGAGAACCAATTAGCACAGACCCAGGCTGGGTAATTACAGTTTGATAAGATCCTTGCAGCCGATATCCAGGGCAGATAAAGCGCTAGGAAGCCATTTCTCAGCAGGACTTGGGGGGGAAACACAATGCAACTCACCTTCCTCCTTCCCTTCCCTGCCCTTGGACCCCACCCCTGTCTCTCTCAAACTTTAAACTGGCCCCAGAGAGGAAGGGGATGAAGGGGATTAGAAAAAAGTCGCTCAGAGGCTCTGGAGTGGGCAGCTTTTCCTCTCCTAGGCTAGGCCCACTGCTGGTGCCTGCTTTCCTTTCAGCCCTAAGAGGTCGCTGTTACTCAAAGCTGGGGAGATGGTACCAACTAACTAGAAGGAAAACTAAGGGCTTCCACCCTGAGTGGCAGACAAGGAAAGGGATGCCCCATATATGCCTTCTGGATAGACAGGCAGATGCCACAGTGCTGCTCAGGGAGGCCAGGGCCACCCTCCACAGCCCCTCAGGCCCTCCAGGGTCTCTTGTCTCCTTCTCTGCCGTTCCCTTTGGACTTGCGCAGGGGTGGCTGCTGTGTGCAAAGCCATTTCTCTTCTGCCTCCTCTTCTAAGCCATCTTTTTGTCTACCTGAACCTCACCAACCACCCCTCACTGGCTTCCCCAGAACCACTGGGGCTCTCTTTAATCCACGGTCTACACTGCAGCCAGAGGGATTGTTTCCAATGCAAATCTGATTCTGTCGTTCTCATACTTAAAAATCCTTCCATGGCTCCACTACCATTGAGATCATATGCAAACATGGCCTTGGCGTGGCTGAATTTTTTTCCTTCAAAATTTTCAGTAACAAAGCATTGCAGATCCTGTTGCAATTCACTGCCTGCCATTCTCCACTCTCATTTTCTTTTTTGAGCTCTTTAGTGGTGAACTTTTCTTTTGTGACTTTACATTTCACTTTTTAAATTAGCCAGTGCTGAAGTTAACTTAATTTTTGCCGTAAAGTTCTATGAGTCTTAACACGCATAGGATGTATATACTGCCATCACAATCAGAACATGAAACAATTCCATCACCCCCCAGACTCCCTGGTGCTGTCCCTTTGTAGTGACACTGTGCCCCCCTTCCCTAGCCCCTAACATGCACTGATCTGCTCTCCACCACTATAGCTTTCTTTTAAAAATGTGATAGAAATGGAATCATACAGTATGTAACCTCTGAGAGTCCTCCAGCTATTGCATACGTCAGCAGTTTCTCTTTTTTATGGCTGAGTAGTATTCCATCGCATGAATGAAACATGCAATGAAATACTATTTTGTTTATCCACTGTCTTGTTGGCATGGCCCCTTTGTCTCCTGACATTTGTACATGTTGTTCCTTCTTCCAGGGATATTCCCTATCTCCTCCTCTTTGCCTACCAAATGTATTGTCTCTGTTCAGAGATCAGTTTGTATGCCTCTTCCCCAGGAACATCCCTCAGACTCTAGACAGAATTAAGTCCTCCATACTAGGTGCTCCTACTCACTCAGTTTCTTTCTTGAACCACATCCTCACACTTCAGGGTAGGTTTTGGTTAAATTGCCTGTCTTCTCCACCATTCTGTGAGTACCATGAGGGCAAATGTGCTGTTCCCTGCTATGTTTCCATCACCTGGCAAGTCCCAACATATACTTGTTGAATTAATGAACATTATTTGCTTTCGTATCCTAGGACCTAGTATTGTAGTAAACATTCAGCAAATCACAATGCATGTCTGACGAATTAATAAAGAAATGTCTTTGGTGTCCATCTCTTAATTGATACATACATTCATTTGTTTTGTTTACACTGATCAGACCACTTTGTCAATCTTTCTGTATATTCTGAGCCACCGCTTTTTTTTTTTTTTTACAGAGTTGCAAAAACAAATTGAGATAGCTTGTAATAATGACATACTACAATAAGATACAAATAGAGATTGATGATTGGGATGAAGCGAAATAAAGGAGGAACAAGAATAGGAGACCTTAGCTAGAACACAGAAATTCATGTCATAAAGTCTGAGCTTCCTAGCAACCAAAGACAAAGGGGAAGCCATCAGTAGCAAATTTGGCATTGTCTATTAGTGAAAATTATACCAGTTTCTCTGGAGAAGCTGAAGCTAAGGGAAGTTGCCCATGTGGAACTTCAAAAAGGGACATCTAGATCTAATAGGCAATTTTTAAAGTGCCATTTTGACATTAAATGTAATAGCTAGACTCGTGGCTTTCCTTGAAGGATTTCTTCAGTGCAAACTTAAATCAGTATGCCTAAACACAAGTTAGGAAATCTGCTTCCACAAGGAGCGAAAACCATTTGGTCCAAATATACAGCACTGATCGTCGGGCTTGATCCAGAGATAAAATCGAGTGTACCTATAGGAGTAGATGGGCTACATGTCCTTCAGATAATCCTCCATGAATAATATTTCTTGCACCTGGGCTTTTCAGACAGCCAGCAGCTGAAAATTGGAGTTTGTTTCCCAGTGAGGGTATAGAGGATCCTCTTGTGACATCAAGCCTCTTAACCCAGGCTGTTGCCTGAGCCGATTGCCATTTCCCTGGGTCTGCTGAGTCACCAACATAATCATTTAAGGTCATAGAAGAGAAACTGAGGTCTCCCCTTTCCACTTCCACACCCCAGGTATATGCATTATCAAGAATTTGGTAATGTGTGTAATGTATATACCTGGGGCGTGGAAGAATTTGGTTCAGTGTTAGGAGAATTTGGACAACAGAACTTTAGGAGAATCCCAGATCCTGAGATTAAACATGTCGAAGACAATGCATCAGCTAATATTTGGATACAGAATGTTCCCATTTACACAGTTTTTTCATTGGTGTTCACAAATGCAGGGCAGGAGGTAGGCTGCGCAAGGCTTACCATCCCTCCCATTGTACGGGTGACAAACAGATACTTAGGAGGGTAAATGAGTCTCTCAGCATAATGTGTCAGAACTGAGACACTAGTTTCCCTGGACTCAAATCCTGTGTTCTTTGCACTTCCCATTTAAAATATTAACATACTAGAATACTACATGCTAATGTAGTATAATGATTTCCTAGAACAGTAACAGGGAGAGGTGACTTTTATCTTTAGATCAAGAATAAGGAGTTTCCAACTATAATAAAAGGGATTTGGATTAGGCATTAGAAAGATATCTTCCTGGCCACTCTCCATTTACATCTCCATCCTACCTTAAATCTCTATCAGGGAGAGATGTGAGTCATAAGAACAGGCCACTGAGGGAGATTAAAATTTTCCCACTTATAACCTTTAAAAATGTGGGTACTGCTCTTGATCAGGAAACAATTTTGGGGTTGTCCTATTTAGAGACACCCATATCTCCCTTGAGCTTTCTTTTGCCTTCCTTCCTATCCTCCATAGCCAAGCCTGGGCATCAATCTGGGGCACCTGCCAGTCATTTATCTATCCACTCAGCAATATGTGTTGTGCTGGACCATAACTATATCAAAGTCTCAGTAGGAGATATGTTTCCCTTCAGACAGTCCAGATAAAGGGGCTCCAAGGAAGGAACTAGTTACAAAGGTATGAGCAGGCTAAGGGACCAAAAAGGCATGGCAAAGGATCAGAAACCTGCAATATCAAGACAGCCAGGGGAAATGGAGCTACTGGAGCCCATGAGCACTGGAATCATGGAAGAGAGGCTGTTTGGCAAGAGCTGTAGCAGCTGTAGCTGTAGAAGGACCCTCCTGCCAGATCCACAGTGTCAAAGCAGGGAAGGAGTGGCCTCTGATGCTCACACTGGACACACCCAACAAGGAACCAGTCATCAAGAGAGCGTGGGAGGTGCAATTGGCAGAGGTCAGCCTCCTGGGGCCACAGCAGGTTGCAGAAGAGTGGAGCATGGACTGGAGGGGGCAGAGGGCAAATGGAGAATAGACAGCTCAGTAGGAACCAAAGCCACACAGTCCCCGCCCTCCTCTAGCTTTCATTCTAATGAGGCAGCCAGATAATAGATATTTACACACAAAGGGTGTGTTGCAATAACAGCAGTGATGCATGCTATGAAGAAAAACAGAGCAGCGAGAGCTGGAAGTGGGAAGGGGAGCTATTTTAGATGCAACGGTCAAGGAGGCCTCTGAGGAGGTGATATTGTGCAGAGAACTGAATGATGTGAGGGACTGGTAGTCAGATTCCAGCGAGGCGAGATAATCTCATTAGGGAAAAGTGAGGGGGATAAAGTGAAGGCTGGCTCTGCAGAGTGTCCCCCACCCCCACAGCTGAGGGCAGAGCCTGGACCCACTCATATCTCCCAGCCCCAATGCGTGATGCAGAAACTCTAGAAGAGGACAAAGGGAGAAATGCCACCAAAGGTGTGCCCGACATCACTGGTGACGAGCGTGAGAGAGCCCAGAGCTCCCATCTCAGTTGGCTTGGCTCACACGCTGCACGCACAGCTCCCCACACAACCATAGCAACAGATTCATTCTGAATGAGGCGGAAGCATGTCAGTGCTGTGCGGGGGTTTCAGAGCTTACTCAGCGAGAGACAAGTGTGGGGAAGGAAGGCCGCTGTTACCAATTGCTAGGCAGTGACCCAGAAAATGCTTCAGACTCCCGTGGCTGCTCCCCAAGAGTTGGAAGAGAGTGGCAGCTGGTGGACAGGTGGTGGAGCACCCACACTCAGCGATGGTTGTTCTCCACAGTGGTCTGGGGCTCAGGAGTGGGCTATAAATGGCATTGTGAGGGACTCACACCCACCTCCCCCTAACTCAGAGACAGTTTCTCTCTTTCTCTCTCTCTCTCTCTCTCTCTCTCTCTCTCACACACACACACACACACACATACCCCTAGAAGTGCAGGATTCCATAAGAGCATGTAGCAGAAACACAAAACAAGTACATAGTGGTTCCAGGAAGGCTTCCTGGAAGAAGTGGCATGTAAGCTGAGACCAGAAAGCAGATGAGTTAGCTGAGCAAAGAGAAGGTGCAGAAACATTCCAGGCAGAGGGAACAATGTGTAGAGGCTCAGAAATGAGAGAGAGAGCAAGCTGGCCCAGGATTGGGAACCAACAGAAGTTCAGAATGGCTAGAACAGAAAGTGGGAGAGATTCTGGAACAGATGCGGCTGGTGGGGGGTCATCCACATTCTCCTTCTGGTCCCTCCTGTGAGTCCTCGGCTGCGAAGGTGACACTCTTATTTCCAGAGCAGTGTACAGTTTGCAAAGCGCTTCTGTGTCTATTTTTCATCAGTTTCTTTGTCACACTCATGATGGACAGCAGGGCTGGGACTGTGAACATGGGTGAGAACAAAGGGCTTTGTGACATATGGCAACTCGTTCAAAGGCACACAGCTAAGGGTCAGCAGCAACACACTGCACTCCTGACTCCTGCTCTGATACTTGCCTCACTGGAACCGTCATCCCCTCTCATGTGGCAAATGCAGCTGGGTATGTGGTCAGTGCAACCTGTACTTCTACAGCCACCAGCCTGCAGGCTGGACCCCATTAGAGTGAGGAACGGAACCCCTGCTAGCCAGCCTCAGGTACATGCTCTGGGCATGCGCATGCGTGAGTGTGAGCATACTCAGCCTCCAGGGGGCCCCGCCTGGCACTAGATTCTGTTGTTGAAGCTTTGGTTTCTGAGTCCCATCCTGCTCCCCAACTTGGGCCAAGGGGTCCCTGGACAGAACCTCCAGCACTGTTTCCAAGGCACTTTTTCTCCTCCTAAGACGAGGCTGCAAATCCTCTAGTCTTAGCGTTTTGTTTGGTTGTGGCTTTGCTCTCTGGCATTTTCCACGTCACCCAACTGCCTTTCATGCCTCACTTCCGCGTGGTTGTTTCGCGCCTGCATCTTTTCTATCATGTTCCTTCTCCCTTTGTTCTGGGGCTTCTGTGATCTGCCCTGAGTGCTCCATCCTTTTGCAGGCTCTGCCTACTTTCCCTCCCTCCTGTGCTAGACTGCCCGGCCTCTCTCTTCCTCCTCCTCCTTCCTCTCCATCTCCATCCCCTCTGGGCCAGCCATCCTCCTATTTCTACAGCAATACCTCCCTAGAGAGAGATGCCCCAGACCCTAGAAGAGCTGGCCTGGGGGGCTTGAACTTGCTTCCCAGAACTGTGCTTCGGGGAGTCCAGTGGATGAGGAGGCATCACGACTCCACTGCCTTTGAACGGGAGGGGAGGAGAAGGGAGGCGCACACAGACTGAAGGAAAGAGCAGCTATTAGTCACCAGGAGGAGAGAAAGAAAAGGAATTGGTCCAGCAGCAGGGGGTCCAACAAAGCTCACACAGCCCAAATCAGCCCTGAATTTAATAAGGGGATGGGAATTAGAAGCAGACAGGGAAAGGCATTGCTGCTGGCCCAGCTTCTCCCCTCCTGCAGCCCAAGGGGAGGAAAAAAGGTGAGCCTGCAGGCACCTGGGGTAGATACCTCTTTGTGTCTTTGAAAGCTGAGGGGAAGAATAACGGGAGGCAGAGAGAACAGATAGAGGCAGGAGAGAAAGGGACAAATAGCTGCTCGCATTACTTCTGTGCTTTATAGGGGCTTCAAACATCCCATATGCATCCCCGTGAAACAGCACAGAATGCAGCGTCCTTTGTAGCTGAGTGCTTTTCCTTCTGCCCAATTATTTCCCTTTAACATAGTTCGGTGACAGGAACAAATATTTGGATAAATTCAATAATAGTGGTTGCCACCTCTAGGTATCAGGCCCTAGGTAGGTGCCAGGGATCAGCAATGAATAATGCATGGTTCATGCCCTGAAGATGGGCACAGTCTAGAAAGAGACAAAGACAGTTACAGTAACAATTCAATCCGGTTGACCATACATGCAAAGTCCTGTGGTGACCCAGCTCTGCCTAGAGGGTTAGGAACACTTCACAGAACGTGGACTCTAAGCCAAGACTCAGAAAACAAGGGAGAGTTAGGCAACCAGGTAGAGAAAGGGTAATCCCAGCAGTCGGAAGAAAATTGCTCAAAACCTTGGAGCCATCATGGGTCTGGTGTGTTTGGGGAATGTAGGGGCACGTCGGAGCAAGAAAGAACAAGCCAGGGGAAGCTAGCAGCTGATTGCCCTTGGGGGCTCTGGTGGATAAGTCGCAGTGGGATGGGAAGTTCAAGAGGCTCCTGGAATTCAGGGATAAAGGATAAAGGAGTCACCACCCATCTTCCTATATGACTCCCAATGTGACTAAGCCATGCTTCTCAGTGAAGGTTCCAAAAAGGGCGTGGGGACCAGGACCTTTGTTTAAGACGTCTTAAAGGAGTCTGGGTTTTTGTTGGCCTGGCTTTTGGGGGAGGTGGCAGGTGTTATGCATCTCCATGTAATAGTACCCTCCTCTCTGCTTTTGCTTCCAGTCATGAAGATCTTCATTAACTCTCCCCCTCCAACTCCCCCGCCCCAACACACACACGCTCCTTGGAATATGTTCATTTCCACTCATCTATAATGGCCTCAGGCCAGAGTTTATTTGTTCTCTTCCACCCGCCCCACCCTCATTCTGTGGCAGAAATGAGAATAGAGCCCTGAGGAAGCCCAAGGAAAAATAGTACAAAAAACCTTCAGAAGGGGTTTTCTTATAATGAGCATAATTTGGAAAGCAAATTGGAAAACTGTATCAAGAGTGTGCTTAAAATCCCTATTGGCTCCCTACTACCTTAAAGGTAGAATGCAAACTCATGGCACGGTCCGCAGGTGGGCCACCTCCTGCTCAGCCTTGTCTCCATCAGCCTTATCTCCTGTCATCAGCCTCTCCAGACCCTCTCTGCAGGCACGTCTATGCCCTGATACGATCAAGCCACCAGCAATTCCTGGAATACCCCATATTTTCTACTGCTGTCATGACTTAGATCTTGCTATTTTCTCTGTCTGGAATTTCCTTCTCCACCATGCCCTCCAGATTGACATTTCCTGCATTTGCAGGGCAAGTAGATCCTGTTCTGGAATGGCTTGCTCAACCATGTGCCTCTTGCTTGGCTCAGTGAGAATCATTTCCCTGGGACCCCAGTAGCCCCCCTTACCACAACTGGAATATTTATGAACTGTGTAGTTTATGTGTCTGTGTTGCCGCCAGACTGTGAACCTTCTGACGGCAGAGACTAACTCTTCCATCTTTGTACCCCCCGTGCTTAGCGCAGTCTCTGGCCTGGAGTAGGTTTTCAAAAAATGTTTGGTGAAAGCATGGATGAGTCATAAACATTATTCTATCCCTCCACCTAGTAATTTCAATTCGAGATATTTATTATTAGGAAATATTACAGAAGAAGGAAAAAGAAGCACGTGCATAGCTATTCATTGCAGGATTATCTTCATTAGTAGAAAACTAGAAGCATCTAAATGCCAACACTAGGGGAACTGTTAAGTGAGTTACAGACTATTGCATTGCCATTACAAAGAATAACTGTTGAGACTAGTAACAATGTAGAAAATGTTTCCCACACAGTCTATGGTTTTAAAAAATGGGATATAAATGGTATGTTCACTCTGATTATAATTATGTAAAAGTAAGAGCAAGGACTAAAAGATAATATACAAAAAAATGAGTTGTTGGTCTGGGCTTAACCCACTATTTTTTTCCTTCTTAAACATTCTTAAAAATTCATTTTGATGCTGTTATAATAATATTTGTATGGAAAAATAATATTGATACTCGGGGAAACACCCACGTATTTATATGCATATTTATATGCATGAGCCATGCAATCCAGTCTCTGTCTTTAAGAGATTTTGACAAATATATTGTCCTTTTGTACAACAGCCTTAAAAACCCATAGATTGCCCTCAAATGCTCTGGCTTCTCCCATTATGACCCTGTGAACCATAATATATTCAAAATTCTTCAAGCTGTTTGTGTTTTCAGCTCACGATGACATAGATTTGGATTATATCCTTTTAGCTTATTCCTTCTAGGCCAATAAAGCCTTATCTTTAATAAGTCTGCATACGGTGCTTCCTACCGCCATCCTTATCACATTGATCATTCTGTAATTCTTTCCTGGACCTGCTCCTTATCTATTGCAGTGTTTGCATATCAACTATTTTATCAAGTGCTTACCTTATGCCAGGTAGGGTGACCAACTAGCTCCATTTGCCTGGTATTATCCTAGTTTTAGAACTGAAAGTCAGGCATCCTGGAAAACAAGTCAGTCACAGGAAAATCAGGATAGTTGTTCACCCTAGTACCAGGCTCCACATTATACAATGAAGTTAAAGTTATGAACCAGATGGACACACTCCTGCCCTCAAGGAGCTTACACGGTAACTAGTGGGAAATGACCAAAAATGTAATAGACAATTTGAATGTGCTGCTACAAAGATTGGCATCAACAACTATGAATGTGTAGAATATAAAGCAATGATTTTCGCAAATGCCTGTGAGGGGTGTGTGTGTGTCTGGGGCTAGGGATGACCTACAGAAGAGATGGTATTTGAGCTGGACATTGAAAGGAATGTAGGTGCTTTTTCAAAGAGATGAGGGACGTTGCAAATAGGTATCTGCTGGAGTCTCAGGTCTGGTCCTGCACAGCACTATGTGTGATTGCACTGCTACTTTCTTCAAAGGAAGAACAGCGCTCCTGTTTGGTTTCCAACACCCTTCTTTATGTGACCCAGCAGTTGGCCTTTTCTGACATCTGCCCGCTGGGTTCTAGTCTTCTTAGACTGTTCTTGGTCATGTTTGCAGCTAGGTGTGCATAACCCAAGAATGAAGTGCGAATGCTCTCTCCTTGCTGCAAAGTGGCCTAGTGTCCGCTAGGCTTTCCCATACTAAACACTTACCCCAGGCAGCGCTCTCCTGGCCTGGCCTGCTTTGACTGATATCCACCTTCAGTGAGGGGTGGCGTGAGGGCTAGGGATTATTATGGGCCGAATTGTGTCGCCTCCCAAAATCTTTTTTTTTTTTTTTGAGACAGAGTCGCCCAGGCTGGAGTGCAGTGGTGCGATCTCAGCTCACTGCAAGCTCCGCCTCCTGGGTTCATGCCATTCTCCTGCCTCAGCCTCCCGAGTAGCTGGGAATACAGACTCCCGCCACCACGCCAGGCTAATTTTTTATATTCTTAGTAGAAATGGGGTTTCACCGTGTTAGCCATGATGGTCTCGATCTCCTGACCTCGTGATCTACCCGCCTCGGCCTCCCAAAGTGCTGAGATTACAGGCGTGAGCCACCACGCCCAGCCTCCTCCCAAATTCCTATGCCAAAGCCCTAACACCAATGTGATTGTAGTTGGAGACAGGACCTATAGGAAGGTAATGAAGGTTCAGTGAGGTTATAACGGTGACTTCTGAATCACGTAGAACCAACCAGTGGCCTTATACAAAGAGGAGGAACACTGGAGACCTCTCTGTCTCTCAGGAAAGGCCGTGGGAGGGCACAGGGAAAAAGCATCAGTCTGCAAGCCAGAAAGAGAACCCGAGCCAGCCACAGAATCTGCCAGCATCTTGTTTATGGATTTCTAACCTCCAGAAAATAAATTTTTGTGAAGCCACCCAGCCTGTGGTATTCTGTGATGGCAGCCTGAGCAGACTAAGACAGGGATGCTTTACTATTTCCCAGGTGAAAGTCTGTTCTCCTTAAGTGAAGTTCAGCACTTAGGAGCAGGCAGGAGCCCAAACATAGGCCATGGGTCCCTCATTGAGCTTTGGTATGTGGCCAAGCATGGAGTAGGTGAGCAATAAAAACCTATTCATGGCTGGGTGTGGTGGCTCACACCTGTAATCCCAGCACTTTGGGAGGCCGATGCGGGTGGATTGCCTGAGCTCAGGAGTTTGAGACCAGCCTGGGCAACACAGTGAAACCCTGTCTCTACTAAGATACAAAAAATTAGCCAGGCGTGGTGGCATGTGCCTGTAATTCCAGCTACTCGGGAGGCTGAGGCAAGAGAATTGCTAGAACTTGGGAGGCAGAGTTTGCAGTGAGCCGAGATCACGCCACTGCACTCCAGCCTGGGTGACAGAGCAAGCGTTCATCTCTAAAAAAAAAAAAAAAAAAAAAGCCTATTCATTTATTGAGAGGAGAGACCTTCAATATCAGGAGAAAGGACCTGGGTCTTCGTTAGAAAAAGACCATCAACCCTCAGGCACTTGGACAAAGGAGCCAGTGATGCCCACACTCCCTTTCTCTTAGATGCTTTTCCTCCCTCGAGAGTGGGGGCACAGATCATTCCTTGGTCATGTTCTGAACGTTTGTTGTAACCAAAGATCAGAGTCTACAGACCCCCCCTGTTCTAGAATCCAGAGATCTTTCCTTGGCCATTTGCTAGACATGTATTTGAGTTGTGAAATAATTTTATGGCATCTCATTTGATCCTCATAACCAGACTTGGAAGTAAGGACCTTGCATTGATCTTTGCTCTACAGGTGACAAAACTGAGGCTCAGAGGCCAATGGCCTTGTTCAAGGTCACACGCCCACTAAATGAGAGACCCGGAGACCTGGCATCACACGTAAGTCTGTTTGCCTCCAAAGTCTGAGATTTTTCCTGCCCCATTCCCCAGGAACAAGTATCTCATTGCTTGGGCCAGCCTAACGCAGGCTGCCCCTCTGACCAACTCCTGCTAGAGCCCCTTCTCATTCCTGTTCTGCGGTCAGGGAACATATTTCCTAGGGTGAGAAGACAGCCTGGAGCTACCCATTCGACAATTGCTCCTTTCAGTCCAGATTTGGTTTTTGATTTGTTTTCTGTTTGTCTTTTCTTCTGGGAAGGAGAAGTGGGGGAACCTCAGCCTTTTCTGAGAGCTCTGTGTTTATTTCTTCTTCTGTTGTGTGGGGATTTTAAATGATGAAGCTTTGATTTTTCTGCCTTCTTGGGAGACTTGTGCAATTTTTTAAAAACATACTGGCTCTGGTATTGCATTTCTGCTTGATTTTGCCTGCTGAGGAAGCCAAGGGCCTCAAAGCTGAGTCTAGGGCTGTCTGTGACTGTCTGCGTTTCTTCTCCCCCACCTTTTGTGGGGCATATGAAAGGCATTGACTCGGTGTGCTTTGCTGAAGTTTAAAGTGACAGCAAGAGAGTGGAGAGAGAGTGAGGGGAAAGTGCCAAGTAGGAGGAATGATAACTCTAGACCACATGGCTTTGCCAGGCTGCATTGGAGTCCTTGTGCTTGAACATACGAGTGTGCCCTCCTGGCTATGAGAAACCATTATGTGGTCAGAACAGGGGAAGGCAAGCATGCATTTGCTTTTGCTCAAGTGCATACATTTGAGGGAGCTGACTTGGAACACAATTCCACATATAGTCAAGCAGGTTGGGTAAGGAGAGATACGTCAGTCATATGTACTTGGACATACAAGTGTGTTCCCACATCTGTGCCAGACCTTGGGTGTGAAGACATCCATACAGCACATAACCACAGACTTCCTGTGGGCAAGTATGCAAATGTGTAGAAAAGATGTCAGATTAAACTGTGAGTGCCCACACGTACGAAAATGATTTTGGAGGCTGGATAGAGCATCAGGAGGCTTTGATTCAAGACTCCAGCCTCCGCCTGGCTACCGTAGTATGCGTTTTTAAGCATACGTAGGAATGTGAGAAGATACACGGGCACACATCTATGTTTCTGTAGGTGTCAGCATATGAGCACAGCAGGGCGTGTCTTTGTGTTAGCATGGGTGCACACGCCTGAGTGTACACAGGGCTCTGTGAACGCATGTGTAGAGGGACCCTGGGAGGAGAGGGGCCTGGATGTGCATATGAGAATGTAGGGGTGCTCTCCTGGGTTTGGGTTCCTCATCCTGGAGAATTTAAAACAACAGCAACAGCAACAATGACAAAGGGGATTGGAAGATGGCGTAACACTGCATACATTTCTGAAGCTTCAGGAACAGGCCCCGCGCCGGCTACGATTCCAGCAGTGTCCGTTACCATGGCTATCGCTAAAAAGACACTGCTGGCTCTTCTGTTTATTTTTAAATCCTCATCCCTTTGACGCCCCCTTCTGAAACTCAAATCCCATTCCCTTGGTGCTTCCTTTCCTCTCAGATCAGAAGATGAGCCCAATTCCCTCCCAATCCCAGGGGTAGGAGGCCGAGGAGGCAGCCAGCCAGCCCATCATTCTAACCCCCTTTCCCTCCCCAGACCTGGGGTGTCTCTAGGGATGACTTAGGACCCTGGGGCTCCTGGAAAACCAGAGAGCTCAGTGAAGATGGATGGCTTCCAGCCTGCCTTCAGGGGCTCTCCTGGCCTTGCCTAGGAATAAGTGGCTGCCAGGGTCTGGGAGAGGGAGGGGAAGGCTGACACAGAGTGGAAACTGTGGATTTCATAAGTTCTGAGTCCACTGGCCCAGGCAAGGGGGAATGGGGAGACTGAGGAAACTACAGACAGCTGAGCTTGGCCTTAGCTGCCGTGGGTGGGCCTTCACACCTTCTCAAACACTCCCTCTTGGCCTCTTCTCTGTTTGTGACTGGGTTTGGAGGAAGCTGGAGGGGCTGGGGATTGCCATGAGAGAGCAGGAAGGCTGGGCTACACTAGGATGCCTTCTCCTGCTCACAGGGCTTCTGCTTGTGAGCTCAGTGCTTTAAAGGCCCAAGTCTGGATTTCCTTTTGCACATCAGCTAATCAGCTTCAGCTATGCCTTGCTGGAGAGACAGCCCCAGCCCCTAGGAACACAGAAGGGAGGCAGGGGCACGCACCAAGCACTCCCCACTGCCAGTGATCAGCAGCAATGGGCCCTGCTCCTCCCACCAGAGAGTTAGCTCCCTGAGGGCAGGAGCTGTGTTCTTTTAGGCCACACCCATCCCTGCCTCCAGCCAGGCAGTGTCTTGTCCTGGGCCCTGGTTGGGAGCCTGCAAACCTAAGTGCTTCCACTCGGGAGCCTGATTGTGTGTGGGGGAAACTCTTTACCTTTCTTCAGCATTGCTTTCTTCGTCTACAAAATGAGCTCGGATTGAATTAGCCCTGTACTCCCGCACTGACATTTTGTGATTCTATTAACTAATTGAATTGGATGGACATTATGGAGAATGTTCAACAACAGGCTAATTTCTCTTTGAACATTCACCAGATCCTCGGCTGTGTCATAGCCAGGTCAGTGGAAAACAAAATACAAAATCATTTCACCTTCTTTCCTTTCATAGGTGAGCAGATTTGCCAAGTCTTTCCTGAAACCTGCAATGGAGAGTTTAGAGTGTCCCCAGTCCCGTTTGTGAGTTTTCTGGTGGTTAGAATGCTTGGGTCACTAGCTGTCCTTTAGGCTAAGGTGGCCATGGGCTCCCCTCCAAGGGAACATCTAGAACTGTCGGCTCCAGCTGTTCTGTTCTTCTGTTTTGGGAGAGTAAAGAGGGAGCTATGGGAAAGATCTGAGTTTGAGAAACAGGTCCTGGCTGCTCCAACAGAAACAAATAACAACAACGTATCTTTGTCGAACAAAGGATGTAGGTGCTGGAATTCTCTCTCCAGCTCCTGGCTTTCTAGGTCACCCTCTGGATGCCCTTTTATTTCTTTCTGATTGATAAGTATTATGTGTTTATTGTGTCACCTTGACATTTATATGTTGATGTCCTAAGCCCCAGTCCTTCAGAATGTGATCTTATCTAGAAATAGGGTCTGTACAGATGTAATTTGTTAAGAGGAGGTCACCCTGGAGTAGGGCGGACCCTTAGCCTAACGTGACTATATCCTTATACAAAGGGGAAATTTAAACATGGAGACCCACACAGAGGGAGAATGTCATGCAGAGATGAGAGCAGAGTCGGAGTGATGCTTCCACAAGCCAAGGAACTCCAAAGATGGCTTGCAAACCATCAGAATCCAGGGGAGAGGTGTGGAGCAGGTTCCCCTCAGCCCTCAGAAGGAACTGGCCCTGCCAGCACCTTGATCTTAGACTTTCAGCCTCCAGAACTGTGAGACAATAGCTTCTGTCATTTAAGCCACCCAGTCTGTGGCATTGTATGGCCGCAGCTGTAGCAAACCCATACAATAAGAGATAGAACGTGATAGAAAAAGCTCTGAATGTCAACCACTGTCTTCTGCCACCCCCACCCCCTCTGGCTTCAACCCACACCCCAGGCCTCCACCCAAGTGCATTAGGCAGAGGCAATGTAATAGCAGGTAAACATCCTCAAGGAAAGTGATTTCTCCAGCCCAGTTTTGTTTCACAGCTACTACTATGGATCAGGAGGTCCGTCCTTCTATCCCACCTCAATCCCACCTGCTGCCGCTCCATTGCATTCTGTCTTGTTTGTCCTCAAAAGAGACAGTGATCAACCAGAACCCTCACTAACAGAAAACAATCCTTTGTTGTCTAGAAGTTACAGGTGGAATCTCCTTTCCACAATAGCAGAGAGCTCCCACCCTCTGGTTCAAGGTAAACATTCCACTCTCTGCTCCCACCCCAGGCCCAGGCTCTCAGTCCTCCAAATGTCCCCACATAATGACCTTTTCTCTGACATCCCAGAGCAGGCCTGCAGGATCCGGCCACCTCCTCCTACCCCCATCCCTCACCCCATCCCTCCCCTGTCTCCTGGATCCCTCAACGCAGGCCATCCTTCCAACAGACAGTGCTTGTTTGTGTTGCTCACACATGCCTTGTCTGCAAACATAGCGTGGAGAGAAGTCGTAAGGACTGAGATGCAGCGGCTGGGAAACTGCAGTGACCGACGAGAGGGCCTGATTGCTTGTGCATAGCTGCTGAAAGGGGTCTTGACATTTTAAGTGCTCGTCAGAGTGAGGAATGACAGCAGCAGACAATGAGACACTTCCTCTTTGCCTTTTGCTGGCTATTAATAAGTGTTTCTGATTCTGCAGATGTGGGAGAGATTCTGGGCCATTGGGCTGGGTGTGCTGTGTGGGTTTTTTTTTCTCACTTTGTCTTTCTTCCAGTCCCGTTTCCTCCTCTCTCCCCTGCCTCCCTCTGCGTGAGCTGCCACTCTCCTTCTCTCCCAGGTGCTGCTGGCTGTTTGTCTTGGAGTCGGATTTGTTAGTGCTCAGGAAATGGCATTAGGCAGCTGGACTCAGACCTGCTCTTGGCACTTTGCCAATCTCTTAGTCTCCTGGCTTGGACCCACTGCCAAACCCCACTCACTTCCCCCAGGGTAGGAGAGGCAAGGAAGGGACACAGTGGGCTGGTGGAGAAGATAGAGAGGGGCTGTGAGTCTACGGTTGGGGAAGGGACCACCAGGAAAGGAAGCAAGAGGGACCATTTAGACAGTCAGTGCAAGCTGGGACAAAGGAGCCAGCCTTGGGG
The DNA here is from genome assembly GCF_000001405.40 of Homo sapiens. Classification (NCBI taxonomy): domain Eukaryota; kingdom Metazoa; phylum Chordata; class Mammalia; order Primates; family Hominidae; genus Homo; species Homo sapiens. Next base: position 116,062,382 of record NC_000011.10, on the reverse strand, counting down.
ACAGATGACTCAGAGAGAGCTGGGAGATGGACTTTTCCCTCCCTCCTTCCTGGAGCTGCCTCCTTCCCTCCGCTTCTTGTGTTCTCCCATGGGCCCTTACCTCAGAGAAGCCAGCAGCGGCCATGTGCTCCTGCATTGCCCACACTTGGCAGGTGTGCTACCTTCTGGCCTTGGGAGAATATTGTCTGCTGAAGCCAAGAGAGAACCGTTTGGTATCCCAAGTTCCCCACCTGGTTCCTTAGGTTCTGAAATCTACCCTTTCCCTAAATTAGGGTGGCCAACCATCCCCAGTGATCTCAGAATTGAGAGATTCCCCTGAGTGTTAAAACTGGGGCAGTCCCAGACAAACCAGGGTGCTTCATCATCCTCCTCCAAATCTCACTCACGACCCCCAACGTGGCCTGATGCCCCTTCTCCAGAGGCCCCTTCCTCGGCTTTAATTTCACTTCGATTGAACAGGAAGTGGGCAGTCAGGCTGATGCAAGAGGATGGGGTGAGGTAAGACAGGAGAGACTCTTCACACTGCAGGACATGGCCTCCTTGTTCCAGCAAAAGAGAACAGAGATGTCCAGCCAAGGATAAGTGATCCCTAGAGATGCCCTCCAACCCTCTCCAGAGGGAGCCTCTGGATCTATGGGGGAAAACAAGGCTCGAGGGAACCAAGCAAAACCAGGAGCAGTCCCCTGTCTGCTCTCGGGGCCCACCTGGCACTCTGCTCCCTGTGCCCTTGTCCCCTCCCTCTTTCCCTCCCCTAGCCAGTCCCCTCCAGCTAACCCCCCTCCAGCCTGGCTTCACTGGAGTCCAGCTCCAAAGCCTTATCCCAAGCCCGCAGCCTCTGGATCTCTTTATTCTGATTCAATTACATACACAATATGAGCTTTGCAAACAGAAAATTACACGCTGCAATAATTGAATTCTTTCCTGAACTTGAAGCTTGCTGGGCTGTGGTGTGGAGCTTCCAGATACCCAGCCTTGCCCCCGGGCCCCACCTTCACTTAGCAAAATCATAACTAACATTTAAACATCATTTGATAGTTAATGGCATTGCCACCCCCACCATCTCCTTTGAATTTTACAACTATGTGAAGATATATATGTGTATCCCATCATTATTATTTATAATTCCCTCTCTACAAATGAGGAAACTGAGACAAGGAGTAATTATAAGCCATGCTCAAGGTTACAGAACAAATAATGGTGACACAGCCAAGATCTAAATCCAGGTTTTCTCAAACAAATTTCATGTTTTTCCCAATCTAGCCTGTCCCATTTCCTGCCAGTTCGGACTAGCACATGGACCTGGTTCTCCTGGTCTCCATGGTTCAAGGATAAAGGGGATGATGACTTTTCTCCCTTCCCCCAAGCCTAGGTCTGTGTGTTATCTCCAGTGCTGGGGACACAACTGATCTGTCCCCAACCACAAGCCAACGCTTATTGTTTCAAAACCTGTGAAATGCTCACAAACCAAGATAATTGTTAAGCACTTTGAAGAGAACGCTTTTCCCCCATTGGTCTACCAAACATTTTCCCTGTAGGACCAACGAGGCAAGTACTCTCATTTTATTTCCCCTGCCCTTCCTTTACAATAAAGCTAAACACACGGATTCCTTAGACATCTGCAGTAAATAAGCCTGTGACTTCTGTCACCTTCGACAGCACTTCCACAAATGTTTATTGAGCATCTGCTGTGTGCCAGCCATTTGTTACCTCATTCAATCCTCACAATAAATTAGTGAAATAGGTGCCATTATTTCTCTTTTAGAGACGAGGACCTGGAGCTTAGAGCAGCAAAGATGCTCAGCCAAGTTCCTACTTCCAGTAGAGACTGAACCCAGGTCTCCCAACTGCAGGGCCTGTGCTTTTAGCTAGTGTAGCACATGGTGGGTTAGGGACCCAGCTCCTTCCTCCCTCCCTAGTTCAGACCAGCCTTCTCTTTGAACTGGACTATTGAATTTCTTCTTAATGGTCTCCATGACTTTGGTCTTATGTGCATTAAATTTATACTCTATACTGAGCCAGTAAGTTGTTAAACAACTCCAACAAAGTCATTTCCAGGCTCCAAAAAAAAAAAAAAAAAAAAAACCATCAACACTACAGGAAAAAAAAAGACAGAAAACTAGAAGTTCAAGCTCTGTGGAGTACTGGACAAGGTACTCTATGATTCCTGCTTATCTCTGAAGCCTTGTCTTCTGCCTCTTTCTTCCTTGCATTGCACTCTATAGTGATGCTAAACTGCCTATAATTCCTTTACTGCAAGCAGCAGGAGGTTTCGTATTTCACTGTTTTTATGAAGACCTCCTCTTCTCCCCAGAGCGCCCTTCCTACTTTGCTGGGCTTAGCTTACTGCTTCATCAAGGCTCAGCCTAGGCATCATCCCTCCAGAAAATCTTTACTGTGTCTCAGGTCAGCTAAGTCTTCCATGCTGTGATTCCATAGTACCCTGTGCACTGCTCTTAGAGGACAATTACCTGGTCAGCTGTCTGTGACTCTTAGCCCTGCTCCTCAATCCTGAACTGGAAATTCATGACACTGAGACTGTAGATCATTCTCTCTGTGCCCCAGAAGCTAACACAATTCCTGGCTCATGGTACTCACTCACTAAATATTTGTTGAAAGTCTTTAAATCACCACGTTTAGCTGGATGATACTACATGCACAATCATATCCTCCTAAATACCTAACCTCAGAAGATTGTCTTTGGATCCTGATGCTGAATGTAAAAGAAAGTATTTGCTAACGTGGCCTAGAGTCGTATGCACCCAAGGAAACACTGTTTCTTAGAGCTGCAGTATAATTTTAGAATAAGAAAGTCTCCTCTTCCATATCAACCAATTTCTCACTGATTTCCTAGAGAAGCCTAGAAAACGAGAAGGAAAGTTTGAGATGAGTGCCAAGTTCACCTGTTAGTCTGAGGCTACCCTGACACATAGGTAACAGACAGGACAAAGAAGACAATACAGTTCACAGACATTATGGTCACAAAAGGAAACCCGGGCAAAGGAAGACATTTACTATGTGCCTGATAAAGAAGATTCAATATTGCAAAGATGTCAATTCCTGCAAATGAATCTATAAATACTTAATGTACTCCCGATCAAAATCCCAACAAGATTTTTCATAGAACTTGACAAGTTCATTTTGAAATCTATATTGAAAAATAAATATCAAGAAAATCAAGATAATTAAATGAAAAAAAGGAAGGGGGACTTGCCCTCTTAGATATCAAAACATACTATAAATGTATCATATTTAAACAGTAAAATTCTACAATATTGACTTGCAAATAGACAAACTGGTGGGTAGACTAGAATGCCAAGCCCAGAAACATATTTGTTGGGCACATAATAGGCATAAGATATTTGTTGAATAAATAAACAAGGGTGGCATTTCACATCAGTTGCACAATAAATTGGAGTGGAGCAATTGACTATTCATTGAGGAGAAAAAAATAGAGGTAGATTCTCTACCTAGTATCCGTTACTAAAAATCAATTCCAAATAGCTGAAAAAACTAAATATAAAAATATCCAAAATGTTTAGAAAAGACAACAGAATAATGTGTTTATGACCTCAGGATAGGAAGGGCCTCCTTATGTAGATGAAAATAAGCAAAATATATAGAACAGAGGTTGGCAAAGTACTGTTCCATGGGCCAAATCTGGCCCACCAAATTTTCTTAAAAAACCCGATGTATTGGGACATAGCCACATCCGTTTGTTTATATATTGTCTGTGGTTGCTTTAGAGCTACAGCAGCAGAGTTGAGTAGTTGGTGACACAGACTGCATAACTCAGAAAGCCAAAAATATTCATTTGGACATTTACTGAAAATATGCTGACCCTTGACAGAGTATAAAGGATTGATAAATATAACTACTACATCAAAAATTAAAACTCGCCAGTCACAAAGATGCCATGAACAAAGTTCAAACGGCAACCCGCAAACTTAAATATTTGCAAGGTGTCTAACGGGATGATGATTGAGGTTATGTATATGAGGACTGCCTACAAATCAAGGAGTCATTCTAACGTGAAAGACTGGGCAGAGGATATGAACAGGAATTTCATAGAAAACATTAATATGGCAAATGGAAACATGAAGAGATGCTCAGCCTCACTGATTTTATTACTCAAAGCCCCAGCAAGAAACAGAGGGCAAAACTAGATACTTTGAGGAAAGTATAATTAAGGAGTTGTTTATAAAGGTATGGACTGGATTTTAAGCAAGGAGTGATACAATATCCTGTGGCCAATAATTTTGTGATACATGTAATTTTGTTATATATATTTTAACATAATAGCATGGACTCCACCTGCCCCCTAAAAAAGCCATTAAAAACCCAACTATATGGCATTTAAAAATATTTAAATATCAAAATAAAGACAGGTTGAAAAATAAAGACAGGTTGAAAATAAAGGATGGAAACTGCAAAGTATAAGCATTAAAAAGCTCACGTGGCTATATTTCTTTCAAAAAATAGATTTCAAGACTAAAAAATTACCAGAAATAAAGTCATTATTTAATGGGACAATCCTTTAAAATGACATAATAATCTTAAATGTCTATGAACATAATAAAAGATTTTCAAATACAGGAAGTAAAAATGGACAAATCTAAAGGGAAAAACAGAAATGCACACACACATAGGGTTTAACATATTCCTCTCAGTAACTGACAGAACAAGCAGCAAAATATCAGCAAGGATATAGATGGTTTGATAAAGAGGGAACTGTAACCACCCCAAGGCTGAAGATGCACATGAGAGTCAAAACCTGGAAGGGCTCTGCAGGGGCTTTTCTGACAGAGCTGTGGCTTTGGGCACAAGGATGCACCACGCTTGCAAGGCAGAAGAGGAGAGGGAATAAATCCCCCAACCTCATTCTCCTCCTCCCCTCTGGATCTTCTATTGGCTAAATCCAACCAAGAACAAGTATCCTGTTGATACTGTCCTGACAGGTCAGCTTCCTAGAAAATGGAGTGGAGAAATGTGGAGAGTGAATCTGGGGGGCAAACTGAAGGTATGCAGCACACTGGTAATTAGGGAAATGGAAATCAAAGCAACAGTGAGAAACCTCTTTTTACCCACAAGAATGGTAAACGTTTGTAAAGTGTAAGTGTTGTGAAGCACTCTCATACGCTGATGATGGAGAATAAATTAGGACAGCTGCTTTGGAGTACAGGTCATCAGTTGCTATGAAATTTTAAATGTACATGTACCATGACCCAGCAATTTCACTTCTCTGTATCCAGAGAAACAGTTGTACTACTGCACAAAGTGGTACGTACAAAGATGTCCCAGATTCCTATCAGTTGATGAACAGATACATTGTATTACACTCAAATAAATTGTAGTCATATGACAAGAAAATATGCATCAGTTAAAAAGAATAGGGTAGGTCTAATACATACTATTATGGGTAGCTCTTCAAAAATATTGAATGAGAAATAGAAGTTGTAAAATTATATAAGTATTTTATTTATGCAAAACAATCATTTTTTAATACAAGTGTATCTACTTCAGTGTAAATTTATGGACAGAGTCTAAAAGAATATGTGTCATGATTAGCAATGAGGAGATAGTCAATTATTTTTTATAATATGTACTTATTATTTGTGAAATTAAAAATTCACTGTCACTAATACCGACAACAGCAAAAAAAAAAAAAAAAAAAAATCATTGGACCACAAAATACCGACAACAGCAAAAAAAAAAAAAAAAAAAAAAAAAAAAAATCATTGCACCACAACGCTATCTCTTTCCCATGAAGCCTTCTAGTTCTGTCTGTCAGAATTCCTCAACCTCTGCTCTCCAGGTTCCATCTGGGCCAGGCATGTCTGTTCTAGCATGTTCCACAGTCAGTCTTATACTAGAGTTCATTGTTTCTGTGTCTGCTTCTCCCTCTGGATTGTAATCTCCTTGAGACCTGGAGCTATGTCTGTGTTATGAACATTGTTTTCCAGTCTTTACCCCTTTCTGGCAATTTCTCTGACTTAAGTCCAATCACAGGTTACAGTGGTGCCCCCTAGGAACTCTGCTTATCAGATGGTCAACTAACCCAAGTTGGACCAATTAGGGTCCCTTCCTGGAAAATGAAGAATTGGGGTGGAGAGGAAGTTAGGTCTGCAATATGTCAACTGCCATGTTTCCAATTAGAAGAAGCAGAGAAAGCTGTTATGGAGAGGAGAGAGAGAAGAATGAAAAGATATAAGACAGGAGCAAAGAAATGAAGCCTGCTGTTGTTTGAGACTCTGATTCTGGTTTGCTTCAGCAACATCCTTGTACCTTTATATGAAGGATATCCCTACATCTTTATAATAAATAGCCATGTTTTTGACTAACACCTCCAATTGGTTTCTGTTGCTTGTAGCCAGAAGAATTCTAATTAGTAGTGAATAACAGTTTGCTTTTCAATCTCCCACGGCACCTACCTCATAACAACCTGTTTCCTAGTAGATGCTCAATACATATTTGCTAAATTGGACAGAAGATGTCATTCATTCCTCCTTGCAGGTGCTCGCCCAGCCTCTGTTTGGAACTTGCAGTGCTTCTAACTCATCACCTCCCGAGACACCCCATTCCACTAATGAGCAGCTCTGACACCTCCACAGTGGTCCCGTGGCCCCTCTTTATCATGGTAACTCTGCAAACATAGGAAGTCTTCTCTTTTCTGAAACATCCCCAGCTTCACCAACTGTTCCCCATAAGGCACTATTTCCAGATCTTTCTTTCTCTGATAACAGTCCTCAGGACAAACTCCTGTTGGTCAGTGTCTCTCTTAGATTAAAGTGCCCCAAATTGGCTTTTCAGACCTCAAGTTCCTGTGGTCTATGAGTGATAGGCAGAGTTGCAGGAGCTCACAGACAGACTCCACAGAGCTGAGAACTGGTAAGGGGCTGTATTATTTTGCCGAGTATTTAAAAGAGAACTATTATCCATAGGGAACCAATTGGAAATTGTCCTAATGTAGAAACTCTTTGCTATTAAAAGTGTGTGAGTATGAAATTTGTTAATACCCATAATTTAATTTGCTGATGTGAAACCCCAAGCACGAAGTGTTACTACAGCACAAAGCACACATCTCCCCAGTCAATCCCACAGTCCCTTTGTGACTATGAATCACTCACACTCAAGGGGCAGCTGGCATTCCTCTAACTTGGAATTGAACTGCAGACTTTGCAACATCAAGTGGCAAGTAAGACTGCCAGAGCATCCTAGAGCCGGGAGGATACCTTAGAAAGGATCAGCTTGTTTAATCCCCTCATTTTACACATAAGCCACCTTAAATCCATTCTGGAACAAGTAGGGCATTAATAAATAAATAAAATAAAGTAAACTTTACCCATGAGGAAGCAAAGACTCAAAGCAGTCAAGTGGCCAACCCAAGAGCATGCCGTAGGTTGGGAGTGGAGCTAACACCCACCCATGTAGGTCCACAGTTCTTTGCTCTGCACCTACCCCCTTGGGAAAGGAAGTCGGCATACTGTAGGGGCAGCCTCTAGGTGCTAAGAGGCTTCTCATCTTCCCCTTGAGGACAGCAGGTGTAGACCAAGGGCCATTTGTTAAAAGCCAGAAATCTAGGAGCAGCTGAACAAATCAAAGCTTGCAATTAGGGAGCATACCTCAACCACACTGCCCACCCAGAACTGGTTTCCCAGCTGACCCTCCTCCCCAACGGCACCCAGGAAGTCAGATCAATATTAGAGTTAAATTCTTCCCTCTTCTTAAAGGCTGAATTTCTGGAACTGTAAGGAACAGCAATCGATTAGAACACAGTCTGAGCTTTATACGCATTTACAAATCTCTTGGCTTCTCCATAGACTCCTGAATCTCACTTTATCCTGTGGTAAGGCTTTAGGAGGCTGGAAGAGTTGTGTCTCAATGCAATGGTCAGACAGAACATGCCACCCCCTTCTGTGATGACTTTCCCAAGCTCTAGCATCTCTGGTCCGTGGAAGATAAATTCATGTATTTCATATTGGGAACAATCAAACCCTTCACCCGTAGTCATCACACAGTGACCTGGGCATAGTGAGAAGGCTTCAGGCTGTTTGCAATGTGCAGATGAGGCTGAGGAAGAGCCCTGGTCAGCCTGAGCTCCCCAGAGTGGCTCAAGGGTGACAGAGACAATCCAGGTCCCTGGAGCTGAGTTTAGGTCCCTCAGGAATTGCAAAGGTCGGAAACTTCATTTTCTCCCTGAAAAGTGAAAGACACCAGAGGGACGCTGTAGGGCTTGAGGAACACTTAACACCACACAATGGAAGTGACCAAGAAGAGAAGAGATGACTGCAAGAGCTGGACGAATCTAGAAGGACTGGACAACACTTCAAGCCAGAGAGTTCCATCTACAGGAAAAGCCATGACTCTGGCCCCACACCAGCCTCATACCTCCCCATTGCCCACTGGAACTTTCTCCAAATAGAAAACCTCTTTAGTTGGTGGCTTTGCTTGGATGCCCAGTTTCCGATGCCTTTCAGAAATAACGTTTATCTGGCTTTGAAGGTCTTATTCTGGGGACATTTCTTATTTTCCTTCTTTCTTCTTTCAAAAAGAGAAAGAAAAAACAGCAGCTTTGACTAGTCTGAGGGTGACACGAACGCCTGATTTTTATGCAATGTTGCAAGTGCCTTTCAGCAACACAATGGCAGGTTCCTTGACAATGTCATGCGTCTATTCAAAGCAACCGGCACGCCAGTCAGAGGCCTGGGTGTTTGCACAGTGCTTGTTCTCTATAGTGATAAGGCATGTTAGATTTTCCCATTCTATTTGAGAAATAATTCTGGTCTTTTTTTAAGTCCCCTGCCTTTTTGATTATTTTTTTCTTGCCTCTTTGCTGAACAATAGGACCTGTCCCTATTTGATTCCTTACGTGATGCTTGTGTGGTAACAACTTGAGAAAGAGAGAAAAAGAGAGTGGGGATGGGTTGGGGGTGCAGGGCAGTGGGGAGAACGTGATGGCTTAACAGTCCCTGCCAGGTGCTGGCCACAAAAGGGCCGGCATTAAGGAGGGGCTGGGAGATTAGCGCTGATAATTTTGCTCGGCTGATTTGTCCAGCTCCTTTTGTTGGAACCCAGGGTTTGTCAGAGGATGGGCTAATTATCAGGCCTTCCATTCCCCTGTCTGGTCTACCACAGCAAACACTCTCTCTCCCTTTAGCAGGTGCGTAATGCCAAGAACGGAACGTCTGCTTCCTGCCCCTGCTGGAAGCATGATGGATAAAAAGGGAAAAGGAGAGCAGGGACCGGGATAAGTGTTGGGAGGGTATGAAGCCACCTTGTTTTGCAAATGGAGATAAAAAGGCCCCAACTGCGTTCTTACCCCACAGGATCTCCAGCTGCAATTTGCTGGTTCTAATTTTCATGTCTCTAAACACATTGCCTTCCCAACCAGGGTTATCAGTCAGTGTTGGCTGTGTAGTAAGCTACCCCAAAACTTACTGGCTTAAAACAACCCCCAGTTATTTAGATCATGATTCTTCTGGGTAATTCCATCTGGGCTGGGCTAGGCTGATCTCTGGGCTCACTGACGTACAGGAGGGTTGTCTGTGGGGCTGACTGGCCTGCCCAGGTGGCTCTACTCACACGTCTGGTGCAGGCTGAAGCTAATGGGGTGGCTGGGTCATGTGACTCTCATAATGTAGCAAGCTAGCCGGGTGGCCAAGTTCCAAAACCAGCAAGAGGGCAACACCAAAAGCACACGAGCTTTTCAAGCCCCTGCTCTGTCTTTTGCGTTAATGATGGCCAACTCAAGTCAAGGAGTGGAGAAATTGACTTCTGAACTCCACCACTGCATCAGAAGCTAGAGAAAAAGAATTTGTGGCTATTTTTCCTTTTGTCTGCTACAACTTGAATAGCCTCTTCCCCTTGTCCCCTTATCACCCAGGAAGATGCACACACTAAGAATAGATTGAAAAAGCTTCAAAAGAGCTTTCTCCTTGAACCCAACATCCAATTACTCTCATGTTGTTCATTTTCTTTGTATTTCTACTAATGTGTGCCTGCTGTTGTTTTGCTTTATACCCTTTTCACTTGCTAGAATTTCAGAGCTGGCCTAGCCGCCTCATTTTGTGGATGAGGAAACTGAGGCCCAGGGAGGCAAGATAATGTGTCTGATGCCACCCATCCAGCCAGTGGAATACCTGAGGTCCCAGTCCCCCAACTCTAAGCCCAGGCATCTTGCTCCCATGGCCAAATACCTTATGAAGTTATCGTGTGCCTTTCTTCCACCACACGAAACTAAATGAATGCCTCAAAGTTGTGTTTGAGGATTTTGTGCCCTGCCTATTACCTGAAAAGGATTCAGAGTGGTTTTCACACGAAAACACGACGCAAAAAGGAACAGAGGCTGTTGGAGGGATGCAGAAGCAGTATGTGTTCTCAGACCTCTGAAATGGATAGATTACACCACCTGGACTGCTTTACTGAGAGTTTTCCAGCAGCTGAGGCAAAAGAGAGAGATTCACTGAGTTACACAGGGTTTATCTTCTAACAAAAGAAAGAATACAAACTCACTTATTAGGACAATTCAGTTTTGCTGGCACAAAACTTGAGTAGATATTTACCAGATGTAACTTTGTCTACGGAACATCGAGCGGCTTTATGGACAGCGTCCTCCATCATAATTCCCACATCACATTCATTTGCTGTGCCCCTTGCCTCCTGCCCCGCAGTGCCTGGTGTGGTGTGGTGCCCACAGTGGGTGCCCAATCAATGCTGTGGGCTGATTGGTGTGTGGCATCAGCCGTTTTGACTCCTCACCAGGAGTGGAGTCTGTAGCCCTGGTTGAGTGAGTGGGGCTATTTGGAAGCCTAAATTAATTGATTTACTATCGATTGGACTACAAACCTCTCTCCAATATCTCTAGAATCCACAGCTTCCTCCATTGAAGAAGCACTTCAAATTCCATCTGGGTTTTATCTAAGCAGGACAGATTTGTAAATCGCTACATAGACCAGACCAGAGTTCCAGCCCCCACCTTGTTATCTACTCATGAGTGGCGCTGAGCAGATTCTTTTACTTCTCTGTATGCCTACCTGTTCTTCTCCCATCCAGGTACTTTCAGGATCAATGGATGTGATATGAGCGCAACTCTAAGTGCAGTGCAGATGGAAGGAATCTTAGTGATACTCTCAGACTCTCAGTTCAGAGCTCAGCTAAATTTTCCCTCTTTAGTCTCAGGACTTGAATATCTGATTTTACTCAAATCAAGTGGTTTTTGGTAACATGTATTAGAGAAAAAGGGAAGAGAGGCTAAAGAGTCCCCACAGGACCAAACTACCACTACCATAGCTGGTATTTGTCTGACAGCGCTTCGCAGGGTTAGAGGCCCCATCCTCCAGCAGTGGGATATGGTGTATGGCAGGTTCCTCCTCTGCTACAGCCTGTGTCCTGCTCTGTCACTTGGTCTGGGGCTGTGCACCTCAAACTCTGATGTGCATGTGAATTCCTGGGGTCTTGTTAATATGGGGCTGAGAATCTGAATCTATATTAAGCTCCCAGGGGATGCCAATGCTGCCGGTCCAGGAACCAGGTCTGCGCACAACTAGAGATGGAAGAATCAGCACCACACTGATGCAAGGGACTCATTATGCAGCCTCAGTGTGTCCAACTCGAAAGGCACTGTCTGAACAGGGAATGCAGCTGTGGTGGGTCCTACATACTCCTGCACTTCAGAGCAGATGAGTTAAAGAGGGGCCTAGAATGTGGAGAAAGTGCTTTTTATCCTCGTATATCTACCATAACCCCAGGGTCTTTCTAGGATTCAGGATGTGATGAGGTAGGCATGAGGGTTACAATTTTCTATTCTACCCTGGCTGTTCCACATTTAAGGTGGGAGAGGCACAGACTGTTGAGCAATCTGGCTTCCCACCATGTTTAACCAACAAATGAAATCGCACAGGATGTACTCTTTACTAAGCACCTTCACATACATTATCTCACTGAGTATCTACTGTAGTGTAGATGTTTTTGCTAACCCCTGTTTAGAGATGAAACAGGCACAGAGAGGTCAAGCAAACATGCTAAGGTGACTCAGCCAGGAAAGGCAGGTCAAGCTTAAAGTCTGATCCTGCTTTCCAAAGTCTACTTCTTTCTAAGACACTGCATGAGCTCAAAAGTCAATAAGCCAGAGAGCGGCCCATGAGGAGCCCCTGCCTAAGGGCCTAGCAGGCGGCAGCAGCCAGGGGAAAATCTATCTCTCCATTTAGAAAAGAAAGGACAGACAGTACACCAGCCCTGTGTTTCTTTCCCACTCCATGACAAGCTACCTCAAGCACAGCAAGTGCAGTTGCACACTGAATGTCACCAGGGACAGAGAGGGGAGTGTACCGAGATACTAATCAATTACTGAGGAAACTGACAGTCTGGGGGTTTTCACTTAAAAAGAAGTTAAAATATGTCACTTGCTTTTTATTATTTTTTAAGAGTGCAGTTAGACATGGGGAGCTTAGCATGAATAACCTCAGATTTATGTGCCGATCAGATGGATCCTTAAACTTCCTAAGTGCTTAAAGTGTACACATTTTAACTTGAAAAATTACCAGGTTTGTCTAAAGAAAAATTTTCAAACATAAAACACAAAGTTCATTTGAAGGGAGAAATTCTCCAATGGAGTGAACCCAGCCTGTCATAAAAAAGTTAAGCCAGGCATAAAGGAAAATGTCATATGTGTGGGAAAACCAGCTGTCTCTCCTCTCTCCTCTTTTTTTTTAATTTTTATAACCTAGATCAGATTATGGGAGAATATATGAATGTCTGAGGCAGGGCTTCAGGAGGGCCACAGGAGAGTGAACCTTACTCCCCTGGGTAATGCTGAGCTCTTTCTTGGAGAATGCATTTTTTTTTTAACTTCTAAATAAAGTACTCTAGAGTGGCACATTTATAACCAGCAAAGAATTACTCAAATAAGAAACGCTGTCAGCTATTTATTTTAAAAGCTTTTTTCCTGAAGGAGAAGGGGAAAAAAAAATCTCTCCACTCTCCTCCATATGTCTTCAAAAGGTTTGTGGGTGAATTCCTTCCTGGCTTTATTCTTCTCCTTAGGAGAGGAGCCTGTCTCCAGGCCACAGGATTATTTCTGTCCCTCTTTCTCTCTCTTCTCTACTCCCAGCAAAACAGTCTATCCACCTTCCAGGAAACAGGGAAGCTCACGAGAGTGTGCTGGAGATGGGACATGTGTAAGTGTATGTTTGTAGGGTGCACAAAGGGTTCTTTGTCAAATTCCTGCAATGACACCCAACCAGAAAGAAGGAAGAGAGGGATGCATGGAGGGAGGAAATGATACAAACTAGAAAGGAAGAAGCAGGTGTACCATGAGGACTTATTTTTTAAAATAAAGAAGAGGGGAGGCAGAAAACAAGAAGAGAATAAGTTTTTTGTTTGTTTGTTTGTTTTTTGAGATGGTGTCTCACTCTGTTGCCCAGGCTGGAGTGTAGTGGCACGATATCGGCTCACTGCAACCTCCGCCTCCCGGGTTCAAGTGATTCTCATGCCTCAGCCTCCTGAGTAGCTGGGATTACAGGTGCCCACCAGCACGCCAGGCTAATTTTTGTCTTTTTAGTAGAGATGGGGTTTCACCATGTTGGCCAGGATGGTCTTGAACTCCTGGCCTCAGGTGATCTGCCTGCCTCAGCCTCCGAAAGTGCTGGGATTACAGGCGTGAGCCACCGCATCCAGCCTAAGAAGAGTTTGAGAGGAAAGGGAAGATTAAGGAAACGAAGAGGAGCTCCTAGTCTATGGGAGCAACATGAGATTGAGGGCTGGGTCTCAATCTTCCAGATCGTGCTGTCTTTGGAGAAACTTTTCCCTTTTGGTCCCATTTCTAATCATGCCTGAAGTGTGGACTCAAAGTCAAGAGTGGATGCCATTCGGTGTTAAGCTGCTGCAACTCAGACTTGGTTGAGCACTTCCCTTTGCAGAAAGTCCTGTATGCAATGGGGTAAGCTGGGTCTGCATGGTGGCCCCAAATGAAAGGAAGCAGGGATGGACTTGTGGTCATGAAAATGCCAGAAAGACATTCACTGGGAATAGAATAGAGAGTTACACTCTGTTGAAACAGCAATGGTAGTTGAACCGAGTTCTTTTTCTTCTTGGCAGGTGTCACCTAGGCTGAAGTAGACACCCAATTAGCTGATGCCTGGCCAGTGTGGTGAGACCACTATGCCTGCCCACTGCCTTCTTGTCCCCTATGTCCTGTTAGATTCCTGCCAATTTCTCAAATTTTCTTCATCATATACCCCTTCTGGCCAGGACTGACCTCCTTCTCTAAAAGCTTTACTTGTATTTCAGAACTGGCACCTTATCCCATTCTGGGCTGTGTTAGTTATTTGAGTGCACACTCCAGGCCAAGGCTAGGCAGGTTCATTTCTGTATTTCCCACAGTGTTTGGTGCAGAATAGGTGATCGATAAAAAGACTCAGGAAATTACTAACACTATAGCCAACACATTAAGAGCTACCAGAGGGCAGCCATTGCTTCAAGCACATTCTGTGTGTTCCCTCGAATTCTCACAGCAACCCTGTGAGGCGATGCTATAGTTGCCCTCACCTTAGAAATGAGGCTTCTGAAGTGCAGGGGTTAAAGAATGTGCCCAAAGTCATTCAGCTTATAGGTAACGGGGCTGGGATTTGAACCCAGGTGTTTGGTGCTGGAGCGGTGTTTTTCAACGCTGTACTACGTCCCTTGAAAGCCTCACTTGCTACACGTGGTCCAGTTGAACAATTTAGTAAACATTTTTATCATGTTTAATAGTCCAACTATAAGGCCATTCATTAGCCTTAAAAATTATTATTATTTTTTGGTCACGTTTATGTTGTACACTCCCACCCAACCCCTGCCTCGAAACGCACAACAAACCAACCCTGCTTGATTCGAATGTGAGTCTGCTAGGCCCAACACTCTTTACTCCTTTTTACTTTGTAACGTTGGACATGGAGTCAGAACAGCATAGGAAAGATCAGTGTTCCAAATTTGTCACTTATTCACCTTGCAGAGTTATTATTGACAATTCAATGAAATGATATTGTCACATGCCTACAAGAGAGCCTAGAACAAAACTACTCATGATGATGGCAATGGGAACCGCATCATAAGGCCATTGCAATTAGCATCCCTCTGAGATCTGGTATCTCAAACTCCAAACCCATGGAGTCAGCCCAGATTGCTGTGTGCAGCGTGGGGCCTGGGTGTGTGTGGAGCTCTCTGATTCCCAGGGATTCTGAATCAGACAGACCAACATTCACATCCAGGCCACTGGTTTGTGATTTTTTTTTCTTTTTTTGAGATGGAGTCTCACTTTGTCATCCAGGCTGGAGTGCAGTGGCTCAATCTCAGCTCACTGCAAACTCCGCCTCCCAGGTTCCAGCAACTCTCCTGCCTCAGCCTCCTGAGTAGCTGGGACTATAAGCGCCTGCCACCATGCCCAGCTAATTTTTGTATTTTTAGTAGAGATGGGGTTTCACCATGTTGGCCAGGCTGGTCTCAAACTCCTGACCTCAGGTGATCTGCCCATCTCAGCCTCCCAAAGTGCTGGGACTACAGGCATGAGCCACCATGCCCAGCCTGGTTTATGATCTTAAACAAAGGATTTACCTCTCTAATCCACAGTTTCCTCGCCTAAAAGATGGGGGCATGGCTGCAGCTCTCACATGATTCCTACGAGGGTGAAGGGAAATGACATGCTTTAGTGGCTGAGGACAGACCATGCGGTAGCCAGCGTTCAATAATGTCAATCATTACTTTTTGAGCCTGAACAGAGGGGAGGACACAGAGGAGGCACTCTACAGATGCTCGTTGATCAACAAGTTGGTTCCTTATAAAGCCCAGACTTGCAGCTCTTCCTTCAAATAAGTCCGCTTGAAGGAGCCAACTTTACTAAAGCAGGGGGTGGGATGCAGCAGCTGTCAGTGCAGGCTAAGGGAGGCAAGGAGAAGGGAAAAGGAGATAGTAGAGAAGAGAAGGGACTCATCAAGGACACTCTGTGCATTGTCCTCGGCCTAGCCTGAGAGTAAGCACTTTCTGTGGGCAGGGGCTGCCCTGGCTGTTTCTGTTTCTGTGTCCTGCCAGTGACATGCAGAAGACACAGACGCAGGTGGCTGTTGTTGATGCTGCTTCTCATTCACCCACCACGTCTCCCCAAGGCGAGCTGCTCGGGGATCTGCATTCCTAGCCTGGCTCTTCAATGTACATCCACCTCCCCAACTAAGAGAAAAACATGGACCATTTGCTGTCGCAGAAATAGTCCTGGTCAGGGAGTTGAATGACTTGAGTCTTCTGGACACTCACAGCTTCTGCCAGCCATGGGTCACTTGTCTCTACACAAGAATAGCCAGCAAATTCTCTGTCCACCTTATGAGGTTGCTAGAAAGCTCAAACAGGATAACATGGGAAAGAACTTTAGAAGGTAGAAGAAGCCATTCAAAAGCTAATACAAAGGACTGTAAATAAAATCATTATTAGGGTATTACAATACTCAGCGAAACCTGTGGACCTTATACTGCTCCATGAGCTGTTCAGCTGCCTCTCTGATAAGAGTATATGTAAGCTGACATAGGCAGGCTTAAAGTGGTCATCTTTGTGAAAAACTAAGAAAAGCGCTGCAGGGAGAGGGAAGAGTATGTGCAAAGGCCCTGTGGTAGGGAGGAGCTTTGGATGTTCCAGACACTTGCAGAAGACCAGTATAGTGAATATTCACCATTTGTATAGTAAATAGGGCATAGTTGGAGAGGAGTGATGTATAGCTTAATAACATTGGATGAGTGAATAAATGGATTGGTGAGTGAGTAGGGTTGCTGGAGGGGTCTTGGGAACCCCATTTGTCTGACCCTTTTCTAGGGGTTCACATCTCTGTAGCACCAGTGAACACTTCCGGTGGCCTCATCCTGAAGGATCTGGGGTGTTGCCCGCTCTACTGGCAGAGACCCCCTTCCAAGCTCCAGCAGCCCACTTGGCGATCAGACATCAGCTGGAAGTTCTGGCCTTTTCACTCAGCTGCCCTTGTCCACACTGCCCACTCAAAGAGCCTCTCCTTTCCTCCTGCTCTGCCTCCCTCAGGGGACCACTGCCGTGTTTATGAAAACTGAACATGTCATTCAAACCAGCACCTCTGGCCTCGCGAAGCCGAAGATCAGGAGCCACTATTTTTACCTCTCCTTTCTGTCACTGGACTTTACAAGCAAATGCTGGTGTCCCCCTTGGCAGTTCCCGGAACCTCGCAGACAGTAATGAGTCTGGGGATGGTGTTAAGCTCAGATGTCAAACAGAGTGGCCAGGGCCTCCTGAAACGCTGAGAGAGCCGCGAGCTTCTCCCTCTACAAGGTCAGCTTGTGTGTAACACTTCATTAAGTTGCTCAAACACTGAGCCGTGTCTTTAACCAATACCTTTAATGTCATTTTCTGCAGACTTAATAGAGGAGCATTAGCATACCTGTCAAGTCTTCCCATTTAAACTTCGAAGCAAGTGAAGTTTAAAGTGCCTCCTTCAGCCCACAGTGGATTTAGCTTCAAACTTTAGTTTAAGAAAAGAAAAGAAAAGAAAAAAAAAAACCAAGAAGGAGAAGGAGGGGGAATCCTCTGCGGGGCTATGTGACGAATTAGAGGATGTTATCTTATTGCAACCTTCCGAGTCCCTCTTCCTGCCTCCAGGAAGTATACCTAGGTTAAGAACAGTGGGGGGCATGCCTCAGTGTTTACTATGACATGACCTTTCCTTGTCTCAGATTTACAGACTGGAACAGAGTCCCGGGAGGTCAATTAGTCCATTCCCCTGCCCCCTCAAATTCATGCTGCTCAGAGTAGGACATAAAGCACTCTGGTTAGGCATAAAAACCAAGCTAAGGAAGGTGATATGACCTAAATATTTGTGTCCCCTGCAAAATCCATATGTTGAAGTCTAATCCCCAGTGTGATGGAATTAAGAGGTGGGGCCACTGGGATGTGACTAGATCATAAAGACTCCATTCTCATGAAGAGAATTCACACCCTCATAAAAGAGATGCCAGAAGGCTGGCTAGCCCCTTCTACTGTACGAGGATGCAGCAAGAGGTTGTAATCTATCAGGCAGAGAGAGATGCCTCACCAGACACGGATCTTGGACTTCCTAACCTCTAGTACAGTAAGAAGTAAATTGTGCTGTTCATAAGTCACTAAGCTTATGAAATTTTTGTTACAGCAGCTCTAACAGATTAAGGCAGAGGGGTATGGGAAGGCTGCATTCTTGGGTGCAAAGCTAATTTGGATCATTTGGGATGAAACTCTGAGGCCTGGATTGCATGTGTGCACAGCTCAGTGCGTGTGGATAACTACATAGCTCTGTTCTTTGCCCTAGTGCGGGGAGGAAAAGGAACTACAGCAGAAGAGGAAGCTAACAGGCAAGGGCTGGTGAGAGGGTCAGCAAGGTCTTCCTAGTTTTTTAATGAAGTTGCTGTTTCTTGGGTCAGCCCTGAGCTCTTGAGAGACAGGCCCAAAGAGTTAACTCATAATAGAGCCTGCCCTCTGGTCTGGGACCCCCACATAAGGAGGGTGTCTTAGTCCATTCAGGCTGCTTAACAAAATACCATAAACTGGGTGGCTTATCAACAACAGGAATGTATTTTTCATGGTTCTGGAGGTTGGGAAGACCAAGATCAAGGCGCTGGAAGTTTTGGCATCTGGTAAGGGCACTGCTTCTTGGTTTATACAGGACTTTCTTGCTGTGAACTCATCACATGGCAGGTGGGGTAAGGCAGATTTCTGATTCTCTTTCTTTCTTTCTTTCTTTCTTTCTTTCTTTCTTTCTTTCTTTCTTTCTTTTTTTTTTTAATTTGAGATGGAGTCTTGCTGTTTCCCAGGTGGGAGTGTAGTGGCGTGGTCTCGGCTCACACTGCAACCTCCACCTTTCGGGTTCAAGTGATTCTCCTACCTCAGCCTCCCGAGTAGCTGGAATTACAGGTGTGTGCCACCATGTCTGGGTAATTTTTTTGTATTTTTAGTAGAGATGGGGTTTCGCCCTGTTGGCCAGGCTGATCTTGAACTCCTGGCCTCAAGTGATCCGCCCTCCTCAGCCTCTCAAAGTGCTGGGATTACAGGCTTGAGCCTGACGGCTCAATCTTCCCAGCCTAATGGCATTAATCTTCCATGGGGGCTCCACCCTCATGACCTAATCTCCCCGCAAGGGCGCTTGGGAGTTAGGATTATAAATTTGGTGTGAGGGGAGTGCACAAACATTCAACCCATAGCAGAAGCGTTCATGAAGAACATAGTGATTAGAATGTTCCTTTAATCTGTTGGTAGTGGGGAATGTCCCTTTCAATACTCCTGTTGCCATGGAAGGGCAAGACCAGGACTGTGCTCTGTGATCTTGGTTGGACCAAAGAACAGGCATTCGGCCTTAGAAAATCTCATCTGTGAAATGGGTTCATCTATCGGGAGAAGATCAGCTCTCATAGAGCTGAGGGTAGAGTGGGCCTTGAGTACTCAGCATTAAAGGCTTGGCAGGAGTTAGGAAACAGGATAATGAATGTGCCTCTGTCATTAAGCCACTAATCGTTAATTATCCCCCTAGACATCACATAATGTGCTACCCAGGCAAAAATAAAATTGCTTGAACTTTTCTACCGAGCTCTAGTTTTAAATAAATTACTCGTGTCAAAACTATTTACCAAAGTGAGTAATTTTAGATATTTGTCAGACTTCATAACATGCTTTAATTAGTGCCAGCTAATAAAGTCCTCGTGTAATTAAGCATACATACATCCCTGTTGTTTTGTATTTTGAATTTTTGCTTACGATAATTCTTTGAAATGATTTGATGCCTGGCTTTCGGAATACATGTATGTGCATGGAGGTGTGTGCCTTTGTGTGCATATGTTTCCAATGTTACTCCGTAATGAGATCCATGCAATTAAAGCACCCACTTAATTATTAATGCTGCAATTAAGGCAAGAAGGAGGAGTTTCTCTTTCAAAAGTGGAAAGTTGATCCCTGGCTCCCAGTGCGATGGGAACTGGTGCAGACTGGCACTCTCACCCACTTGGTCCCAGAAGGCAGATCAGACAGCGTGACTTGTGCCTGGATGCCCTTAGGGAGCAAGCAGGTCTATAAGGAGCCTGCTGGTTTCCCTGACATGCTCCGCCTGAGAGGCTCCAGAGTGAGGATGGCAGTGGTGACAGTTCACTCCCAGCTCAGAAACCTGTCACTTGGAGATCAGCATTTTAACTACCCCCTGCCCCTCAAGAAAAAAAAAAAAAAAAAAAAGAAGGACACCTTAATTTACCCTGCTGATTGGCTTGAGAGCTGTCAGAGTGACAACCTGTCTCTGGCTGAAAGGGACCTGGTGTTAGTTCTCAGGCTGGCTTTGTGTGCATTATATGGTCTGCTTGCTCCTGGAAACGGCAACACTGAGAGCGCTGAACTGCACCCTGGTATCTGCTCTTCCCCAGCTCCTGCCTCCCTACTCATTGGCCATGGTGTTCAGGGCCAGACAGGCCAGAACTCCAGATTTTAGCAGGGAACCATGACTTCTCTTTCCCCCATGCTTGGTGTACCCAGTGAAAGCTTCAGGACATAGATGGACCCATCCAAAAATATTCGACAAGATTGCCCATTGCCTGTGTGTTTGAGATAGGGCCACCCATGACTCCAGCATGTGGATGCCTCCAAGAGTTAACTGGGTGTCCTACATAAAATCTAAGACTTAATTTCACCTTCACATAAGACTATGCAGTCCTTGTACTTTCTTCTTCTCTCAGGAAATGAGTTTGATAACTTAGGATGACAAAAACATCATCTGAGAAGCTGCTCTTCCCCAAAGGGCTAGTATGTTCCTTAGTCTTTGTAAATCCATGCTTTTTTATGTTTTGGT
This sequence comes from Homo sapiens, assembly GCF_000001405.40. Classification (NCBI taxonomy): domain Eukaryota; kingdom Metazoa; phylum Chordata; class Mammalia; order Primates; family Hominidae; genus Homo; species Homo sapiens. Next base: position 116,041,549 of record NC_000011.10, on the reverse strand, counting down.
AAACATTAAAAAATCCCAGACCCTTTAAAAGCCCTAGAAATTCTAATACAACTTTCATACCTCACTGAGAAGCCCTCATATGTGATTGACAGTTCTTCTTCAGAGTCTCTTCATTAAGATTTTGTCAAAGTTTGCTGTCTGTAATTTGTGTTTATAAACTAGATTTTTTGTGTGTGTTCTAAGTATATTTTAGGATTTCTTTGCTTTTTCAAACTACACAATGCTTCCCTAGGGCATATGTATACCTTTCCCTGCCCTGCACGTATCAGTTGAGGCACACTTACAATACATAGCTAGTAGCTACATGGGGCTATTGAGCACTTGAAATGTGGCTCGTCCTAATTGAGCTGTGCTGTTAAGTGCAAAATACACCCACAGACTGTATGAAACAAAGAATATAAAGCATCTCAATAATTTTATATTGATTACATATTGAAAGAATATAATTTCATCCATGTTAGGTTAAATAAAATATATTGTTAAAGTTAACCTAACCTGCTTGATTTTACTTTTTAAATGTGGCTGTAAGAACATTTAAAAAACATGTGTGGATCTCTGTATTTTTATATTGGCCAGCACTGATCTAGAGGATCATGACAGCTTCAGACACCTATTGCAGCTGAGGGCAGATGGGGTTGCCCTGCCTTGGCCTTGGTTTGGTCCACCTCTGCTACTCATCTGCTGGCCTTGGACATATCTCTACTTCTCTGGGCCTCAATTCCCTGAGAAAGTTGACTATGTAAGATGGCCAATGAGGTCTGGTCTTGTTGTATAGAATAGGATTGTCATCTCAGGGTACCTTACAGGAGGGGATGGATTCTCTCCACTAGCTTTAGAGATGGAGCCGTCATTGCAGCAGAGAAGGGTCATAGTGACCTCTGGCACTTCTGATTGGCTCTCGGTTGCCTTGTACCTTTTCTTTCTAGTCACCTGGGGAATTAGACTCAAGCTCCCAAAGGTACGGCCATATGAACTTCAACCTCTCTACCCTAGTTCTCTCATTCCATTTTGCCAGGCCAAACAGCACCTGCGGAGGGACACACCTGTCCTGTCCTTTAACCCATGGTGATATGTCACTGATCAGCACAATTGGCTCTAATAGTTCCCCAGGTGGATTCCAGAGAGCAATGAGCAGAACATAAAAATCCCTTTATTATTGCCATTTCACTTTTATATACCCATCAAGCTTTCATATTTAATCTCCTACATCACAATAGCTGATCATTTTTAACATTTGACATTGATAGAGTGCCCACTGCTATTATTCTGACATACTATAAAACATTACACCCATTTGCAATAGAAAAGGCCAAGAATCAATACCCAGCCCCATTTTCCACTGTGGCTGTAAATCACGAAGTACCTAACAAATTGGTTTAAGTAGAAGAAACTTCAGAACCAATGAATGGCCTGACCAATCCCCACTCCCTGTTAGAACTGACAGGGACCTGGAGGCTAAGGGTAGGAGAAGGGAGGGGGGGAGAGAGGGCTGGAGGGAAGCCAAGCTGCTTCATAAGGCAATCAAGATTCTTCAGGGACAAGAATTGTCCCTCTGTCTGAGCCTTAGAGACACCTACAGAGAATAAGGACACCTGTGCTCTGCTCATGTCTGCTTCGGTCTTGACTCATAGCAAGCAGCTCCATATCGGGAAGCTGGTGACTTCCTAGTTCCTACCCCATCTTTCTACAGACTCAGAGTCCCATTGTGAAGATTATCAGTCTATTTTGTCAGTTGTCTCATTCCTTGGAATAACGAGACATTAAAATAAAGTATCTTTTATTTGGCTATTTAATCAAATTGACTTCAGGATGAATTGATCAGACAGGAGTTAAGAAAAGTCATAAATTAGGCATTGCTTAAAATATGTAGGGTAAAAGGTTGGGCTAAATATTCAGTCATTATCTTTGTATTTGAAGTGAACGACATTTTAAAAGTGTAAAAGTTTAAAATATTCAGAACATTGCCTTTACTTTTTATTCTTGGGCATCATCTAGATCCAGTCTAAGGCTGTGATGATTTTGTTGGGCTCCATTGAAAGCTTCTTTCAGTCCAAGTTGCCTGGTTGAAAATACATGAGCCTGTGGTCTGACTGAGGACAGTTGCTGCGATGCTGGAATGTTCTAATAGCATGAGGACCTGGCTCCAGGAGAACAGAAGGGAAAAGCAGCTTATTTATCAATTTATTTTCAATTCAGGACTGGATTTCTTATAGAAGCCTGGTATATGAGTGCACACATTTACCTGACTTTTCTGCAATAGGTACACTCCTAAAGTCACACATAGGCCAGATTTTTGCAGAACAAATTCCTTTCTTTTCTATTAACTTACATTATAATTTCAGAAATGATTTCCCTGCATTTCAATTAGCAGTGAGTGATTCTTTACATTATCTGTCTTACTCAACCTCTTAATGATCCCACATAAGATGAAGAACTTTTGTAAAAAGGGATTCTTTGGAAAAGGAACACACCCCAGTGATTTGTGGATGATTTCAGTCCTATTTTGCACATTGGAATGACATAGGTGGGAGCTCACTGGAAGCAGATTTGTAGCGGTTCTTTTGCAAGCTTTGTCTAGTGCTAAGAACATCAGATTGTGAGTGAGGAGGTTTGAGTCTCATCCTGCTATTTTCCAATCGTGTGAATCGCAGGGTAGATATGATACATGACCTTTCTACACATTTTGTTTTTCATTTGTAAAGTGGGGATAATAATTCTTTATCTCTTTCATAAGATCCACAATGAGGAAATGAGACAATGAAAGTAAAATAATTTATTATTACTGTTATTACTGATAAGGCAATAATAATAATTATAATATGTGATGAGAAAAGAAACAAGAAAAACCATTTTTATATTGGTTCTGTTTTGTTCCAATGGAAGCAAAACACAAGAAACTCAAATCTAGGTTCCTCAATTTTGTACCCTGAGAATTGGAAGTCAGAAAGACAGTCAGATCCAAGTGAATTTTAGAGGACCTCTAAGCCTTAGAAAATTTTTGACTTGTGCCATGTATTGCTTTTTCTTTGAGTGTATTTGGGTATATGTTAATATATTCAGTCGAGAAACATGTATTGAGTGCCTACTCTGTGCCAGGCCTTGTACTTTTTCCAAAACGTATAACAAAAGCAGACAAGATAGTGGCCCATGCCGATCGTCTATAGATGAGGTTCTCAAGCTCTCTGTGCATCAGAATCACTTCCCAGGCTCAACCCCAACCCTTCAAAATCAGAATTTCTCATGGTGGAAGTTGAATGCCTATATGTTGACAGATTTCCCAGGTAATTCCAACATTTGGGCCACTGGTTTATATGGAAACACCCTATCTATCAGCCATGACCAGGAACCATGTTTCTCCCACCAACTGTGGTTTTCAGAGTGGGAAATTATGTTGAGATTCCCTATTTCTGGTTTTCCTAAAATGGGAACATAACTAAAGGCTGATGTGTTCAGCTGGTACGTGACCCCTGCAGGGATATGGACATGGGCCAAATCCTTTGTTCTCAGCCTACAGTTCTGCTGCTGGCTTGCTCCAAAATAACCTGGTTTGTCTGGCATCCTGGACTGCAGCCCTCCTGTCTGTGGGCCCAGAGGATGACCCAGAAATCCCATTGTTCCTTTTATCATCAAGCATGGGTTGGTTCTCTTTGGACTAAGTCTCTGTTTAGCGCTTGAGAAAGAGGAGGGGAAAATCAAAGGAAGAAAGGGAAGGAGGTCTAAGTCAGCTCCCTGGTGACTTAGCCACATTGTTCTCAGAGCTAAAGCAATACTCCAAATACTGCACACTTCTATTCGCCTGCAAAAGAGCTTTTCCAGAGCACTTTTCCCTCAGTCATCACGTGTGAACCACCTCTCAACAACACTATGAAGAACCTGGGGTAGATGTCACAACTTCCGTTTGATGGATGATAAAGTTGAACTTCAGAGCAATGCAGTGACTGACTTTGCAAATTGAACAGGCACATGATCCCTAGGGTGAAGACAGTATCAGTTTTTATCACCTTTGTACCCCTTAGCATATTTCTATAGGAGAACCTTGAAAATACTGTATTTGTTAAATTAGTGAATGAACAAATGCAAAAGAAAAGCAATCAGTTAGAGCTGGACCGGCATCAGACTCTCTCCTCGGTCTAGGGCCTGATGACCTGGAGCTCTCTAGCTTCACCAAAGAAAACTGAACTGAGGACCTTCCCCTGTCCCCTGCTAACCCGCCCCAGTGAAGTCTTATCATTTTCAATAATCGTGTTGCTTCAAAGGTCACTGGAGCCTTTTGCAGTCTTCTCGTGGTGGGCCCTGAGTGGCCTTTTTGATGGCTGTTTTTACTTTTTACCTGAGCCTCAGTGAGGTTTGGCAAGCAAATTTTTACCTTGCCTTGTGGTCCGGACTTTCTGGATGGGGAGCTATTCTTGTCTCACACTTGCTCCTGATGATTTTGCAATATCATGATTTCGGTGAAATGAAAATACATCTTATTCCCACAGAACTGCACAGAGCCCTTTGATGGGAGCCAGTTTTGGTAGTGTTGTAGTTTGGTAGAGTAGTGTTGAGGTGAGATGGTGGCAGAGCTTCCCAAATGAAAAGGTCTTAGAGGAAAGAAAGGGCAGAGAGCCTATCAGAAGTCACCCTGAACTGCCCCCTGCCAGGGGCATTCTCAGCCCAGCCAAGTGAGAACCCCCATACATCCTCCCGTGGCCAGGAGCTTTTACTTAGCACTGAAGTCCATTTCTTGAGCTGAAATGTAAGTTGCATTTCTTCTTGCTCAATCCTCAGTAAATTTGGAGAAAGTGCCGTATATTTAAGCTTAGAATGCTGGAATACACAACCAAGCAAAACTGTAGAATATCATTCCTGAGAGTGCTGGAAGGAAAGATGAGAAATTTTTGCCTCTTAGAGTTCAGTGAGACGCAGGCTTGCCTAGAGGCAGGGGCGGGAGCAGGTGACCTCCTGCATACCCTCGGCTGTATCCAATTTTCTGTGACACAAATCCATCTCTAGCAGCAAGTTTCAGATGGCGGGAGGACAAGAGGCAGGAGCCCAGATCCTGTCCTGGCAATGAGGAGGACAAATAAGTTGCAGCCATGGAGTCGTGCAGACCTTACTACAAAGGAGCCAAGGGGCCAGACAGTACTAAATAATTCTGTTTTTCAGACACATTTGAGCACCCCAATCTGCCCTCAGTCCCTCCTTCCACTTGGCCCAGGTGGCCAGGACCCAGGCTGCCTCCTGTCCTGTCAGAAGTGACCCTTTGATATCTGATCTCCCATCTGCTGGGCTAGGCATGTGGAAGAGACAGCTGGCACAGCCCCTCCCGGGGGACTGCAATTAGGGGATATTTAATCCTGTCACCTGGTTCATTTACAGTGATGGATTTGGGCTGGAGCGCTCAGTGGCGCCGAGAGGATATTGGATTACCAGGGCCCATCCCCTTCACCCCTCAAAGAGAGCTGGCCCTCCCCTGCCCCTGCACCTATCTTCCCTGGCCCCAGGGTGAGCCACCTGGCTCCTGTGAATTAAGAGCAAGCACTTGCTGTCGGTCCCCTCCCCCAACTGCTGATATTTCACATGAAACCACCTGCAGATGTAAAAACATCCATGGGATTTTCACCCCCATCAGTGCCCCCTCTGGCCCCTGCTTATTTTGGAGGTTCTGACTTTCAGATTCTAGAGCTCAAGGAGATTTCCAGTGACTCCCGTCTTTTCATTTTCCAGACTCTCGATGCTGGGAACTTTGCATTAACTGTTGTTTATTTGGGGTTTTTTTTTCTGAACCACAATACCAGTCTAAATTTACCTAATTTGTCCATCTTCAGGCTAACTAAGAATACTGGAAGGAGATAAGATTGGGACTGAAAGACCTGGATTGAATGATTTTTATCAAGTCACTTCCCTTCCTTGGATCTCCATTTACTCATCAATAAACTAAGCAGATTGGATTAAATGTTCTGTAAGGTGCCTTCTAGGTGAGGAAGAAGTTGGGATAAGTCATAAGGTGAGGAGTTTGGACTAGACAATGGGAAAATCCCAGAGGGGAAACCAGTGGGGTACATCAACAAAAGAAGATGCATATTAGAAAGAAATTCAATGTGGAATAAGAACCAGCGTGTCTGGAATAATTTTGAGGTGGCCTTAGTGATTTTAAGTGACCCCCATGAGACAGTTTTAATCAGTCTTCTATCCCCTCATCGGCCTGAGTTTTTAAGGAGCCCACACAAAAGAGGTAGCCTCAACTTTCTGGACTTTCCAGTTCGATATATGTTAAAGCACTCGTTCAGGATGGTGGCCAACTTCTCTATGGGCAAATTCCATGTTTCAGGAGAGGGGAGGAGTCTGCGCTCACATGGGAAGTTCCACTACTCTTAAGATTTTGCACAATAGCTGCCACCTCCCATGAGACAGGCCAGATATCAAGCCTTTCTGGGGGTCAGCGGGTCATCACATCATTTCTCTGATTCAAATGGTTCAATGGCTTCTCGTTACACTTGGAATAAGATCCCAGTGCATTACCATAGTTACTAAGCCTGTGTGATCTGGCCTTGCAATCTTCTGTCTTAATTCTCCTCCTTAATGCCCTCTCACTCCCTGCGTTAGGCCAGTGTGTGTGTGTGTGTGTGTGTGTGTGTGTGTGTGTGTGCGCGCGCGCGCGCGCATGCGCGCGCGCCTATGTGTGCCAGCACGTGCACACATCTTAGAGTTTCCAGTCTTGTCCCTGCCTCAGCAGCTTTGAGCTTGCAGTTCTCTCTCCCTGGAATACCCTTTCCTTAGTTCTTGATATGGCCGGTCCCTTACTGCCCTTTAAGTATTGGCTCAACTATTTCCACTTCAGGGAGATCTTCCTGGACCTCTCTCTCTATATCACTGTTTATTCTCTTAGTAGCCATACATTGTCTTGTATAAAATAAAGTTGCAGATTTTCTTTATTTTTCCTACTTGAATATAATCTTCATGACACCAGTTAACTTTTTTCTTTTGTTTAAAGTCATATTCCTAGAATATAATTTTAGCACCTAGAATAATAGCTAGCATATCATAGTAGTATAATAAACATTTGTTGAATCAATGAACATGGAGTTCCTATTGTAGGGTGAGGACTGAGGCCACATTTCTGGATGTCGTTTGATGAAGGCAGATTATGAGCTAGGCTCAAAGCCTCCTCACCGCCCACCAGCACCACCACCCCCAGTAGCAGGTGTCTGTGCTTCCCACCTCCAACCTTGAGGTAGATAAACAATTGTCCCCCTTGCTCTGCCCTCTGCTGACCTACTCAAATTACCTGTTCCTAAGATGATCAAAGGGATTGGAACAAAGACTCGTAATCGAATGAGTTCTGTGTCACATCCTGGAAATGGGGGCACTTGCGGAGTGAGTACAGCCCCGGGAGAGAGCTCTTGAGATCAGCAAAGCTGCTGCCTTCAAAGGGTTGACGTGAAAGCAAACGGAGAAGCACTTGAGGAGAGAGGATTTCTCTCCAAAGAGGGGAAGCACTTCAAGCCCATCACCCCACCCCTCTAGCCACAGATATGAGTGTATGCCTGTGTGTGTGTGTGTGCACAAGCCTGTGTGTTGGGTGTGTGTCTCCAACAGAGGAACAGAACATCTCTTGCAAGCACTATGAGCTCTCAGATATCTTTGCAAATAGTCAGTGGCCCACTCCCCCTCTCCACCCATAGTGTAGGGAATTCTGTGAATTTTGTTTATCTTGCCAAGGCCTCCCATTAATTTCTTGTTTCTCCAGGAAGCACCCCAATGAACATCTCCTGCCTCTATGGTTTTTCTGACATCCATCAACATCTGTCAGAATTTGAAAATGTGACTGCTTTTAGGTAATTGGATACATCATCTTTAGACATGTTCAAAGGCATGCGCTCTGTTTTCCATTCCATTTATAAGCTCCTTCAAGGCAAAATCTATATTTTGTTTTCTATTTGTTACCCTCTCCACAAGAGTCCTAGGACAGAATTTTCCTCAGTGTGCTTGTTGTCTGAGTACATTTTTGTAGTGTGAGAACCATTGGATGCTGATTTTATTTTACTCATTAATTTATTTAAAATATTTACTGAGGCCCATTATATGGCAGGCACTGTGCTTAGTGCTGGAGATTCCGTGTTGAAGCTCACAGTCTGGGGCAGAGATGGAAACAGACACAAATAACTATAATACAATGTGGTAAGTGCTGTAATATAGGTACTGTATGCTCAGAGTGCTACGGGAACTCAGGAGGGAGCTTATGAAATAATTTAGTTAATGTTCCAATGTCTAAATGTGAATGTTTAAATAACGTCTTTCTTTCCTCAGTGCTTCCTGCTTTGCATGGCATTTTTTACTGTTTTTTATCTTATTTGCTGATTCTAGCGATCCCGTTAATAAGTTTTCACTCCACAAACTCACCCTTATACAGAGTAGGTGCTCAAGAAACATCTCCCAAAAGACAGAATAAGTGAATGGATAGTCGATGTTATTAGCTTTTGTTGACAATTAGATAAACTAAATGTCGCAGAGTGATTTGCCAAAGCTCATAAACACACATTAAATACCTGCTACATGAGGGCCACTATCTACGATGCTACCGCAGATAAAAGAAAGTACAAGTTGTGTTTCCACCTCCTTGATCTTTCAGTCCTTTTGGTAAAACATGAGGTGAACCACTGATTGTTCAGTAATAACAGAGGAGAACAGGAGCAGCTCAGGAGAACAGCACGAGGCAGGGCATGGTTCACCACCGAGTGAATGGAGCAGACGAGGAGGACCACAGGAGGCAGGTGAGGTTGCTGGAGATTAGGGTGGTCAGGAAAGGCCTCACAAGAGAAGTGGAATATGAACTGGATCTTAAAGATGGGTTGCTATAAACTGAAAGAAAAGAGTAGAAAAAAAGAGGTAGAGAATAAAAGATATGTTCAAAGGAAATAAAATCCAATAACCCCTGAGCACCTTGGCCAGCTCCAGATTCAACAGGGAGGCAGCCCTCAGCAGTTGTGTCCATCTCTGTCTCACCACATCTCAGCTCACGTGTACCTGCAAATTCTTCCCAAACAGCTCTTCACCCCAGCCCTCACCTGGCAGCTGCCCTGTGGGTGTTAACTTATTTCCAATCCAGACCTAATTAATTGTTTAAAAAAAAAAATTCCTGTCTGGGCGTGGTGGCTCATGCCTGTAATTCCAGCACTCTGGGAGGCCGAAACGGGTGCCATCACCTGAGGTCAGGAGTTTGAGACCAGCCTGACCAATATGGTGAAACCCTGTCTCTACTAAAAATACAAAAATTAGCTGGGTGTGGTGGCATGCACCTGTAATCCCAGCTACTTGGGAAGCTGAAACAGGAGAATTGCTTGAACCCAGGAAGTGTAGGTTGCAGTGAGCCGAGATCACGCCACTGCACTCCAGCCTGGGTGAGAGAGTGAGACTCCATCTCAATAAATAAATAAATAAATTCCTGTATACTCAACTTTGTTGCCAGTGCCCTAGACCTCCTGCTCTAATTAAACACTCAGCTTCCCCCTGGTGGTCAGGGCTTCCTCTGTGTCCTCTCCATGAGATACTCTTTTATTCTCCCACTCACCTAGTGTCATCTACATAAGGGAGGGGCTGGGGCTCAAAGTCCTCCTAGTTCTCCACTTGTTTCTGGATCATTATTCTTTCTCTTATGTGGAAATGCTGCATCATAATTTGAGGCTAATGGCATCTGCTAAGACCCTTCTCTACCTCTATTCATTGATGCCCTCTGTCAAACTCTGGTTCACTCTGAAAAATGATGTGGAGGATGACACTTCTGCTTAGGAATGTAATAACTATCTTTGGTGTGCCTTCCCAATCCTTGGTCACCCTGCTCTTCAACTACTGCCTGATACAGGAGTGTGGTCCAGAAACTCTTTATATTATGTATCCCCGATCCCTCATCCCTAGGTCACAGGACCCAGTTAGACTCCTGACCCAGGAGGACCAATCCAATCCTTTCCCTAGGAGTTGGGAAAGGAGACCAAGAGGTTAGTTTCAATCTGAGATGGTCCCTTGAACAGAGGAACAGCAAACTGGTGAGCTGTATGGTAGCCATGTTTGGCCATGTGCACATGAAGTGGGGAGACCAATCTGAAGGAAGGTGGAGAAGAAAAAGGCAGATGTGCAGAGAGAGGCACCTGACAGCTTTCTAGTCCGTTCTGAGACTCAACTGCTCCGCCTCCATGTCCTTAAAATATTCCTGTGTCTTTGGAATAATCCCCACCTTCACCCAAGCTTAAGTAGCTTTGTTTCAAATTTTGCTTGTTTGTTTTTGATACTTACAACTAAAAGAACTTTGCTAAAAAATAAAATCAAAGGTGGATGGAGACAATTGCGATCAAGTGTTGAAGTTTACAAAGGTAGAAATGACCCAGTTAAAACAAAAGGGCACTTTTGCTGCCATTTGATTACCTATCTAATGGGAAGCACGGTCATTATGGAAGAAGAAGTGTGCCTTGTGGTTTTAGAAAAATGGTAAATCATAATCTGAAAATCTTCCACTAGAGTCATCTAGAAATGTTTAATATTTAAACAAAAACAATCTTGTTTTCTTTCTCAAGAAAAATGTTTTTACATGAATGAGAAAACTAGGACCCAGGGACTAGTTTGACTGATGCTGCAAATGCCCTGGAGGGGGTGGAATGGGAGAGATTTTTGTCTTGGTAACCTTGTGTTCACACAAGGCAGAGAAGTGAAATTGAGATCTATGCATAAAACCAAGATCAACTCAAAATGCACACACCCAATGAATATGTGAAATGAGAAAAAGAAGTAACCTATGATCACGGGGCAACCATAAAGAGGTTTATTTTCTGCTACCTGTGCTCTGGATGATAAAAGCAAATGTTCTCGGTAAACTAGAAAACCTGAGTCTACGTACTACCTGAGTTTGAGGTCCAAATTTATTAATAACCCTGTTGTCTAGAAAGTCCAAGTGAGTAACTTAACATAAAAATAGGTTCCTGCTCAACAAATCCCTGGGAACTGCTGATTGAAGAAAATGTTATCTGCTTTGGAACTTTGCTCCCACAGTATGATCTGCAATGAATTTTCACAGGGAAAAAAATTTTACTAAATATGAGCTCACAATAAAAATGGACAAAATACACATGGAAGTGGTCTACCATGACTGAGAATCAGCATATGCAACTAACAGAAAGATTTGAACATCAAAAATTTCACATAATAGAATGGCAGTTTGAAAGATTATATAGAATAATTATACTTAAAATGAATAACGACCTTTAAAAAGTAATGTAGACTCTATGACATGAAAAATGCCCTATGAAACAGAACTGGCAAATTTGAAAAGGAACCAAATAGTAATAAAAATGCAAACTTTGAAACTAAACGTTCAATGGAAACATGTTGGAAATAGAAGAGAATAAATGAATTAGGTGACAAGAGGTTTTAATCAAAGTAGGGTATGATGAGAGAAATAGATGTTGTCTTAGCACACTTTGTGCTGCTATAACAATACCATAGACTGGTTAATTTTTAACGGACAGAAATTTATTTGGCTCATGGTTATGGAGGTTGAGAAGTGTGAGACTGAGGGGCTGCGTCTGGTGAAGGTCTTCTTGCTACGCAATTCCATGGCAGAAGGTGGAAGGAAAAAACAGTATTTGCAAGAAACAGAAAAGAGGCTAAACTCATCCTTTTATCAGAAACCCATTCCCAAAATAACTAGACTACTCCCACAATAATAGCATTAATTCATTCATAAAGGCTGAGCCCTTATGATGTAATCACTTCTTTTTTTAGGTATATTACATGCATTTTATTTTATTTTTAAATTTTTTTTCATAACTTATTGGGGTACAGGTGGTGTTTAGTTACATGAGTAAGTTCTTTGGTGGTGATTTGTAAGATTTTCATGCACCCTTGACCCGAGCAGTATACACTGCACCATATTTGTAGTCTTTTATGCCTCAGCCCCTCCCACTCTTTCTCCCAAGTCCCCAAAGTCCATTGTATCATTCTTATGCCCTGCATCCTCATAGCTTAGCTCCCACGTATCAGTGAGAACATACGATGTTTGGTTTTCTATTACTGAGTTACTTCACTTAGAATAACAGTCTCCAATCTCATCCAGGTCACTGCAAATGCTGTTAATTTATTCCTTTTTATGACTGTGTAGTATTCCTTCCTACATATATACCACGGTTTCTTTATCCACTTGTTGATTGATGGGCATTTGGGTTGGTTCCACGATTTTGCTATTGTGAATTTTGCCACTATAAACATGTGTGTGCAAGTATCTTTTTCAAATAATGATGACTTCATTTCCTCTGGGTAGATACCCAGTAGTGGGATTGCTGGATCAAATGGTAGTTCTACTTTTAGCTCTTTAAGGAATCTCCACACTGTTTTCCATAGTGGCTGTACTAGTTGACATTCCCACCAGCAGTGTAGAATTGTTCCCTGTTCACTGCATCCATGCCAACATCTACTGTTTTTTTTTTTTTTTTTTTTTTTTTTTTTTTTTTTTATGACCATTCTTGCAGGAGTAAGGTGGTATTGCATTGTGGTTTTGATTTGCATTTCCCTGATCTTTAGTGTGATGTTGAGCATTTTTTTCATGTTTGTCGGCCATTTGTATATCTTCTTTTGAGAATTGTCTATTCATGTTCTTAGCATGCTTTTTGATGGGATTGTTTTTTTTTTCTTACTGATTTGTTTGAGTTTGTTGTAGGTGCTGGATATTAGTCCTTTGTCAGATGTATAGATTGGGAACATTTTCTCCCACTCTGTGGGTTGTCTTGTTTATTCTACTGACTGTTCCTTTTGACACACAAAAGCTCTTTAGTTTAATTAGGTCCCAGATGTTTATCTTTGTTTTTATTGCATTTGCTTTTGGGTTCTTGGACATGAAATCCTTGCCTAAGCCAATGTCCAGGAGGGTTTTTCCAATGTTTTCTTCTAGAATTTTTATAGTTTCAGGTCTTAGGTTCAAGTCGTTAATCCATCTTGAGTTGATTTCTGTATACAGTGAGAGATGAGGGTCCAGTTTCATTCTCCTATATGTGGCTAGCCAATTATCCCAGAACCATTTGGTTGAAAAGGGTGTCCTTTCCCCACTTTATGTTTTTGTTTGCTTTTTGTTTGTTTGCTTTGTTGAAGATCAGTTGGCTGTAAGTATTGTAAGTATTCTGGGTTATCTATTTTGTTCCACTGGTCTGTATGCCTATTTTTATACCAGTACCATGCTGTTTTGGTGACTATGGCCTTATAGTAGAATTTGAAATCAGGTAGTGTGATGCCTCCAGGTTTGTTCTTTTTGCTTTTTGATATCACCATCATTTTTTATGATGGGGACTGCATTGAATTTGTAGATTGCTTTTTGCAGTATGGTCATTTTTACAATATTGATTCTAGCCATCCATGAGCATGGGATTTGTTTCCATTTGTTTGTGTCATCTATGATTATTTTTTAGCAGTGTTTTGTAGTTTTCCTTTTAGAGGTCTTTTGACTCCTTGGTTAGGTATATTCCTAAGTATTTTATTTATTTATTTATTTTGCAGCTATTGTAAAAGGGGTTGAGTTCTTGATTTGATTCTCTGCTTAGTTGCTGTTGGTGTATAGAGGAGATACTGATTTGTGTACATTAATCTTGTATCTGAAAACTTTGCTGAATACTTTTAACAGTTCCAGGAGCTTTCTGGAGGAGTCCTTAGGATTTTCAAGGTAAATGATCATATCATCAGCAAACAGTGAGAGTTTGACTTCCTTTTTACCAATCTGGATGCCCTTTATTTCATTCTCTTGTCTGATTGCCCTGGCTAGGACTTCCAGTACTATGTTGAAAAGGAGTGGTTAGAGTGGGCATCCTTGTCTTGTTGCAGTTCTCAGAGGGAATGCTTTCAACTTTTCACCATTCAGTATTATGCTGACTGTCATAGATGGCTTTTATTACACTGAGATATATCTCGTGTATGCTGGTTTTGCTGAGAGTTTTAATCATAAAGGATGCTGGATTTTGTCAAATGCTTTTTCTGCATCTATTGAGATGATCATGTGATTTTTATTTTTAATTCTGTTTATGTGGTGTATCACATTTATTGATGTATGTATGTTAAACCACCCCTGCATCCCTGGTATGAAACCCGCTTGATCATGGCGAATTATCTTTTTGACATGTTGTTGGATTTGGTCAACTAGTATTTTGTTAAGGATTTTAGCATCAATGTTCATCAAGGATATCGGTCTGTAGTTTTCTTTTTTGGTTATGTCCTTTCCTGGTTTTGGTATTAGGGTGATGCTGGCTTCATAAAATGAATTAGGGAGGGTACCTTCTTTCTCTATTTTGTGGAATAGTGTCAAAAGGATTGGTACCAATTCTTTGAATGTCTGGTAGAATTCTGCTGTGAATCCATCTGGTTCTGTACTTGTTTTGGCTGGTAATTTTAAAATTACCATTTCAATCTCACATCTTGTTATTTGTCTCTTCAGGATATCTAATTCTTCCTGATTTAAGCTAGGAGGGTTGTGTTTTTCCAGGAATTTATCCATCTCTTCTAGATTTTCTAGTTCATGTGCATAAAGATGTTCATAGTAGCAGTGAATGATCTTTTGTATTTTAGTGGTGTCAGTTGTAATACCTCCTGTTTCATTTCTTAGTGAGGTTACTTGGATTTTCTCTCTTCTTTTCTTGGTTAATCTTGCTAATAGTCTATCAAATTTATTTATCTTTTCAAAGAACCAGCTTTTTGTTTCATTTATCTTTTGTATTTTTTTGTTTCAATTTCATTTAGCTCTGCTCTGATCTTGGTAATTTCCTTTCTTCTGCTGGGGTTGGGTTTGGTTTGTTCTTGTTTCTCTAGTTCCTTGAGTTGTGACCCTACAATGTCATTTTGTGCTCTTTCAGTCTTTTTGGTGTAGGTGCTTAGGGCTATGAACTTTCCTCTTAGCACTGCCTTTGCTGTATCCCAGAGGCTTTGATAGGTTGTGTCATTATTGTCATTCAGTTCGAAGAATATTTTAATTTCCATCTTGATTTCACTTTTGAACCAGTGCTCATTCAGGAGCATGTTATTTAATTTCCATATGTTTGCATGGTTCTGAAGGTTCCTTTTGGAGTTGATTTCCAGTTTTATTCCACTGTGGTCTGAGACAGTGCTTAATATAATTTCAATTTTCTTAAATTTATTGAAGCTCATTTTATGGCCTATTATATAGTCTATCTTGAAGAAAATTCTATGCGCTGTTGAATAAAATGTGTATTCTGTGGTGGCTGGATAAGATGATCTGTATATATCCATTAAGTGCATTTGTTCCAAGGTATAATTTAAATCCATTTTTTGTTTGTTGACTTTCTGTCTTGATGACCTGTGTAGTGCTGTCAGTGGAATATTGAAGTCCCCACTATTATTGTGTTGCTGTGTACCTCATTTCTTAGGTCTATTAGTAATTGTTTTATAAATTCAGGAGCTCCAGTGTTAGGCACATCTATGTTTAAGATTGTGATATTTTCCTGTTGGACAAGGCCTTTCACCATTACATAATGTCCCTCTTTGTCTCTTTTAACTGCTGTTGCTTTAAAATGTGTTTTGGCTGATATAAGAATAGCTACCGCTGTTGGCTTTTGGTGTCCGTTTGCATGAAATGCCTTTTTCCACCCCTTTACTTTAAGTTTATGTGAGTCCTTATGTGTTAGGTGAGTCTCCTGAAGGCAGCAGATAGTTGGTTGGTGAGTTCTTATCCATTCTGCAGTTCTGTAACTTTTAAGTGGAGCATTTAGGCCATTTACATTCAATGTTAGTATTGAAAATGAGGTACCTTTGCATTCATTGTGCTTTTTGTGGTCTGTGTACTTTGGTTTTTTTGCTTTGTGTTTTAGATTTTTAAATTGTATTTTTGTTTTATAGGTCCTGTGTGATATATGCTTTAAAGAGGTTCTGTTTTGATGTGTTTCTGGGATTTGTTTCAAGATTTAGAGCTCCTTTTAGCAGTTCTTCTAATGGTTGCTTGGTAATGGCAAATTCTGTCAGCATTTGTTTGTCTGAAAATGACTGTATCGTTCCTTCATATATGATGCTTAGTTTCTCTGCATTCAGAATTCTTGGCTGATAATTGTTTTGTTTGAAGAGGCTGAAAATATGGCCCCAATTCCTTCTAGCCTGTAGGGTTTTGCTTAGAAATCTGCTGTTAATCTGATAGATTTTCCTTTATAGGTTACCTGGTACTTCTGTCTCACAGCTGTTAAGATTCTTTCCTTTGTCTTAACTTTAGGTAACCTGATGACAATGTGCCTAGGTGAAGATCTTTTTGTGATGAATTTCCCAGGTGTTCTTTGTGCTTCTTGCTTCTTGTATTTGGATGTCTAGGTCTCTAGCAAGGCTGAGGAAGTTTTCTTCAATTATTTCCCCTAATATGTTTTCCAAGCTTTTAGAATTCTCTTCTTTCTGAGGAACAACACTGATTATTCTTAAGTTTGGGCATTTAACATAATCCTAGGCTTCTTGGGGTCTTTGCTCATATTTTCTTATTCTTCTTTCTTTGTCTTGGTTGGATTGGGTTAGTTAGAAGACTTTGTCTTTGAGCCCTGAATTTCTTTGTTCTACTTATTCAATTATATTGCTGAGATTGTCTAGAGCATTTTGCAGTTCTACAGGTGTGTCCAAAGTTTCCTGAATTTTTTATTGTTTTTTCTTTAAGCTATCTATTTCCTTGAATGTTTCTCCCTTCACTTCTTGTGCCATTTTTTGGATTTCCTTGCATTGGGCTTTGCCTTTCTTTGGTCCTGATTACCTTAATAACTAACCTCCTGAATTATTTTTCAGGTAAATCAGGGATTTCTTTTTGGTTTGGATCCATTGCTGATGAACTAGTATGATTTTTGGGGGTGTTGAAGAGCCTTGTTTTGTCATATTACCAGGGTTGATTTTCTGGTTCCTTCTCATTTGGGTAGGCCCTATCAGAGGGAAGGTCTGGGGTTGAAGGCTGTTGTTCAGATTCTTTTGTCCCACGGGATGTTCCCTTGATGTAGTACTCTCCCCCTTTTCCTATGGATGTGGCTTCCTGTGAGCCAAACTGCAGTGATTATTGTCTTTCTTCTGGGTCTAGCCACCCAATAAGTCTACCCAGCCGTGGGCTGGTACTGGGGGTTGTCTGCACAGAGTTCTGTGATGTGAGCCGTCTATGAGTCTCTCAGCCATGGATACCTGGGCCTGTACTGGTGGAGGTGGCAGTGGGGGGTGCAATAGACTCCATGAGAGTTCTTAGCTTTGGTGGTTTAATGCTCTATTTTTGTGATGGTTCTAGAAAGCATCAGCTGTAGTAATATAGAGAGGAACCAGTGGTGGGCAGGGCCAATATAATCCCAAGATTATATGCCTTTTGTCTTCTGCTACCAGAGAGGATAGGGAAGGACCATCAGGTGGGGGTGGGGCTAGGTGTGTGTGAGCTCAGACTCTCCTTGGGCAGGTCTTGCTGCAGCTGCTGTGGGGAATGGGAGTGAGATCCTCAGGTCATTGGAGTTGTGTACCTAGCAGGATAATGGCTGCCTTTGCTGAGTCATACAGGTCATCAGGAAAGTGGGGGAAAGCTGGCAGTCACAGGCCTTACCCAGCTCCCATGTAAACTGAAGGGCCGGTCTCATTCCCACCATGTCCTTCACCCCAACAGCCCCGAGTCTATTTCCAGGCAGAGGGCATGATGGGCTTGAAAACTTGCCCTGGGCTACCAGCCTTCTAGCTGTGAAAGAAAAGGGATTGGTTCCTCCCCTGCCTATGGAGTCTGCACACTGGATTTGCACCCTC
Organism: Homo sapiens; assembly: GCF_000001405.40. Taxonomy (NCBI): domain Eukaryota; kingdom Metazoa; phylum Chordata; class Mammalia; order Primates; family Hominidae; genus Homo; species Homo sapiens. The sequence continues at coordinate 116,023,798 of NC_000011.10, read as the reverse complement.
CCCCAAGTTCTGGCCAGAAGGCTCCTCACCCCTTTCAAATTGTTGCAAAGTTCAGCTAGAGATGTCCTTTTTCCTGTGGAGTTTCACCCCCTACTCCTCTGGTCACCCTCCCGATGGATCCCTGTGGTGCCAGGTAAGAATGGCCTACTAGGGGATGCAGTGAGCTCCAAGGGCCTTTCTGCTGCTTCCTCTACCCCTGTATTTCACTTGGTTCTCTAAATTGACTCAGCTCCAGCTAAAGTCAGCAACTTCTCCTACAAACAGACCTTCAGCTTCTACAGTGGGGGTATATGTTCAGGAGAGGAGGGTCTTCCTTTCTCATTTCCACACTCACAGTATTTGGGGTGTCTCCTGGGTCATGCAGGAGCAGTCCGCTTCCTTTAGAGGGTCTGTGGGTCCTCTCGGGATTGCTGGTTTGTTCTTGCAGTCAATTTGGAGCTAAAATTCACAATGCGAGCTTCTGCAAGCTGCTCTGTCTGGAGCTGCAATCTAGTCCTGCCTCCTGTCCACCATGATCCGTATCATCTCTTAAAGGTTTCACCTCTCAACACTGGTATTATGTTTCCAACACATGAACTTTGGGGAATAAAATCAAACCATAGCAGATGAAAAATAGAAAAATAGAGAATTGAATAATAAATCCTCAATAAATGCCCAATAGGAGTTCCAGAAGTAAAGAACTAAAATAATGCATAAAAGGCAAAGTTGCCCAGAATGGATAGCAAACTTAATTAATCATGTTTTAAAAGTGCAAAGATCTTGCAGAATAAATAAAAATAAACCCATAACTAGTCACATCATAATGAAACTGCCAAATGCCAAAGACAAAAAGAAATTTATAAAAGGAAACTGAGAGTTTACTATAGAAAATAATGTAATATCTTCAAAATGCCAAAGAAAAATAATTGCCAACAAAAAATTTTGTACCTATCTAAACTGTCATTCAAAAAGTGAAGGAGAAATAAAGATATATTCAGAAAAATAAGGGTTAAGTGAATCTATAACTCCTAGAATCCTGCTGAGAGAAAAATTAAAGAAAGGAATTGAACCCAGAAGGAAAGAGCAAGGTGCAAAAATAATGCTGAGTAAATAAACTGGTGAACACAGGGGCAACATTAGCAACAAGGGTTATATAAAATAATAATTATAAAAATAAATAACTTGAGGACTACAAAAAGAAGGTGGAAAATAAAATAGTGAGCGATAACATCAAGTAAAATATTTTTAGCATAATAGTTGGAAGTTAAAATGTTCAAACTTTCTTGTTTTGTTTAGAGTACAAATATCGATTAACTTTAGATTTTTCAAGTCAGCAGTTATGTTAAAAATGTAAAGCTAACCACAAACACATAGAAAATAGGAATATAATGCATAAAAGAAGGGAATTAAAAAGAAATGCAATCAATCAAATTAAAAGCAAGAGAAAGCAGAAAAGTCTGGGGAAGAACAAAACAATGAAAAGTATAATTAAATCCAAATATCAGTAAACACAATAAATAATATGACATCGAATGATATTTATCTACCCTAAAATATACCCTGGGACTTCCTCAGTAAACAAAGATATATGTTCACCATTACTAAGACATATACCCTGGGGAAATTTATATCCAAAAACATATAAAAAGAAAGGTGCTTATCCTCACTAGTAATCAGGAAATACAAACTTAAAAAAATCGGCTGTCACTTGACATCTATTGGATTTACAAAAGTAAGTGGTGGTGAGAAATTTAGAAACTAAAAAAAAAAAAAGAGAGAAATTAAGAAACTCTTAAACATTGTTAAAGGAGTATAGCTGAAAGCAACTGGGCAATACACCTAATAAAGTGGAAGATAAAAATCTAATATAGCAAATTCCACTCTGGCTATAAAGAACTGACAACATCAACAACTAGAAAACTGGACAACATATGTAAAACAACATTTTTCAGATCTTGAACAGGAGATAGGCAGGACTGTAATCCCTGAGAGAAAGGAAACAAACCAAGGGAGCCATACAATCACCATGGCTTTCTTCACTGAAGCAATTCCTGACCTGTGAGCCAAAACAGCCTCATGGTCTTGCTGAGTTGAGAAGTTAGAGATCAGAGTTCAGTGAGATTGGGGTGGCAAAAATTTACAAGACCGAATACTGAAGAGGGGAAGCTATACAGATAAAGAGCTCCAGAAAACAGCATAGGAATTCCCTTGAGTCTTTGGCTGAAAACTATACTCTTGATAAATGTATTAAGAAGACTAATAATTCTAAATGTTTATGCACCTAATAATATATTTCAAAATACACAAAGCAAAAGCTGATAGAACTTACAGAAGAGAGAAATCTATAATTATAGTCAAAGGCTTCATAATCTCTCATTAATTAATAGAACAAGTAGACAGAAAATAGTAAGATTAAATTGCCATGAGCAGTATTATTAACCAACATAACCTAATTAAAATTTATATAACATTCTATCCAACAATAACAGAATATACATGTTTTTCAAGTGTATATGGAATGTTTGTTAAAATAGATCATGTTTTGGGCCATGAAAACAATAAAAACAAAAAATTTAATTAAAATTTTAAGAAACATATTCTCTGACCATGATACAATTAAAATAGAAGTCAATAGTAGAATGGTATCTAGAAAATCCCCAGGTATTTGGAAATTAAACACTGTACTTGCAAATAACCAATGTATCAAAGAGGAAATCACAGGGAAAATTAGTAACAATTTTGGATTTAATGGAAATTGAAGCATAACTTTTGATATGCAGGTAAAATAAGTGCTTATAAATAAATTTATAGCATTAAATATTTATATTAGACAATAAAAAAGGTTTTGAATAAATTACCTAAGTTTTTACTTTAAGAAACCAAAAGTAGAAGAAAAGATTAAACAAAAAACAGAAGGGAAGAAATAATAATTATGAGTAAAAATAAATAAAAATAGTAAAACAATAGAGAAAAAAACAAAATCAAAAGTTCTTTGAAAAGATCAATAAAATTGACAAACCTCTAGCCAAACCTGATCAAGAACAAAAGAAAGATAGAAATAAACAATAACACAAATGAAAGAGAAAACATCATACAGATCACACTGATATTAAAAAGATAATAAAGACATGTTTTGAACAACACTGTGTCAATAAATTTGAAAACATAAAAAAAAGTCAATACATTTCATGAAAGACATAAACTTAGCACAAGCTCACTCAGAAAACAGATAACCTGAATATCTCCCAACAAAAAGAAACTACAGTCTCAGGTGATTTCACTGGTGAATTCTACTAAACATTTAAGGAAAAAAATACCAGTTCTGCACAAATTTTTGCAGGAAATAAAAGAAGAGGAAACACTTTATGAGGTCAGCATTATCCTTACACAAAAACCAAACATTACAAGAAAACAACAGACAAATATCCCTCATGAACTTGGATGCAAAACTTCTTGATAAAATATTAATAAATTGATCTAGTAATATACAAAAAGGATAATACATTATGACCAAGTGGAGTTTATCTCAGGATGCAAGGTCAGTACAGCATTTACAAATTAATCAATGTAATCTACAATTCAATGGGCTAAAGAAAAACATTTGACCATGATAATATGTATAGGAAAATGATTTGACAAAATCCAACACGTATTCTTGATAACAACTCTCAGCAAAAGGGAACAAAAGGGAACATTCTCTAATTGATAAATGGCAGCTTTGAAGACCTATAACTCAGGTCAGGAAAAAGGCAAGGATGTCTACTCTTACCGCTCTTAAATATTGTGCTGGAGGACCCCAACAGTGCAATAAAGAAAGAAAAGGAAACAAAAGCATACAATTAGAAGAGAAGTAAAATTCTTGAAATTTTCAGAAAACATAAACTTCTGTATAGAATATCCTAAAGAATCTGAAAAGCTATTAAAATTAATAAGTGAGTTTAGCAAGTTTGCAGAATACAGATTTTTGAATATTAGTTGTTTTCTATATGCTAGCAATGCACAATTGGAAAGTTAAATTTATAAAAAGAGTACCATATATAATGCCAACACAAACCATGAATCATAAAGGATAAATCTAACAAAATATATGTAATATTTTTATGCTGAAAATTATAAAACATTAATGACAGTAATCAAGGAAGACCTAAGTAAATGAAACACGATAATATTGTGTTCATAGATTGGAAGACTCAATATTGTTACACATCAGTTTACCTAAATTAATCTATAGATTCAATGGAGTCTTATGAAAACTATAACAAGTTCTTTTCTTAGCAGGTAGAGTAAGAATTAACAAGTTCATTCTGAAGTTTATATAGATGGGCAATGAATCTTTTGTGGTAATCAGTCCCCAAGATAACCCCTAATGATCCTGGTATTCAGATTAGTCTCTGTGTGACCAATAGAATATGGTAGAACTAATAGAATATGGCAGAATTAACCAAATTTGGAGGTGACATACTATTAGTTCTACCATGTTCTATTGGTCAGAAGACACCCTTTTACATTTTCTCCTTCTCTCTCTCTCTCTCTAACTCTCTCTCTCTAACACACACACACACACACACACACACACACACACACACACACACACACCCCATTCATTTTTGGGGAAGCTAGCTGTCATATTGTGAGAAGCCTTATGGAGATGTCTAAGTGGTGAGACACTGATGCCCCTCGCCAACATCTAAGTGAAATTGAAAATAAGTCTTCTAGCCCAATCAAGCCTTCAGATGACTGTAGTTTGGGCTGATATCTCTGTTTCAACTTTATGAGAGAATCTTATCTAGAAAAACCCAACTAAGCTGCTCTAAATTCCTGACTGACAAAAATTGTGAGATAATAAATGTTTATTGTTTTAAGCCTCTAAGTGTTAGGCAGATTGCTATGCAGCCATAGATAACTAATATACTTAGAGCACAAAAAAACACAAAGTTAAAAGACTTAGAGTAAGAGTATGAGACTTAGTATAAAGAACCATGGTAATTGACACCATGTGGTACTGGCAAAAAAAAAAAAACAAAACTAAACATAGATCCACAGATATATAATCAATTGATTTTTACAAACTGTGAGTGAGTTCTCACAAGATCTGGTCATTTAAAAGTGTGTGGCACCTCCCACCTCACTCTCTTGCTCCTGCTTTTGCCATGTAATGTGCCTGTTACCCCTTTGCCTTCCACCTTCCACCATGATTGTAAGTTTTCTGAGGCCTCTCCAGAAGCTGAGCAGAAGCCAGCATTATGCTTCCTGTACAGTCTGAATAACCATGAGCCAATCAAACCTCTTTTAAAAATAAATTGTCCAGTCTCAGGTATTTCTTTATAGCAATGTGAGAATGGCCTAATACAACTACCTTGTAAAAATATCTGTATTCCCATGTTCATGGTAGCATTATTTACAATAGCCAAGATATGCAAACAACCTAAGTGTACATCAATGAATGAATGAATTTAAAAATGTGAAAAATATGCATATTTAAATAATATTCAACATATTACTCAACCTTAAAAAAGGAGACTCTACCATTTGCTAAATCATGGATAGACCTGAATGACAGTGTGCTAAGTAAAATAAGCCAGACACAGAAAGACAAATATTGCATCTCACTTTAATGTGGAATCTAAAAACAAAAAAAGTCAAATATACAGACATAGAGAATGAAACAGTGGTTATCAGAAATGGGGTGGAGGGGAGGAAATGGGGAGATATAAGTCAAAAGATACAAAGTGGCAGATATGTAGAATAAACAAGACTAGAGGTCTAATGAACAATTTGAGGACTGTAGTTAGTAAAATTGTATTGAATTAGGGATTTTTGTTAAATAAGTAGATTTTAGCTGTTCTTATCACAGAGAGTAACTATGTGAAATGATAGACATTGTTAATTTGCTTCACTATAGTAATCATTTTACTATCTACATGTATGTTGTAAATCTCAAGTATAAATGATAAAATGTATTTAAAAAATGGCTGAGGAAGCTTATCACCACGAAACCTGCCTTATAAGAAATGCTAAAAGGAGTTTTTGAGTAGAAATAAAAGGAAACTGAAGTAACAACATGAAAACATATGAAATTATAACTCTTATTCGTAAAAATAAATACATAGTCAAATTCAGAATACTGTAATACTGTCATGGTAGTCTATAAATCACTTTTAACTCTAGTTTAAAAGTTAAAAGATAAAAGTATTAAAAATATACTATACTATAATAATGCATAAATGGTTACACAATAAAAAAGGTGCAAATTGTGGCATCAATAGCATAAAATGTGTGTGGAGGGCAGAGAAACAAAAGTGTAGAGTTTTTTTATGCAATTGAAGATTAGTTGTTATTGGCTTAAATTTGAATATTATAATTATGTTTTATGCAAGCCCCATGGTAACCACAAAGAAAAATACCTATACCTACAAGATAAAAGGAAAGACATCAAGACATACCACTACAAAAAATTTAACAAATTACACGAAAGATAGCAAGATTAGAAGAGAAAAATAAAGGAATTACAATGTAGTCAGTAAACAATTGACAAAATGGCAATAGTAAGTTCTGACCTGTTAATAATTACTTTAAGTGTAAATGAATTAATTCCTCAATTAAAAGATAGAGTGACTAAATGGATTTAAAACAACAACTACAAAAAAAGACTGAACAATATGGTACCTACAGGAGACTCACTTTAGCCTAAGGACACATATAGATTGAAAGTGAGAGTTGGAAAAAGTTATTCCATGTAAATGTTAACCAAAAGACAGCAAGAGCAACTATTCTTACACTAGACAAAATAGATTTTCAGTCAAAATCTGTCACAAGAGGCAAAAAAATCACTATTTGATGATACAGTTGTCAATTCATCAAAAGGACATAACAATTGTAAATATACATGCACCTAACACTGGGGCACCTGTGTATATTAGAAAATATTAATGAACTGAAGGGAGAAACACACAGCAATATGCTTATGGAAGGGGACTTCAATATCCCACTTTCAACAATGAACAGATCATCGAGACAAAAAATCAATAAGGAAACATCATAAATGAATAATGCTATAGACCAAATGGACCTAACGGACATATAAAGAATATTTCATCCAACACTAGTGGAATACATATTCTTCTTAAGAGCACATGAAGTATTCTGCAGTATGAATCATATGTTGGCATACAAAACAAATTTTAACAAGTTTAAGAAGACTGAAATCAACTCAAGTATCTTTTCTGACCACAGTGTTATAAAACTAGAAGTTAGTAACAGGAGGAATTTTGGAAAATTGACACACATGTGGAAATTAAACAGGACACCCCCGAACAAATAATAAGTCAAAGAAAAAATTAAAAAGAAAATTTTAAAATATCTTGAAACGAAGGAAAATGGAAACCTAACATACAGAAACTTATGGGGTACAGCTAAAGCTGTGCTAAGAGAAAAGTTTATAGCAACACCTGCCTACTTTAATAAAGAAGAAAGATCTCAAATAAGCAATGTAATTTTATATCTCAATTAGAAAAAGAAGAAAAACTCACCCTAAAGTAAGCAGAAGGAAAGAATAAATATTAGAGAAAAAAATAGACACTAGAAAGATAATAGAAAAGTTTAAAAAAGTAAGAGTTGATTTTTTGAAAATATAAACAAAATTGACAAACCTCTAACTCGACTAATCACAAAAAATAAAAAGGACTCAAATAAAATCATAAGTTAAAAAGGTGGCATTATGATTGACATCACAGAAATAGAAAGGATCATAAGAGAATACTATGAAAAATTATACACCAACAAATTAGATAACAGAAGAAATGGATAAATTCCTAGAAACCTACAACTTACCAAGAGTGAATGATAAAGAAATAGAAAATCTGAACAGACCAATAAATAAGGAGATTGAATCAGTAATCAAAAACCTCCCAACAAAGGAAAGCTCAGAGCCAAATGGCTTCGTGGGTGAATTCTTTTTTGAAAAAGATCCAAGGCCAATTCATTTCAAACTCTTTAAAAAAATTGAAGAGAAGGTAACACTTTCAAACTCACTTTATGAGGCTAGCATTAGTGTCATACCAAAGCCAGATAAGGACACTACAAGAAAAGAAAATTATAGGCCAATACCTTGACTAATATGATGCAAAAATCCTCAACAACATACTACTAAACTCAAACAGCACATTAAATGGCTAAAACACTATAATCAAACATAATTTATCCTTGAGATGCATGGATGGTTTGACATATGCAATTGACATATGCAAATTAAAAATGTGATACACCATATTAACAAGATAAAGAATCATATGGTCATCTCAATGGATGCAGAAAAAGTATTTGACAAAATTTAACATCTTTTTATGATAAAGTCTTTCAACAAATTAGATGTGAAAGGAATGTACTTCAACATAATAAAGACTATATATGGCAAGCCCATAGGTAACTCCATACTCAATGGTGAGAAGATGGAAACTTTTCTCTAAGATCAGGAAAAAGACAAGGGTGCTTACTCTCACCACTTATATTAAACATAATACTTGAAGTCCCAGCCAGAGCAATTAGGTTAGAAAAAGAAATGAAAGGCATCCAAGATAGAAAAGAAAAAGTTAAATTGTCTCTGTTTTCAGATGACATTATCTTATATGTAGAAAATCCTAATGACTACAAAATATCTGTAATAAACAAATTCAGTGAAGTTGCAGAATACAAAATCAGTATACAAAAGTTACTTTTGTTTTTATACACTGACAACAAACTGTTCAAAAAGGAAAGAAATTGTTTCTATACACTTCTGTTTCTATACACTAACAAACTGCCCAAAAATGAAATTCTAAAAAATAATTCCACTTAACAATAGCATCAAAAAGAACAAATTATTTAGAAGGAGATGAAATATCTGTACACTAAAAACTATGACATTGATAAAAGAAATTGAAGAAGGCACAAGTAAATTGAAAGATAGGTTCATAGACTGGAAGAATAAATATTGTTAAAATTTCCATGTTATCCAAGGTGATACACAGATTTAATTCAATTTCTATCAAAACTCCAAAGCATTTTTCTCAAAAATAGAAAAAAAATACTTAAATGTGTAGGGAACAATAAGAAACCTTGAAAAGCCAAAGCAATTAACCAAAAAGCTGGAGGCCTCACACTCCCTAATTTCCCTATATTACAAAGTTACGGTCATCAAAACAGTGTGATATTGGCATAAAAAAGAGATTCATAGACCAATGAAACAGAATAGAGAGCCCAGAAGTAAACTCATCCATATGTGGTCAACTAATCTTTGACAAGAGCTCACAATGAAGATATACAATGGGAGAAAAAAAAGTTTCTTTGATAAATGGCTATGGGAAAAATGGATAGCCACATACAAAAGAATGAAACTGGACTCTTGTATATTGCTATATACAAATATTAACCCCAAATGGATTAAAGACTTAAATGTAATATCTGAAACTATAAAACTTCTAGAAGAAAACAGGAAAAAAAGGTTTTTGATACTGGCTATGAAAATGAGTTTTTGAATATGATATCAAACACACAGGCTACAAAAGTAAAAATACACAAGAGGGAGTACATCAAACTAAAAATCTTCCACACAGCAATGGAAACAATCAACAAAATGAAAAGGCAACCTAGAGAACTGGTAAAATATTTTCAAAGCATGTATCTGATAAGTGGTTAATATCCAAAATACATAAAGAATGCACACAGCTGAACAGCAAAACAAAAAAATAGCTGATTTTTAATAAATGGGCAAAGGCTCTGAACAGACAATTTTCCAAAGAAGATATACAAATGCCAAACAGGTATATGGAAAGTTACTTAACATCACTATCTTTAGAGGAATGCAAATCAAAATCACACTGAGCTATCATCTCACACTTGTTAGAGTGGCTATTCAAAAAGACAAGAGGTAAGTGTTGGTGAGGCTGTGAAAAAATTAAAACCCTTGAATACTGTTGGCAGGATTGTAAATTGATATAGCCATTATGGAAAAGTGTGGAAATTCCTCAAACATTTTAAAATAGAACTACCAGGAAACCCAACAACTTTACTTCTGGGTATATGTCCAAAGGAAATGAAATCAGTATCTCAAAGAGATATCTGCACTCTCATATTCACTGCAGCATTATTTATAATAGCCAAGATATGGAAACAATCTAAGTGCCATTGACAGATGAATGAGTTAAGAATTAATATATATATATTCATTATATCTAATTTATATTATATTTCTACATATACTATACCTATATTTTATATGTAATAATATATGTATATAATATACTTGTATATATATATTATACATATATAATATATATGCACACACATACACACATAATAGAATATTCTCCAGCTATGATAAAGAAATAAATCCTGCCATTTGCAACAATATGGATGAACCTGGAGGACATTATGCTAAGTGGGAAAAGCCAGACACAGAAAGAAAGTCACTCTATGATCTTACTTATATATGGAATCTAAAAAGGTCCAATTCATAGTAACACGTTGAATGATGGTTGTCAGTGGCTAGGGGGTAAAAGGGGTTGTGGGAAATTAATCACAAAGTACACATTTTTAGTTATAAGATTCACTAGTTCTGGGAATCTAATGTACAGCATGGGTGGTGATGGGTGTGTTGATTTGATTGTGCCAATCATTACACAATGTATACATATATCAAATTATCACATTATACATCTTGAAAATATACAATCTTTATTTATCAATTAAATATTTTAAAATAAATTTTAAAAACACCAGAGAAAATCCTCGTGGTATACAATAGAATACTACTCATAAATAAAATGATCTATTTAAAACATGAATGAATCTCAAAATAACTATGTTGAGTGGAAGAAGCTAGACACCAAAATAATTTGCACTATATCCTGTTTATTAAAACTCCAGATATTGCAAACTAGTGTATAATTACAGATAGCGTGTCAGTAGTTGCCTGTAAGGATGAGAATGGCAGGCATACAAGGGGGCATGAGAAAACTTTTGGTTATGTTAAATATGTTCATTATCCTGATTGTGGCAATGGCTTTATGATTATATACATGTGTCAAACTTATCAAATTGTACACTTTAAATAAGTGTGGTCTATTTTATATCAGTTCTACTTCAATAAAACTGATTTTTAAAGGCATATAGATGGCTAAGAGGTACATGAGAAGGTATTCAAAGTCACTAATCATCTGGGAAACACAAAACCACAATGAGATATTACCTCACATCTGTTAAAATGGCTATTCAAAAAGACCAGAGATAACAAGTGTTGGCAAGGATGTGGAATAAAGGCAATCCTTATATCCTCTTGGTGGGAATGTAAATTGGTACAGCCATTATGAAAAACAGCATGGAGGGTCCTCAAAACGTTAAAAATAGAACTACCATATGATCTAGCAACCTCATGCCTGGGTACATATCCAAAGGAAACAAAATCAGTATCTTGAAAAGTTATCAACATTCCTATGTTTATTTTAGCATTGTTGACAGTAGCTAAGATATAAAAATGACCTAAGCAGCAATCCATGAATAATCGAATAAAGAAAATGTGACGTATGCATACGACAGAATATTATTTGTCATTAGAAAGCAGGAAATTCTACTATTTGTGATAATGCGGATGAAACCGCAGGCCCTTATGCTAAGTGAAATAAGCCAGACAGAGAAAGACAAATGCTGTATGGTATCACTTATATGTGGAATCGTAAGAAAAAAAAGTTGAACTCATAGAAGCAGAGAGTGGAATGGTGGTTGCCAAGGGGCTGGGGCAGGGGTAGGAAAAATGAGGAGATGTTGGTCAAAGGGTACAAACTTTTAGTTATAGGTAAATAAGTTCTGAGGATATAATATCCTGCATGGTGACTATCGTTAATAATACCGTATTGTATTCTTCAACTTTTTTTTTAAAAAAGATAACAATGTGAGGTGGTGGATGTGTTAACTTGATTGAGGTAATCACTCCACAGTGCAAACACATATCAAATCATCACATCATACATCATACGTTAACATATATAATTTTATTTGTTGATCATACTTCAATAAAGCTGAATAATTTTTATCTAAAAATACATAACAAAAAGGGAAAGAAAAGTTGCTCAGTGTCATTAGTTACAAAGAAAACGTAAATCAAAACCACAATGAGGTAATACTTCATACCCATCAGGACAGCGATAATAAAAAAGATAAAAATTTACAAGTACTGGTAAAGATGTGGAGAAATTGGAACTCTTGTGCATTGCTGGTGGGAATGTAAGATTGTGCTGCTGCTGTGGAAAACAGTTTGGTGGTTAAAGATAAAGTTACCATATGACCCACCAATTCTATGCTCCTAGGTATATATCTCATATAACTGAAAACAGGAACTCAAACAAACACATGTACACAGTTGCTGATAGCCGTATTATTCACAGTAGTCAAAATGTGGAAACAACACAAACATCTATCAACGGAAGAATGGATAAACAAATTATGGTATATACATACAATAAAATATAATTTAGTTATAAAAAGGAATAAAGTACTAATATGTGCTGCAATGTGGATGAACCTCAAAAATGTTATGTTAAGAAGTCAGAAAAGATTACATATTATATAATTCCACTTATATAAAATACCCATAATTTGTAAATTTGTAAAGATAGGAAGCAGATTAGTGGTTCCTAGGGGTTAGAGAGGAGGAGAGGTAGGGTTGGGGAAAGTGGAGAGTAATTGCTTAATTGGCAGAGGGTTACATATTTTTTTGTTGTTGTTTTGTTTTTTTTGTTTTTTTTAATATACTTTAAGTTTTAGGGTACATGAGCACAACGTGCAGGTTTGTTACATATGTATACATGTGCGATGTTGGTGTGCTGCACCCATTAACTCGTCATTTAACATTAGGTATATCTCATAATGCAATCCCTCCTGCCTCCCCCCACCCCACAACAGGCCCCGGTGTGTGATGTTCCCCTTCCTGTGTCCATGTGTTCTCATTGTTCAGTTCCCACCTGTGAGTGAGAACATGCGGTGTTTGGTTTTTTGTCCTTGCAATAGTTTGCTGAGAATGATGGTTTCCAGCTTCATCCATGTCCCTACAAAGGACATGAACTCATCATTTTTTATGGCTGCATAGTATTCCATGGTGTACATGTGCCACATGTTCTTGATCTGTCTATCATTGTTGGACATTTGGGTTGGTTCCAAGTCTTTGCTATTGTGAATAGTGCCGTGATAAACATACGTGTACATGTGTCTTTATAGCAGCATGTTTTGTAATCCTTTGGGGATATACCCAGTAATGGGATGGCTGGGTCAAATGGTATTTCTAGTTCTAGATCCCTGAGGAATCGCCACACTGATTTCCACAATGGTTGAACTAGTTTACAGTCCCACCAACAGTGTAAAAGTGTTCCTATTTCTACACATCCTCTCCAGCACCTGTTGTTTCCTGACTTTTTGATGATCACTGTTCTAACTGGTGTGAGATGATATTTCATTGTGGTTTTGATTTGCATTTCTCTGATGGCCAGTGATGATGAGCATTTTTTCATGTGTCCTTTGGCTGCATAAATGTCTTCTTTTGAGAAGTGTCTGTTCATATCCTTTGCCTGCTTTTTGATGGGGTTGTTTGTTTTTTTCTTGTAAATTTGTTTGAGTTCATTGTAGATTCTGGATATTAGCCCTTTGTCAGATGAGTAGGTTGCAAAAATGTTCTCCCATTCTGTAGGCTGCCTGTTCACTCTGATGGTAGTTTCTTTTGCTGTGCAGAAGCTCTTGAGTTTAATTAGATCCCATTTGTCAATTTTGGCTTTTGTTGCCATTGCTTTTGGTGTTTTAGACATGAAGTCCTTGCCCAAGCCAATGTCCTGAATGGTATTGCCTAGGTTTTCTTCTAGGGTTTTTATGGCTTTAGGTCTAACATGTAAGTCTTTAATCCATCTTGAATTAATTTTTGTATAAGGTGTAAGGAAGGGATCCAGTTTCAGCTTTCTACATATGGCTAGCCAGTTTTCCCAGCACCATTTATTAAATAGGGAATCCTTTCCCCGTTTCTTGTTTTTGTCAGGTTTGTCAAAGATCAGATAGTTGTAGACATGTGGCATTATTTCTGAGGGCTGTGTTCTGTTCCATTGGTCTATATCTCTGTTTTGGTACCAGTACCATGCTGTTTTGGTTACTGTAGCCTTGTAGTATAGTTTGAAGTCAGGTAGCATGATGCCTCCAGCTTTGTTCTTTTGGCTTAGGATTGACTTGGCGACGTGGGCTCTTTTTTGGTTTCATATGAACTTTAAAGTAGTCTTTTCCAATTCTGTGAAGAAAGTCATTGGTAGCTTGATGGAGATGGCATTGAATCTATAAATTACCTTGGGCAGTATGGCCATTTTCACGATATTGATTCTTGCTACCCATGAGCATAGAATGTTCTTCCATTTGTTTGTATCCTCTTTTATTTCATTGAGCAGTGGTTTGTAGTTCTCCTTGAAGAGGTCCTTCACATCCCTTGTAAGTTGGATTCCTAGATATTTTATTCTCTTTGAAGGAATTGTGAATGGGAGTTCATTCATGATTTGGCTCTCTGTTTTTCTGTTACTGGTGTATAAGAATGCTTGTGATTTTTGCACATTGCTTTTGTATCCTGAGACTTTGCTGAAGTTGCCTATCAGCTTAAGGAGATTTTGGGCTGAGACAATGGCGTTTTCTAGATATACAATCATGTCATCTGCAAACAGGGACAATTTGACTTCCTCTTTTCCTAATTGAATACCCTTTATTTCCTTCTCCTGCCTGATTGCCCTGGCCAGAACTTCCAACACTATGTTGAATGGGAGTGGTGAGAGAGGGCATTCCTGTCTTGTGCCAGTTTTCAAAGGAAATGCTTCCAGTTTTTGCCCATTCAGTATGATAGTGGCTGTGGGTTTGTCATAGATAGCTCTTATAATTTTGAGATATGTCCCATCAATACCGAATTTATTGAGAGTTTTTAGCATGAAGGGTTGTTGAATTTTGTCAAAGGCCTTTTCTGCATCTATTGAGATAATCACGTGGTTTTTGTCTTTGGTTCTGTTTATATGCTGGATTACATTTATTGATTTGCGTATGTTGAACCAGCCTTGCAACCCAGGGATGAAGCCCACTTGATCATGTTGGATAAGCTTTTTGATGTGCTGCTGGATTCGGTTTGCCGAATCCAGTATTTTATTGAGGGTTTTTGCATCGATGTTCATCAAGGATGTTGGTCTAAAATTCTCTTTTTTTGTTGTGTCTCTGCCAGGCTTTGGTATCAGGATGATGCTGGCCTCATAAAATGAGTTAGGGAGGATTCCCTCTTTTTCTATTGATTGGAATAGTTTCAGAAGGAATGGTACCAGTTCCTCCTTGTACCTCTGGTAGAATTTGGCTGTGAATCCATCTGGTCCTGGACTTTTTTTGGTTGGTAAGCTATTGATTATTGCCTCACTTTCAGAGTCTGTTATTGGTCTATTCAGAGACTCAACTTCTTCCTGGTTTAGTCTTGGGAGAGTGTATGTGTCGAGGAATTTATCCATTTCTTCTAGATTTTCTAGTTTATTTGCATAGAGGTGTTTATAGTATTCTCTGATGGTAGTTTGTATTTCTGTGGGATCAGTGGTGATATCCCCTTTATCATTTTTTATTGCATCTATTTGATTCTTCTCTCTTTTCTTCTTTATTAGTCTAGCTAGTGGTCTATCAATTTTGTTGATCTTTTCAAAAAACCAGCTCCTGAATCCATTGATTTTTTGAAGGGATTTTTGTGTCTCTATCTCCTTCAGTTCTGCTCTGATCTTAGTTATTTCTTGCCTTCTGCTAGCTTTTGAATGTGTGTGCTCTTGCTTCTCTAGTTCTTTTAATTGTGATGTTAGGGTGTCAATTTTAGATCTTTCCTGCTTTCTCTTGTGGGCATTTAGTGCTATAAATTTCCCTCTACACACTGCTTTGAATGTGTCCCAGAGATTCTGGTATGTTGTGTCTTTGTTCTTGTTGGTTTCAAAGAACGTTTTTATTTCTGCCTTCATTTCATTATGTACCCAGTAGTCATTCAGGAGCAGGTTGTTCAGTTTCCATGTAGTTGAGTGGTTTTGAGTGAGTTCCTTAATCCTGAGTTCTAGTTTGATTGCACTGTGGTCTGAGAGGCAGTTTGTTATGATTTCTGTTCTTTTACATTTGCTGAGGAGTGCTTTACTTCCAACTATGTGGTCAATTTTGGAATAGGTGTGGTGTGGTGCTGAAAAGAATGTATATTCTGTTGATTTGGGGTGGAGAGTTCTGTAGATTTCTATTAGGTCTGCTTGGTGCAGAGCTGAGTTTAATTCCTGGATATCCTTGTTAACTTTCTGTCTCGTTGATCTGTCTAATGTTGAGTGGGGTGTTAAAGTCTCCCATTATTATTGTGTGGGAGTCTAAGTCTCTTTCTAGGTCTCTAAGGACTTCCTTTATGAATCTGGGTGCTCCTGTATTGGGTGTATATATATTTAGGATAGTTAGCTCTTCTTGTTGAATTGATTCCTTTACCATTATGTAATGGCCTTCTTTGTCTCTTTTGATCTTTGTTGGTTTAAAGTCTGTTTTATCAGAGATTAGGATTGCAACCCCTGCCTTTTTTTGTTTTCCATTTGCTTGGTAGATCTTCCTCCATCCCTTTATTTTGAGCCTATGTGTGTCTCCGCACGTGAGATGGGTTTCCTGAATACAGCACACTGATGGGTCTTGAATCTTTATCCAATTTGCCAGTCTGTGTCTTTTAATTGGAGCATTTAGCCCATTTACATTTAAGGTTAATATTGTTATGTGTGAATTTGATCCTATCATTATGATGTTAGCTGGTTATTTTGCTCGTTAGTTGATGCAGTTTCTTCCTAGCCTTGATGGTCTTTACAATTTGGCATGTTTTTGCAGTGGCTGGTACCGGTTGTTCCTTTCCATGGTTAGTGCTTCCTTCAGGAGCTCTTTTAGGGCAGGCCTGGTGGTGATAAAATCTCTCAGCATTTGCTTGGCTGTAAAGTATTTTATTTCTCCTTCACTTATGAAGCTTAGTTTGGCTGGATATGAAATTCTGGGTTGAAGAATGTTGAATATTTGCCCCCACTCTCTTCTGGCTTGTAGAGTTTCTGCCGAGAGATCAGCTGTTAGTCTGATGGGCTTCCCTTTGTGGGTAACCCGACCTTTCTCTCTGGCTGCCCTTAACATTTTTTCCTTCATTTCAACTTTGGTGAATCTGACAATTATGTGTCTTGGAGTTGCTCTTCTTGAGGAATATCTTTGTGGCGTTCTCTGTATTTCCTGAATTTGAATGTTGGCCTGCCTTGCTAGATTGGGAAGTTCTCCTGGAAAATATCCTGCAAAGTGTTTTCCAACTTGGTTCCATTCTCCCCGTCACTTTCAGGTACACCAATCAGATGTAGATTTGGTCTTTTCACATAGTCCCATATTTCTTGGAGGCTTTGTTCGTTTATTTTTATTCTTTTTTCTCTAAACTGCTCTTCTCACTTCATTTCATTCATTTGATCTTCCATCACTGATGCCCTTTCTTGCAGTTATCAAATCGGCTACTGAGGCTTGTGCATTTGTCATATAGTTCTCCTGCCTTGGTTTTCAGCTCCCTCAGGTCCTTTAAAGACTTCTCTGCATTGGTTATTCTAGTTAGCCATTCGTCTAATTTTTTTTTCAAGGTTTTTAACTTCTTTGCCATGGGTTCGAACTTCCTCCTTTAGCTTGGAGTAGTTTGATCATCTGAAGCCTTCTTCTCTCAACTCGTCAAAGTCATTCTCCATCCAGCTTTATTCCATTGCGGGTGAGGAGCTGCATTCCTTTGGAGGGGAGAGGCACTCTGATTTTTAGAGTTTCCAGTTTTTCTGCTCTGTTTTTTCTTCATCTTCGTGGTTTTATCTACCTTTGGTCTTTGATGATGGTGACATACAGATGGGGTTTTTGGTGTGGATGTCCTTTCTGTTTGTTAGTTTTCCTTCTAACAGTCAGGACCCTCAGCTGCAGGTCTGTTGGAGTTTGCTGGAGGTTCACTCCAGACCCTGTTTGCCTGGGTATCAGCAGCGGAGGCTGCAGAACAGTGGATATTGGTGAACAGGAAATGTTGCTGCCTGATCGTTCCTCTGGAAGTTTTGCCTCAGAGGGGTACCCGGCCGTGTGAGGTGTCAGTCTGTCCCTACTGGGGGTTGCCTCCAAGTTAGGCTACTTGGGGGTCAGGGACGCACTTGAAGAGGCAGTCTGTCAGTTCTCAGATCTCAAGCTGCGTGCTGGGAGAACCACTACTCTCTTCAAAGCTGTCAGACAGGGTCATTTAAGTCTGCAGAGATTTCTGCTGCCTTTTGTTTGGTTATGCCCTGCCCCTAGAGGTGGAGTCTACAAGGCAGGCAGGCCTCCTTGAGCTGTGGTGGGCTCCACCCAGTTTGAGCTTCCCAGCTGCTTTGTTTACCTACTCAAGCCTTGGCAATGGGGGGTGCCCCTCCCCCAGCCTCACTGTTGCCTTGCAGTTTGACCTCAGACTGCTGTGCTAGCAGTGAGCAAGGCTCCGTGGGCGTAGGACCCTCTGAGTCACGCACGGGATATAATCTCCTGGTGTGCCGTTTGCTAAGACCATTGGAAAAGTGCAGTATTAGGGTGGGAGTGACCCGATTTTCCAGGTGCCATCTGTCACCGCTTTCTTTGATTAGGAAAGGGAATTCCCTGACCCCTTGCGCTTCCCGGGTGAGGCAATGCCTCGCCCTGCTTCAGCTCACACTTGGTGCACTGCACCCACTGTCCTGCACCTGCTGTCCGACACTCCCCAGTGAGATGAACCCGGTACCTCAGTTGGAAATGCAGAAATCACCCATCTTCTGCGTCGCTCACACTGGGAGCTGCAGACTGGAGCTCTTCCTATTCGGCCATCTTGAAATGCCGGACCGAGGGTTATATTTTGGATTTATTAAAATGTTTTAGAACTACCTAGAGGTAGTGGTTGCACAACATTGTGAAAGTACCAAATGCTACTGAGTCGTACACTTTAAAATGTTTAATTATATGTTATGTAAATTTTACCTCAATTTAAAAACAACTAAAAATAATAAATAATTTTAAAAATAAAGGTATACAGAGTGAAATAAAGGAAGTAATACTATCTTTATTTGCACATGACATTATAGTTTTACAGAAAATTATAAGGAATTTACAATAACATCTATAGAACAAATATGTGACTTTATCATGTTTATAAGATGCAAGGGCAATATACCAATATTAACTATATTTTTATATGTTATCAGTAAACAATTTAAAAATGAAATAAGAAATGATATTATTAATACTAGTATAAAAATGAAAATATGTAGGGATAAATTTAACAAAATATGTGCAAGATCAATATCTTGAAAACTACAAAATACTGTTGAGAGGGATTTTTAAAGATGTAAATAAATGGCATGACATACCATGTTCATGGATCAAAAGACTCAATAGTGTTAAGATGTCAGTTGTCCCTAATTTACTCTACAGTTTCAAACTATTCCTATTAAAGTCCTAGCAGCCTTCTTTTTTAGAAAATAGCAAGTTGATTCTAAAATTTATATGGAAATGCAATGAATTTAGACTTGTGAAAATATTTTTTTGAAAAATAACAGCTATGAAAGATTTATATTGTATGATTTCCAGACTTACTATAAAGCTATAGTAATACACAGGTACTCACATAAAGATAGGTTTTTTGGATCAATGGAGAGGAATCAAAGGTCCAGAAATAGACCTTCACATATATGGTAAATTGATTTTCAACAAAGATCACAAGATAAATCGCTGAAGAAAGAAAAGTATTTTCAACAAATGGTGCTGAGATAACTGGATATCTACATGAAAAAAAGTAAAACTCAGCCTTCTCCTAATAACATACAAAAAAATGAACTGAAAATGGATCATAGACCTAAACACAAAAGCTAAAATTACAATATTTCCAGACAAAAAAATCACAGCATAAAATTGTCATGACTTTGAGGTAGGCAAATATTTCTTGAATAAAACACAAAAAGCAAAAGCCCTAAAGAAAATAATTACTAATTTAAAAATTTTAAACTAGCAAAATGAAAAGGTAAACCACAAACTAGAATAAAATGTTCTCAATACATGTATTTTACAAGGAATTTTAATCCAGATTATGTAAAGAACTTATTCCAGCTTAATAAGAAGAAAATAATCCAATGAAATGTTGGTAAACATTTAAGACAGTTCACAAAGAATATATACCATGAAAAGATGCTGAACATCATTAGTCATAAGGGAAAAGTAAATTAAAGCCATACCATGAGATACCTTTATTATACCTACTAGAATGATTAAAATTAAAAAGACACATTACCAAGTGTTGGTAAGGAATTGAAGCTACAGGAACTCTCATACCCTGTTGGTAGAAATAAAAAAAATGGCACGAACACCTTGAAAAACAGCTTGACAGTTTCTTAAGAAGTTAAATATACCCTTACCATACATAAACTATGGCAATATCCTTTCTAGCCTCTCTCTTGTGGACACATTAGACATTACCATGTCTAGTGAATGTGCACAAGAAAACAAATTCAAGGATTCTCTTGATAGCATTGCTTCTAATAGTGAATAAATGGAAATAAACTGTGCCTTATCAGGCAACTAACAAACTGTGGTTTACTCATACAGTGAAATACTATATAATAATTACAGTGAATAGACTACAGCCACCATATATCAACATGAAGAAAGCTCATAAGAAAAAGTCGAGTGAAAAAATTAATTGTAATAGGGTATGTATTATTTGCAGACACACATAAATAGTAAAAGCACGAAACACAAATGGACATTACACAAACTTCAAGTTAGTAGATATCTATGGGGTGAATAGATGGGAGAAGAATGTAGGTGGGACCTTATCTGTAACTGAAATTATTTCTTTTAAAAAACAGAGATCTGAAGCAGATATGACAACATATTAATTTCTGTTTAATTTCAGTTGTAGAAAAACAAATGTTTATTATATTTTGAAAATGTCTCTGTTTTTTGTGTTTTGTAACATAAAACAGGAAGAAACTGGCCCATCCTCAAAGAGAGGGGAAGGTCAGTCCAATGAGTTTGGTTTGCTGAGCCCCACTCAGGAATTCATGGAGAAATCAAGTTCCATGTGGCTTCCATTGCACCTTCCAGAAAAGAGTCAGAAAATACACCCAGGAGACCATGCCAGAGAGGAAGGTGTAAGATTCTGGAAACTGCAGCCTCCTACATTTGGTACCTGCCACTTTCACTTCAGTTTCTGACAGCAATCAGCAGGTTCTCAGAACCAAAAGGGCCTGCAGGATTGTCCTCAGAAGCATCAGGGATGTGAGGGCTGGGAAGGCTGAGTTTCACTCTGCAGCCAGGTTTGAAGAGATAGAGCCTGAGCAAAAAAATGGGGATGGTTTCAGTTAATGCAGTGAGAGGAAACAGTATAGCCCTGGTGTGGAGAAGAAGGAGAATAAGTGAACTTAATGAGATCCTCATTCTACACAGATTCCTGAAATGCCCTAACATACAATCACATTGCCATAAGCACTTAGAGTCTTCTTCTGCATACTGCTCCATGGGAATATTTCAGAATTCTTGGAGAGCTGATCCAACACAATAGATCCTAAGTTCCTTGACCTTTCTTAATCCCACTGAACATTGTTTCCACTCCTATATGGCTGTGTCTTACCTATATATCATCATTTGGCTCTTCCTTCAGTGTGAAAACTTCAAATCTAGAGGCCCTTCTCTGCCAAAATAAGTGTATCAGGTCTTTTACTTTCTAATTCCCATTGTACTTGCTCTTCAATCCCAGTGATGTCTCCGGCCTGTGAATCCCTCATTTTCCTTTTATCTATCAACTACCTTTTAATTTCATTCTTTTACCAACCATGAAACCCACATGGATATCTTGAGTTATTCACTTGTAACTTCAACTCTTTTCTCCCATTTTCTTACTTGGCATTCTTTCCAAATTCATTCTGCAATCTATATTCTCTGTCCCTAAACATGTATGGCTGAGAAGAGCCAGAGAAAATTTTATATCCATACAAGCTGACATTATTGGAAATTTATAATTTCCAATATGAACTGGTTTTCAATTCTGTTTAACAAACCTTTCCTTTGGCTTAGACAATTCACTGTCAATATTCCTTTAGAAGATATTCCAAACCCATCTTTTCCTTAATCATTCTCTGAACCTCTGGCTTTCTACTTCACAAAGAATAAGAAGGCTATCAGGTGTGAGTTAAGTATACCTGTGTCTAAACCCACAATGGGATACTTTGTAATCTCTACAATCATATGACCCTCTGTTCAAGGTTTATCATTCCCACCTACTTTGGGCCATTTTTCCTTCTCTTATTCCTTCAGGATCAAATTCATTCTCTTTTCTGCCTTTATCCTTTTGATACATAAATATCTGCAAGGCTTTACCATCTTAAAATCAAACAAGCAAAAACATTTACAAAAAATCATCCACACTTCCCCATCCACTTAAAAAATTATAAAGTTTCCTAATATATATTTTTCTAATATAGAGATGTATTCTAATATATGTAATTCATATACATATATACATGATTGTGTTTGTGTGTCCTTCACTTTCCGTATACCCCATGAGTCACAGCTCATGGCTCTTACTCTTTTACTACACTACTAAAAGTACTCTGGCAAGTCACCAGTGACCTTCTATGTTCATATCCAGTGACCACTTTTCTGTCTTATTTACCTGTGCTTCCTACAATATTTGATACTACTGATCAACCTCTCCCACTTTCAAGGAATAATTCACTTCCTAGTGGCATGACATTGTGATATAATAAGAAATACATACTTGGTCTCTGCCCCCAGTTTCTGTCAAAGAGCTCCTAAAATCTTTGGAATTTCCTAGGCAATAAGGACGTCTTGTGTTTTAATGAGGTGACTCTTGGTAGGCTCCTGGATGGAGGTTGGTTACCAGAAAGACCAAGCCAGGATTAAAAGCTTGGGACTTTCAGCCCCACTGCCTGACTTCCAGGAAGAGAAGAAAGGCTGGAGATTGAGTTAAATAATAGATCATGCCTACATCATGAAGCCTCCATAAAAATCCCTGAACTACAGGGTTCAGAGCAGTTCCAGGCTGTTGAACACATGAAGGTGCTGTGAGGGTGGTGTACGCAGAAAGGCTTGGAAACTCTATGCCTCTTCCCATACACTTTGCCCCAGGTAACTTTTCATTTCACTGTTCATCTGTGTCCTTTGTAATATAGTTTACAAGAAACCAGTAAGCACATGTTTCTCTGAGTCATCCTAGGAAGCTATGGAACCCAAGGAGGGGATTGTGGGAACCCTGATTTAAAGCTGGAGGGTCAGAAGCAAAGGTCACAATCTGGGAGTTGCAACTGAAATATGAAGTGGGAGGCAGTCTTGTGGGTCTGAGTCCTTGACTTGTAGAGTCTGTGCTATCTCCAAGTAGACAGTGTTGGAATCCAGTTAAGTTGCAGGATATCCAGCTACATCTGGGTGTCAGAGAATTGGTTGGGAATGCATGTGAGGGGGAAAAAACCACACATTTTGGTGGCCAGGAGTAAAGTCTTGGTTGTTGAGTGAGAGTAATAGAGTGGAGAAAAATGGAGTTAGTTTGTTTTTCCATGTTCACTTGGTTTCCTCCATATCATGCTCCCCTGAAGCTTCTGCTATCTCTCTCCCTTTGCACTCAGTGCCCTTTACTCAGGTCTCATTCATTGTTTGTCTCTTTAATACTTGACTTTGACCCTCTCTCTTCTCAATCTACAAACTCTACGTGGGTGAATGCAGTGACTGCCCCTGTTCCCATGGCTTCCACACCACCTCAATCCTGACAACCGTAAAAACCTATACTGTATTTCCAATTCATATTTCCTTTCCTGAGCCCCAGTTCCTCATACTTAGCCATTTGCTGGTCATCTACTGTAGCATACAAAATTCGACATGTCTAAATCCATACCCTGTAGAATGTCTTTTCCTCCTAAATTCTCTGTTTTGCTTGGTGAAACTCCTGTCCTCTCAAATTCCAATACCAGCAACCTAGAATTTAACTTCTCCTTTTCCCTCCATGTACATCCAGTGAATAATTAAGACTTCTCTCAAGTATACCAAAGTATTTCTTGAAAGAGGCAGAAGAATTTAGTGGTTAGAAAGAGGATCACTTGAGCCAAACTGCATGGGTTTGTAGGCTGGTTTTGCCACTTACCAGCTGTTGACCTTGGTGAAGTTACTTATTTTCTCTGTGCCTCAATGTCCTCATATATGCAAAAGGAATGATAATAATAGTACCTACTTCATAGAGTTGTTGAAGATTTAAACAAATACATAAAAAGCATCTAGAAAGTAGCCCACAATAATCATTTGGTAACTCATTATCATTATATTATTATTAATTTCTTGTAATTTTCACAGCCACATATCTGTGCAGATATCCATCATCTCTTTCCTCAGTCTTCTGTCCCTTCTCTCCTTCCGAGAAGGCTTAGGGGTTTTGGTACTGAGGTCTTGGAGTGGGAGTGGTCAGAGCTGTCTCATAGCAAGCAGCAAGGCAGGAATCCAAAGCCACTCATTATTTGGCTCCTGAGTAAGTGCAGACTGGGAAGCAAAAGAAGGTACAAAAAGACATCAGGGGAGGGAATCAAGAAGAACTGAGTCTGAAGGGAAGGGCTGGCCACCCAAATTGGACCGAGACAAATGAAGAATGTTCAGAGGTGGAGCTGGAGATGTTCCAAGGCAAAATATGAAATTGAATAGCGAGAAAATATATTTCAGAGAAATAGTCTCCTAACTCAGTGTTCTGCAGTCCATGCTGTATATTAATATCACCTGAGGAGCATTTATGACCTACTGAAGCCGAGGTGCAGCCCAGGCAGATTTAATCAGAATCTCAGGATTGAGGTCACAATACCATGATTATTTTTTAATTCCCCGGGTAATTCTAATGTGTGGCATGTGGCTAGGGTTGGGAATTAGTGTCCTAATTTTGATAACTTACTTCTCCAACACCATCCCTACCTGTCATATATACACACGGGCAGTTTGCACTTGCTTTTGTTAAGGCAAAGCTGGTCATGACATTATCTAGTCTAAAGCCCTTCAAGGGCTCTCCATAATCCTATAGGACAAAAAATCCCAATTCCATAGCATATAAAAAGCCTTTCCTGATTATAGCCTTCTCTACTTCCTGCTGGTTTTTGAGAGCCAATTGAGCATATTTTTTTCCCAGCTTTGAGTTTAATGATGTCTTGGAAGTTTGAAATCAGCCATGTTGGGTATGTTTACACTATAGAAATTGGCATGCTAAAAATCAGGGTTCCCGTAACCCCACCCCAAAATGCTGGTTGTTCAAATTTTACCAGCTCATCACTGCTTTCTCTCACATTTTCCACATTGAAATGTTAGATATACTCTACTGAAATGTTAGACAACTTGAACTTTCTAGAACATGGCCTTTCAGAAGCTGTTCCTTCTACTTATAATATTTTTGTCTTTTCTTATTAACGATGCACATTTCTTTTACCCTTCAAGTCTCAATTGAAACATCACTCTCCCTATGAATGCTCTCCCATCCACTCCAAGAAGAGTGGGTCTCTTCCTTCCCTGTTACCGCTACACATCATTGGTGTGATATTTAATGATTGTGTTTTGCTGCATGTAATAACCTGAATTGCTTGTGTACTTACATGGTGTTTTTCCCCATCATACTGTGAACCCCTTCTTGTCAAGGACCATCTCTCTGTCATCTTTGGATGTCTATTAGCCTATCATAGTGCCTGGCATATAGTAGACACTCAATAATTGTTTCTGCAATGAATAAATGGGAGGATGAATGAATAAACCCATTGGAGGGGAATATTCAGAACAAAGAGCTTGGAGCAATACCAAAATGCCTCATTTTGGAGGGCATTTAATGCCAGATTTGGACTTTATCTTATAGTAAATGGAGAACCACTGAAGTTTTTCTGACAAGGGAAGTGACCTGTAACAAACCTTGTTTAGGATGGTTAGTCTGACAGTAGTGTTCAGAGGGGAATGAGAGAAGAGGAATCGGAGGAAAGAACTCTGGTCAAGGGGATCAGAAATTGAATAGGTGAAAAGGTAGAGTCAGAAAGTGGGCTCAGCAGAGGCACGCCTACCAGTCACTGGCATCCTGGGATGAGCATGGGGGAGAATTAATGTGATAGTGAGAAG
Organism: Homo sapiens; assembly: GCF_000001405.40. NCBI lineage: Eukaryota > Metazoa > Chordata > Mammalia > Primates > Hominidae > Homo > Homo sapiens. The sequence goes on along the minus strand of NC_000011.10, from coordinate 115,997,626 downwards.
CCCAGAAATAATAAGGAGAATTTGGTTTGCTTGCCTTGAAGAATAGAAAATGTAAGGATACGTGATGGCTCTCTTCAAATCTTTGACAGCTACTCCCAGGGGAACAGAAATTAGCCAATTTATTTCTGTATTCTGAGTTTCCCAGAGGTCAGAACTAAGACAAATATAAGGAAGACTTTTTTTTATCCATTAGACATGTCTAAAAATGGAGCAAGCTGCCTAAAGAAGTAGTGAGTACCTTGTCACAGGAAATGATCAAGCAGGGCAATTGGTAGGGTATATTACAGAGGGAATCCAAGAATTAGACCAGGTAATTTTTCTGGCACTTAAGATTCTGTTATTTTCTGCTGGATTCTGTCCCATTGAATTTGAGATAACAGTGCAATTTTCAGATGCAGTGTCCAGGAGCTGGAGTTCCTGGACATAAAGCCAACGAGACCTCTCAGGGACAAAACTGTACTCTGAGTGTTGGGTGCCCAAGCCCAGTACTGTTTACATTATACCATAGTTATCCCAAAGAAAACAGCCAGTGACAAAAAGTGGCAGTGCTGTGTTGAGTCATCTCCGTGACTTCTCGAACCCCAGGAGGGTGTCAGGAGGCCATGAAGAAAATGCCCCACAGCAGCTTTCCTTCCCCTTCTTAGCTTCAGAAGATGACCTCACTGTGTTTTCCTCCAACAATAGGGTGTTCCTCAAGTTCTCTTTTCTCCAGCACAGCGTTTCTTCTGCCTTTACACCCTCAAAGGCCCTCTGTCTTGCTGTGACATAGTCCTCCACATGTGTTCTTGGTCCCATTTCCCTTCTCCCCCTTCTAGGATCTTCCTCCATCTCTCTTGGTAACCAATCTTTGCTTTTTATTGGTTCTAAACATTTATAAGTATTTTTATCCTAGAACAAAAAAGTCCCTAAAATTACTAGTCAGCCTCCATTCACTCAAATTTGTAAAGTGGATGCTCTAGTCTTGTTGCCCTTGACCTTGGCCACATCCTTGCACCTCACACCTTTCTTACAGTCCAACTTCAACCCCAAGGTGCTTTTCTGAAAGACAACCATGTAACACAGCAGAAACAGAATATGATTTGAGATCAGAAGGCCTGGATCAGTTTCTGGATCAGCCACTTACTATCCGAACCTCGCTTTCTTCATCACATTTGTTATGAGCATCAGATGAGCTAATAGATGAGGAAGACGTTTTCTCCCCATGAACTGAAAAACACTGTACAGTTGTTAGTGTTAGTGAAACTGCTGTCACAGAGATGATCAGTGATGTCTTTCACCACCTGCTTCAAGGGCCTTTTCTCGGTTCTCCATCTCATAGTGTCTTGGCCACATTTGAACTTGCTGTGCCCTCCTTTGTGAAACTCTTTACTTCCATGGTTTCCTTTTCATTTGTTTCTAAGAAATTAACATCTCATTTCCAGTTTCCTCTCTGCATCCTCTTTCTCCCGCAACATCCAGATTCCTATAAGTTGTCTTCCCTTTTCTGCTGTTCCTCCTTTACTTCCAAGTGAGGGAATAATCACCCTTCCATGGATTCAACTATCTCTTCTGGATGCATAACCAATTCACATTTCTCTCCCAAGTTTTGGTCCCGGATTTAAAACCCTGCTGGATTTCTCCTCTGGTTTTCCTGCCAGGATCTCAAATTCTTTATTGTTGTCACAAGATAAATCAATGCATCTTTGCAGAGCCTCTGACAAAGTGGTTTGAAAAGGCCAGGGACTGAAATATTATTGGCCAGCCCTGCAAAGGAGTGCACTTATCATCAGGGCCCATCTCCCAAATGCCAATCAGAGAGAACAATTCCTTTTATGTAAACTTCATGTTGTAAATTATAGTATCTGCATGCCAAGTAGAGGATGGTAATATTCACTCCCATGAGTCTCTGGGTATTGCTAAAGCATTTTATGAATTGACAACTCTCCCATATTATCCATCTCTCTGGGTTCTATATTCTTGGTTTTGGAAACTGTCAATGGCCAAAGTCTATAAGCTGAGTTCCTGGGTCCTTCCCAAACCCTCCTTGATGGGTAAACAAGGTGATCATCAAAAGAGTAATAAGACCAATTCTTATCAGATTTCTTTTTCCTGGTCTGAGCCAAGAGAAACCACCCATTTAGTCCAACTGGCCCAGAAATTCTGTCCTTTTAATATTTTGAGTTGTATTAAACTATAAAAAATCTCTTCTTTATATCATAGCAAATATATGTGATCTATCTGTGTTTCCCTCTACTGGTCTCTTTAATTTATGTTAGTGGTAGATGTTTAATAAATGTTAGTTTTCTTTCCCTATTTCCCCTTTCTCTATCAGACTGCCAGAGCCATGAGGGGAGGGACTTAGTATTTCTCATTTTTGTACCCCTAATGCCATGCCTTATTCATCCACACATACACATACACACACACACACACACACACACACACACACAGTTAAATTGAACTTATTAAAGTAAGTATAAAATATCTATGTGGGTGGTGTGGGAATATCCAATTTTTAAACAGTATCAAGAAGGATAAGGTATGATGTCTTTTGCATTGACTGGTGGGGCGTATTATCCATATAATATATCATGGTTGTGTCTGAATGTAGCACTTCTGATCCCCAACCTGTAGCTCCAGAGAACCTTCTCTAGTCTCATCATCTTGTGTCTAACCCCTTAGCATTGACCAGGACCCATTCCCTACTTGCCCCTCAGTATGGCCAGGTAACTGGCAAACGGCAGTGTGCTGGAGGCAGCTCTCACAGGTTAGTGACGATCCATTGTACACATCTCTTCCCAAGTCTGCATTAAGGGATATCACATTGGCAACTTTAAACTGGCAATGTGGGAGTATTTACACCATGGTAACTGGCAACCACTGCAAATCAGGGCTTTCTTTTCCCCCTGAGAGCTGGCTGTAAAACATTTACTGCCACACCATTGTTGTCAACGTTATTCCTCGTTTATCTCTTTGCATGACTGGCTTCTTCTAATCCATAAATTTCAGCTCAAATATCACCTCTTCTGAGAGATATTTTTATCCCAAGTTACCCCCACTCCCTTCACTTTCTATTATATCATCCACTCTTTCCTTCAGAGGGTATATTTCAATCTGTAACTATCTTGTGCATGTATTTTGTGTACTGGTTTATTGTTCATCTTCCTCCCTAGAAACCTTATCTTGTCTCATTCACTGCTGTATTCTCAGTATCTAGTACAGGCTCAGGCACATAGTTGGTGTTTCAAAAATATCTACCTGAAGAATAAATAAAAACAATAAATGATTCTAACATCTCAGGCATCAAAGATGCAAAATACAATAGTTTATATACTTGTGTGTGTCTCCTACTACATTCTGAGTGTTTTGAGATTGATTTTCAACATATTCCCAGGACCTAGCACAGTGCCTGGAACATAGCAGAGGATCATTAAATTTTTAAGATGAATAAATGTAACATTAGAGACCAGCCAACTCATGTAAGTTTCCCTGTAACACCCCAGAGAACTCTATTCCTTCACCTTCGTCAACAGCATAAAAACACTACTGTTTTCTTCTGAGAAAGCAAAACCTCAAGGCAGGAGTTTGTCCCCACCAGCACTGCTGGAAAGACTGGGGTGGCATCAATTTATCTCATCCAACCTGTATTTTTCTTCTCTGACTGGGTCAGAGCAATTCATTATGTCACCCTTAGGCAAGTCCCCAAATGGGAATGAGAAAGGCCATGGCCCCGTCTCTTCCAGTGGGCTGCAGCAGAGATAGCTTTCCTTGCATGGATGAATAGCTGTAAGCCACCTTTGCCCCAGCCTCCTGGAGAAGGCAAAAGAAGTTTTCTAAATGTTTTCCTGCCATGCGGATCACTGAATTATGCATGAGGCCAAACCTAGGGAACAGCAAATTGTTGTGGGATGGAGGGGCAGGGTTCATCCAGAAAGTGAAATCGAAACCTTACTTGCCTCCTCCTCAGGATGGCTTCCCTCAATTGATAAGTAGTGTTATATTATTCCACATCTTTCATATATTATCGATGCATTTGGCAATGATATAATCCTGGCGTCAGGAGTAATTCTTTCTTTTTAATATGCTGCACTTACTACACTGAGGCGAGGCAGCTTGGACACAGGGCCTGGCTGATCCAACTCAAATCAATTAGATCCAGGACTTCTCTGGGCATCGATCGGCAGGATGAGAAAAGATGCATGTTCATGATTTGCCTCAAAAGCAAGAGAGACCATGAGACAGTGAGTCTACAGGAGTCTTCTGGTGATACAGGCGAGAAGGCCTCTTTCTTTCATCTTTGCATGGAAGATGCCAAGTACCTTGCCACCATGGCCATAGTACTCAATATAGGGCTGTGCCATCCACCAGTGGCAAGCGGTGCTGCTCTCAGCTGAAAAAATGGAAAGGATCATCTTCATCTCAGTTGGTACTGCATTCCCAGCAGTGTTTTCTCCCCTGTCTCAGTTCTTTTCCAATGGGTAGTCATGCTTGTGGCCCAGAGGGCTCCAGTCATTTCATAAGGCAGAAGTACCTCTAAATACCCCAAATTACACACTCAGGAGTGGAGTAGGGATGGATGTGGAATCTTTGGATATGGATCTTGGGCAGACAACAAAATCCTTAAACTGAGCAGGGAGAGCCATTGAGGTCAGCTGCTTGCATCTCAGGAAATTCCAGCAAACCTTGAAGAGCAGAGGAGGAGCAGCCTAGTTAGAGATCTACCAGCCAGGCTTTATATTATTCAGGAAAGCATGATCTTGCAATAAAAAATTCTTTTTCTGGAAAGTCACAACCTTCCCACTCACCTCCTGTATAGTGGAATGAGTGTTGGAATTGAAGTAAAAGAAAAAAAAGATATGAGTTGAGTACTGGATTGGCCATTTTTCAAAGCTATGTGTGTGACCTTGGTTGCTTAGTCTCTCTTAACATTATTTATTCCACCAGTCAAATGGGAACAATTATAGATACCCTACATTACTCACAGTTTTGTGAGGGACAAATAAAATAAATAAAATGAGATGATACAAATAGAAGCCATTTGTAGCCAAGTGCCATATGAACTTCAGGGACAATTGATCTTCCCTTCTTCTAGGAAGTGTCCTTTTCTTCTTGGAAATGTTTCCCTCCTAAAAGGAATCATGTGGTTTAAATAAAGGCTGCCATGTTGTTACTCCATGTGTGGGTATCTTTCCAAAGCCAGGTCAGTCATGGCCACCCCTATCATAGCTGTCATCATTGAATGGGATGGCTCTGAGGTGGGCATCTAAACTCCAGTGAGACATTCAGAGCCCTTCCCCAAGGGTTTCCACCTTGCTATGAGAAGAGTGTGAAGCAGTTCTCTCTAGGGGTGGAAGCTGCGAGGTGGGAGGCATGCAGGTTGTTGGTCATTCTGTTCCCTAATGCATGGAGGAAGCCTGCTGCTGAGGGAGAAAATGAAGCTGCACAGAGAGAAAATGAAGAACAAACAGAGATGAAACACAGAGTTATCACGATATGTCTGGTTCAGATTTTCCTGTGGGTCCAAATGAATCCTTTCTTGTCCTATGGCTTGGAAGGATATTATTTCAGCATCCTTCAAATACTTTCCTCTTTTTGCCTAAGCCAGTTTCAATTTTATGTCTGTCACTTACAACCAAAAGAGGCTCCACAGAGAGGCAGCCATTCATTATTTTGGTTCCTAGTTCCAGGTGGGTCGTGGATCTCACATCCTGATCTCTCTGCCTTACTATTCACAGAACTCATTCTCCAAGGCCATTGCACTTGCCTTGTCTTTATTCACACTATGTGTACTTTTCCCATGTTCCAGGGACCCTCCCAAGCTTCTGGGTCTGCCTATAATCTAAGGAAGACATTTGGATATTATCCTGAGGAAACTCACTCAAGCACCATGTCTATAAAAGCACTCGGTTAGAAGGCCAAGTCCACTTATTTATTCTGATGCATCTAATTATTTTATTTTCTATAGCATGCATTTATGTAGAAATTGTCAAATATTTTGTGGAATGGGGTAGGTTAGGTTATAACTAACTAAAAATTGCTAAGCTTTTACCATCAGCTGAGAACTACTGGGAAAAAACAAAAATAAGACATGCCCTGCCCTTGAAATGCATATAGTCTTGCTGAGCAAACAACGAAAAGCTAGAGAACAAGTCAGAAAAATAAAACCTGGCAAATTATGAGACATAGATAAGTGTTTCAAACAATGACAGAAGGTAAGTCTTTGATAGACTAGGGTGTTTAGGGTAGAATTCCTACAAGGTGTAATCTATTGGAATTGTTTTGTTAGACCAACAGAGTATTTAATAGTTTAAAAATTGGTGCTTATTACTTAAAACCAGATTTCATACATTTTAAAAACATGTGTTTCTGGGCCGGGCGCGGTGGCTCACGCTTGTAATCCCAGCACTTTGGGAGGCCAAGGCGGGTAGATCACGAGGTCGGGAGTTCAAGACTAGCCTGGCCAAGATGGTGAAACTCTGTCTCTACTAAAAATACAAAAATTATCTGGGCGTGGTGGTAGGTGCCTGTAATCCCAGCTACTTGAGAGGCTGAGCCAGAGAGTTGCTTGAACCCGTGAGGCGGAGGTTGCAGTGAGCCAAGATGGCGCCACTGCACTCCAGCCTGGGCGACAGAGCGAGACTCCATCTCAAAACAAACAAACAAACGAAACATGTGTTTCTGGTTTCTTTTGATAAATGGGGGGACTTGATAACAATTCTCACTTGACAATAACCAGCTGGGATGGAGTAGCTGCTCCCTTCTTCGGCCTGAGCGGGAACGCTCCGGTTACCTGACTGGCTTCATACTTTTGGGTTCCCCGGGTTGGTTCCCAAAAGCATTTGAGTTTGCTAACTGAGGCCTAAGTTGGAGATCAAAAGGTCCCAGCTCCCCAGCAGCTGGAAGGAGGAACTTTAGGACCGATACCTATCTAAGGTTGATGCCTACCTTGACAAGCATCCAATTCATTATTTTAAAAGTGTCATTGAAAAGCATACCCCACGCCGGCAGGTCTAGGCTGCATTCACCCACCATGCGACAGGTGAACTGAAGTCAGGGACAGGCTTCTCTGTAGGAACACAGAGGTAGAGGAAGCCTTCCTCAAGTCATCAGCTACCCAACACCCACCACTCCGAGCCTCAGATTTTCTTCAGAGCCTCTTCCTTCTTCTTCTCCTTCTTTTTAATGTCCACATTTTTTTTTTCACTTTGTTGCATTTGAATGCAGATGATACAGAATGAAATTCCTTTGGCGGCTGTATGTGCGGGAGTGCGCAAAAGTATTTATGAATCCTAAATGAAGCTGGCTGCAGAGCCAAGGAGCTCCAGCAGAGCGCCGGCGTGCGTGCCCGCCGGAGTCTGATCTCTTACATGGGAAGCTGCGTTTGATATCTCATTTGTTGGCTATGTTCCTCGCAAATCCGCGCGCTGTTTAACCCACTTTGCCACAGCAGAAAGAGATGCAGAAGAGGCTCGCTGGGCATGGGGAAGGCGGTCCCACAGCAGTGCCCTGGAATGGTCAGAAAACAAAGCCAGCCATGGGGCGTGTGGGAGGTGCTGCCACCCTCTGGCTGGGTGTAGCACCGCATCCTGCTGGACCAAGGAAGTTCCCCCATCCCTTGGAGCGGGGGTCTCCCTGTCTCTATACCTCTCTGAGGTCCCAGAATTGCAGATGAATCTGGACCGCGTTGGCTTTTATTGGGGCTGTTAGAAAAATCTGTGCTTTCCTTCTTTCTGGTTTCATAAGAAACTTCTCTTAGGCAAACCAAGACCCCCCTCCAAACTTGGCCTAGGAGAGACACAGCATGTAGCTGCGGCTGAATCCGCCTCTTTCTGCTAGATATTCAGCCCACGCATGACAAAGACTTTGGCAAAATGCTAGCAATCAGAAACCTGCTCTTCATAGACATAAAAGAGTCGGGACATAGGTCTCCCCAATAATGATAGTCTACATGCATTAGCATATATTTTCTTGAGAAGTGAACTACCAGAGTTAAGTCCCTAAAAGCAATTCATTCTATTTACAGCTTTTCTGAAGCCCTCGAGAGGGAATCATCTTGGAGCACTGCAGATACCACACTGAAAATAGTGAAAAACATTCAATTTAGAAACAATTTTATCTTGATTTATCTTTTTTTTTTTTCTTTGTGAGTCAGCCCACTGCTTCTGCTCCTTCTCTTACCTAAAGGTGGTTCCCTGCATACCTCCTCCCCAGGTCATGAGGACAGGGATGGTGGTGTATTCCCACAGTGTGGCCAGGGTGGCCAAGAACGATACCCGATCTTGCCTCCTGGTGGGAACGCCTCATTCTCAGAACTGCAGAAGGATGAAGAGGGAGCCGGAAAACAGAAGCTGCACCAGGTGCAGCAGCAGCACTGTTGCTTGCTACAATACACAGATTATTCTCCAGGAGGTAACTACAGCTCTTTAAAACACTGACAATGTGAATGTCATGTCCTATTACCCCATCCTCTGGGCTAATAATAAGATTTTGTAACCATGTCAACAGCAAGAGAAAGAGAGCAGCAAAGTATCCCTTTGATTACATAAAATGCCCAGGTACCTAGTACAGCCTTGTAAATCACTCAGCTCACAGGTATGTGCTGCCTAAAAAAGGCATGAGGTGAGGTCAGGCCTTGCATCTCCAGCAAAGCCAAGGGTGCACCTGCAATCAAGGCTAGGTAAGTAGTAAGCACCTACTGTGTGCCCACAACCATGTTCGGAATCAGAAGCAAACAGAGAAGGGCCAGGTGCAGTGGCTCATGCCTGTAATTCCAGCACTTTGGGAGGCTGAGGCGGGTGGATCACTTGAGACTAGGAGTTCAAGACAAGCCTAGGCAACCTGGCGAAACCCCATCTCTACAAAAAATACAAAAATCAGCCGGGCATTGTGGTGCATTCCTATAGTCCCCGCTACTTGGGAGGCTGAGGCAGGAAGATTGCTTGAACCGCAGAGACAGAGGTTGCAATGAGCTGAGATCGTACCATTTGTACCACTCCAGACTGGGTGACTCCATAAAAAAAAAAAAAAAAAGAAAAGAAAGAAAAAAAAAGAAAAGCAAGCAAGCAAGCAAGAAAACCAGATAAATAAGTAATAAAAATTCAGTTTCTGCTTCTGAGAGAAGTTAACAATTAGGTTAGAGATAAGCCCAAGTGTGGGTTGTAAATACACTGGATTTAGACTCAAAAGACAGAAATCGAGATTCTCCTTCTTCCCTTAGCTGTGTGCTCTTGATGAGACAGTTTATCTCCCTGAGCTTCGGGCTCCTCAGCTGCAAAATGTGGGTGATAATACCTAGTCCTACAAGCCTCACAAACTTCTCATGAGGATGAAATAAAAAATGTAGTTTCTAAATCAATAGTGCAATCCCTTTTAAAACAGAAAAAAATTGTGTGTGAAACTCTAAAATGAAACACAGATCAAGAGCTGAGCTGCTGTAGTTAGAGGGGGCAGGGACATAAGCATGAGGCTTATGTCCTGAGGGTGAGCCACCTCCTGGCCCTGGGGGCACCCAGGAGTACCCTATAGCTCTGAGCAGCATAACGTGAGGACCAGAGAGGAAATGCTTTGAAATAATGTATTATTATAATTATCAAGAATAATACAAACTGGCCATTCATGGAGGTAATTGTAGAAATGGAGAGAAGGGAGAGATCAATGTGAGCTTCAGTGCTTAAATAGTAGTAGGACCCATGCTGCTCCTTAAAGAATAGCAAGCATCTGGGTAGACAGAGAGGAGTAGGGAGAGGATTCCAGTCGGGGCATGGATGTGAGCAATGGCATGGACACAAGATGAGAACTCATGTGTGCTCTTCAGGCACAAAGAAAGAGCCAACCTTGTGAGAGCAGAGCCTGTGTGTACTGTGGTAGTGAGGTGTGGATGTGCTTAAGGCTGACATCTTTAGGGTCAACGTGATTCACATTGGGACCCCACAGGCAGGTACTATGGGAAGACTGAACCAGGTAGGAGCAGGCTGGTGGGTGTCTGATTTTATTGTAGCTAGGCTAATTCATTGGCTTGAACTCCACCTGTTTATTGGAGTCAAGTTTCCTTCATCAAGGGCCATTTACTCTACTAATGATGATCCTTTGCTTTGGATTCTGTGATTCCTAATTGCCGTCTCACAGCTCTCCATGTGTTCTGCTCCCCTCTGTCACTAACTGATGTAGATGGAGGTGTTCACCCCCAGCCTCTATGGAAGCATCCCCCTGAGAGTCCGTTTACTCAAAATTTCAAGCCTTCCTATACCCCCCATGGGGCACACCCACTGAGGTGCCTCTTTAGGTCCTTGTGTCCCTGGGAAGGGCTGTCCAGCCCAGCCTTCTCTGCTGAATCCCCTCAGTCCCCAAGGATGACTGATCTTCTCTGCTTGTCTCAGAACACCTTGTTGTCTTGTCCTCTTTGAAATGCCTGACGGCAGCAAATGCTTGGGTCTAAAAGCAAAATAATGAAATCAAATGAAAGCTCCCCAATTTCTCAACCGCTTGTCCTTTGTCCGGTGTGGTGCACGGCATGCATTATTCAGAGAGAAGCAGCTGTATTACCTGAAGCAGAAATTCTATTTTTCAGGCGCCAGTCTGGAGGGATGGCTGGAGTGGAGTTGATGGCCCTGCCCAGGAGCCTGGGAGTGCTTGGGGGCGGAGGAGAGTCCAGCTTTTGCATTGCATTTGAGGAGGTCATCAAAGTAGCTGCCTAGTCAAGAGAAAGGTCACTTTAGTAAGTGAGCCCAGTTTGAGAGAAGGGAAGCCCAGACAGGCCAGGCATCTATGAAGGGAGCCAGCAGGAAAGATTACAGGAGAAAGCATGCAGACTGTCTGGATGAAGGGGCTCCTAGTTGTTCAGAAGACTTCCAGATATATGACCTGTGCTGCAAATCATCCCCCACAAATACATCAAATACATGAAGATAATATTAATAGGACATAGAATATCTTCTAAATAAGAATGCTATGAAAATCCATGTGGGTGTGTATGGAGTGAGAAGGACAGGGTCAGATTCACGGTCGTGGATTGTACTGTTGTTCTAGAATATTCACTTTTTCCCCTTGAGAGCATTGTGCATCCATGCGGCTTCCCTGTGGCTTGCGGTGGCCTTTAGAAAATGGAGTATATAGCCGGGTGCAGAGCCTCATGGCTGTAACCTCAGCACTTTGGGAAGCCAAGGTGGGTGGATTATGAGGTCAGGAGATCGAGACCATCCTGGCCAACATGATGAAACCCCATCTCTACTAAAATACAAAAATTAGCCAGGCATGGTGGTGGGTGCCTGTAATCCCAGCTACTCAGGAGGCTGAGGCAGGGGAATCGCTTGAACCTGGGAGGCGGATGTTGCAGTGAGCCGAGATCACGCCACTGCACTCCAGCCTGGCGACAGAGCAAGACTCCATCTGAAACAAACAAACAAGAAAATGGATTATATTCTATGCCCCCACCTCCTGCCCCTGTGTGCCAGCTCCCCACACCCCCATCAAGCTTGGCCATGTGACTCACTTGGATTCATGGAATATGAGTCAGTTCAGAAGATACAAGGAGTACAGCGTGTTCGGTCAGTTCTCTTGCTCAGTTCTATTGTCAGATCGGCAGGTCCCAAATTAGGGGCTGCCCTTTCAGCCTAAGTCCCTGAATGAGAAGACTCATGAAGCACATCTGCAGCTGCCAACACGCTCTGTGAACAAGAAATAAATGCTTGTAAGATATAAGCCGCTAAGATTTTAGGGGTTGTTTGTTACCATAGCAAAACTGGCTAATATAGTTAATGTCAATCAATGATGAGGAAATTAATCACATCTGCCTTCAGTTAAGCTTTTTTAAACTTGATTTGTTTATTTAATTGATTGTTGTCATCTTCACTTGGGGTGAATAGCATTGATAAATAAGAGGGTCTGTTTGCTTTAATGAATCCATGGGAGAGTGTTGTTGATTTTTATAGACTCCATATATTAGAATTTGACAAGTCCTATGGCTGGGCCTCTAGCTGGGTTTCCCTTCATTAGTGGTTGACGAGGTCTAAACGTAGCATAGACTTGGCCATTTTCTGCCCTCAACCTGTGGAGAACACATTCCCACAAGCCCTTCCCTGGAATCCTACCTACTTTGTGTGGACAGCCTTCTTCAGCTCCAATTCAGTGACTATTTAATTAAGCCCTCAGTATGCCCTGGGTCTTGGGAGTGTATCTCCATTATCTTATTTGGTCCTCCCAACTATAATAATAGGTGTTATTGTTGCCGTAGTTCATTTAGGTTGCTATAACACAATGCCATTGATTGGGTAGCTTATAAACAACAAAATATATTTATCAAAGTTCTGAAGTCTGGAAGTCTAACATCAGGGCAGATTTGGGGTGTGGGGAAGGCTCGTTTCCTGCTTCATAGATGGCGCCTTCTTGTTGTGAACTCACGTGGCAGAAGGGGCTATCCAACTTATTGGGGATTCTTTTGCAAGGGCACTAATGGCAATCATAAGGGCTCTACTCTCATAACTTCATCACCCCCCAAGGGCCCCATCTCCTAATACCATCCCCTTGGGAGCTCACATTTCAACATGTGAATTTTGGAGGGACATGAATATTCAGGCCATAGCAATTGTTACATAGCTTTTGAAGAAATCAAGGGTCCCAAGGGTCACCCAAGGGCACAAAGCTGGTAAAGGGAGATCAAGACTTTGACCTAGGTTTCTTTATTCTTAGCCTAGCGCTGTCATCACCACACCAAGCTACATGGATTGAAGGTGTTCTGTGTCAGCTTAGCATCTAGGATCAAATTTGCCAAAGGCTCGGGGACATGGGTTCATGGGCTTGTGGTAGGAAGGTGGAGTGGAAGACAAGACCCTTTGTACTTTATACATTTATATTACAATATATATTTTATTGCCCAGCATAAATTCATTTAAATTCTATTCCTAGGACAGGCAGTCCAACAAGCTATGAGACTGAACTCTAGGTAGGTCCTACCTTTTTGGGTGGGACTTCTGTGTCCTCTTGGAAGAAAAGCATTAGTGAAATTAAAAATAGATACCTCTGGAAGACAGCCAGTCTCCAGGGGGACTGTAATCTTTGAAGAACATTCCCACTCTCAATTCTCTGAGAGTGGCAAGGGTGTTGTATTAACAACAACAACAACAACAATAACAGAACAATAGCTTCAGTGTCAACAGATATTTTACAACATGCTTTCATATAAATTGCCCGTCTGCTGCTTGAGAAGGCCACCAAGAGCCGCTGTTGTGTCACCAGGCTGTTGACTGCCATCTGTCTGGGGCTCAAGGATTCCAGGAGCAATGATATTGGACCCCCCCTACTGCTGGGGTACAGATAGGCAGAGGCAAAGAGGCAGGCAATAAAGAGGTGAGCTTGTCCTTGCATTCTTGTTTGGAAGGATTGAAAGATCCTCTCCATGAGCCTAAAAGAAGAGTGTTGGGTGGAAGACTCTATCAGTACAAATATCACTAAGGCCTGGGTATTAGAGGCTTGCTCTCGACATACTGGTGACGATGTGCTGGTTCTATTGCATGAAGTCAGAGACACCTTATGCTGACCCCAGGACTCCTCCAGCCCCTCTCAGATAGAAATCAGTGGGCGGGGGGGGGGGGGGCAGGCCTAGCAGGACTTCATGGAGTCATCTCATGTCTCTCTTGCCTCCAAAAAAATAAAACGTCTCCTCGATAGGCTGGGAAGCCCAGCAGCAACTGAAGAGGCCTTTCCCTGTCCCTTGTACCATCAATTGACTGAACTATAGATTTGCCCTGGCTTCTTATAGGGACTTAGGGAGAAAAAGCAGTAGTTCTCGGTTTACCTGTATATGACTCTCATACAATTTCAGCTCTTGGGAAGGTTTTGTGGGATCCATTATTTTCTCCCCAGCCAGCTGAATTACAAACCCATCTCCTTTAGGACAAAGGGGTCCCAGCAAGAGAGTGTGGATGACCCAGCACACGCTCAAGTTCATCACTAACACACAGCCAACACACAGCCATGGGATGCAAGTAACATCTATCTGAGAAGGGTCAGCATGTTCCCTGGAGTCTGGCCTCAGGTCCTGCAAAGGGAAGGGTTTGGGAATGGACTTTGGAACAGCCAGATCTCCCCACTCAGTGCAAATGAGAGAAAAAGGGGTGGAACATCTTGCTCTTCCTGGGAACTTTCTGAATTGAAGCACACAGCCTGGAATGTTCCCCTAGAGCGGTGCTGAGGTCCTAAAGAAATGCATGGGTCCTACTGACTGTGTGCTAGCCCCTCTCCTTGGTTTTTCTGGACTGGGGGCCCACCCTGTCCCCTTGTGCTAGGTTCTGAGTACATCTCCTTCTAAGCTTTGTTACCCTGACATCTGCATTCTGGCTCACCACTGCAGACTAACATGGCCAACAGAAATGAGGCACACTCTTGAAGAGTTATGATTCTTTCTTTGTGTAAGCTGCTTTGAGATCAAGCAGAGAATCACACATAGACCTGGTTTGTGAGTGTCTCACACTCTGAAAGCCTCAGGCTCTGAATCCTAATCCCTTTCCTTTCCACCCTCTTGTTTCCCTGGAATCCTGGGGAGTAAACAGGTAGCTGCCTGTTATACTGTCCCCTCGGGCCTGCTCCCCCTGGGGAACCCCAGCTCTGCCATACCCCAAGCCTCAAGCTCTCTTCTGAGGGTTTCTTATGCATGGGTCTCTGTGCCAAACCCACGCCAGGCCTAACCTATCCTCTCACGATAGCTACGGAACCAGGAGGAGGCCTCAGACCCCAGGGTAGCCAATTTCCAGCCTGCCAGTGGTCTGTGTGGTGGTCAGGCTTTTAAACCTTCCCAGTGAGTGGTGGCCAGTCCCAGATGGTGACTAGCCACATCTGTTGTACTCTCCCTCAGAAGTCTGAATGTAAGAGGTACAGAGATTTGGCTGCTGAGCTCCTTGGTGATGGTAGAAGCCAGAGAAGCAAACGCTGAGAGTTGCCAGGCTCTTCTGTGGAGGGATTCTAGGTCAGGGGCAAGGCCTGCTGCTGGGGGCATGATCTGCTGACCTTGTCTCAAAAGCTGGTTGGCCCCTGAGCGGCTCCCAGGCCTGTCTTTTCATCAGGCTGCATTCCTGTGTTCTTGCAACAATCTCAGCAGCCTGAGTATATTTATTTTTTCTTGAACCTAAAACTCACACAGAAAGCATCGTTGAGAAACCTGGATTTAGAAGGAAGAGCAAAAACAACTCATCAGAGCTTTCTTGGGCTCTCGCCAGTCTACTACTTTTTTGTGCCCCCTATGACATAATCTGGAGCCTGTCTGAGCAACCCATCTGGGTCAGGTTGAGGGGTGCCTCTGGCCCTGCCTTGAAAGCAATGATCTGTGGGAGGTTTGGAGGACAGCAGGGGAAGAGGCCTTGCCCCTGCTGTTGTGTAGCAGCTCCAGGAGAGGTCAGAGAAGGCCAGTAGGGTGGGAAGGGCTCCAATCCAAGAAGATGTCCCTTTCCCCTTCTCCAGCCACTCCAAGCAGAGGAAGGGGAGAGGTGGGAGAGCAAAGTGAGGATGGTGAGAGTTGTGGTGTGGGCTGGGGGCGAGTGTGGTGGATGGGAGAAGGGAATAGGATTGCAACGTCCCCAGGTCTCTGGCTCTTGGCTTGGGCCCAGTCAGACAGTGGGGAGATGCATTGAGTGGGTGCTCAATGTCTGGGCTGTTCTTCTTGCCTCTAATTTTGGCTTCTAGTCTGATGTCCTCACTTCACCCTCTCTGCAGCCAGAGCTGAGTCTCCCACTCCCCTGGGAAGAAAGGAGCTTTGTCTGCCCAGAAGTCTAGCATGCACAGCAAATGGAGAGGCAGGAGTTCTGCAGCCCACCTCTTTCAGGAAGCTTTCTCTGCTTAATTGTAACAGCACGCTCTTTATTCTAAGTTGTACCACCAGGGAATGTGAGTTGGACTGCCCGACCAGGAGGACAGGAGCCCTGTCAGACTTGCTTAGTGACTATCCTGAATGCTTAACACAATGTTTAGTCCAGGGAAGGGACTCACTAAATACTCAAGGAAGGAAGAAAGGAAGAAATAGTTTCTTTTTTAAAGCCAAAGCGTTTTTATTTTAAATAAAATAATACACAACTTCCAGTACGTACAGGTAGATAGCAATGAACTGTGATGAAGGGATGGGAGAGGGTCCATGACTCTGCATCTGGGCTCCCTTTGTTTCCCTGCAACTGTCTCTAAGGAATCTCTGCATCCTTTGAAATTCAGAGCCAACCCCACCCATTTTCCAAATAAAGAAACTGAGGTACCCAAAGGAAAAGTGGCCTGTCTAAGCCAGAACAGGCACCCAGGCTATTGTATATGTGCTCTGTGGAGACAATGAGTTCACACATGGTAGGTGCAGGAAGCGTTGGATGAATGAAGCATTGGAGGGAGGCGGCAGGAGAGGGGGAGTTGTTGATTCCCAGGCTGTGTGGGCCTGGAAAGAGTCATGAGCAACACCCGTGAGGAAGGATGCTGCACCAGAATCAAATGTATTGTATTTAAATATTCCCCAAGTCATTTTGTGTATTTAAGTCTTAATTCATCTCCTCTAAATCTCTCCAGCTACATTAATGTGATGACTTTGACAGAAAGATGAATAACATTATTAAAGAAGCTTGTGAGCAAATTTCACTCATAAAAATCTCTCATCCACTCACGTGCTCTGCAATGCCCACTCCATGTTTGTTTCTGTTGACTTCCCAAGTGTCTGCTGAGCTGGGCCTCAGGTTGCCGGAGGAAGTACGTGGGAGGGTCAGAGGAGGGAGGAGGATGCATTTCACACCCACTCTTAAATCTTTCCCTTTCGTTAAGAAAATAAATACATCATTTGAACCAAGAGTCTCCAGGAGTGCCAAGATTCAGGCTGAAGAGAAGGAGAAGGCAATGCAGAGCCTGCTTCAAGAAAAACCTCCAGTGGGTGCACAGAATGGGAAGCACAAACAGCAAGTGACTAGGGAGGGTGTCCTCCTCGGTGACCCACGACTCAGGACAGGAGGGACCCTAGCTACAAAGTCATCTTCTGGGGATTCCTCCCAACTGACGCTTTTCAAAATGCTGGCACAGGCCCAGCTGGAGACAGCTCTGGAAGCTGCCATCACATCCTGTTCCTCCTCCCAGAGCCCTGCTTGGCCTCGCTGGCTAGGGATTTATGCCCCTCTTTGCCAAGCCGCCCTGATGAATTGCTTCCAGGATGGCAGCGAAGTCAATGGTATTCATCTCACCGACGTCTTAACCTTCTCCTTTAAATCATTGCTCATGTTGGCAGCCGTTTGTTCGCTCCTGACAGCCTGGCCTGGGCCTGGCTGCTCCATTAATGAGACTCCCAGCCAGAGAAGAGCCTGCAGGGCTTGGCAGGGGCTAGAGGAGCCTCTGCAACCTTCTCCTCGAATGCCATCCCTTCTTTACCTGGCCAAGCTTCCATTTGGTCACCTGGAGTCGGGGAATCTAACCTTAGAGCCCCAAAGGATCCTCCTGTCAGGCACACCTCTCACCTATCACTTACCATATTATTTAAAAAGTATCTGTTGATATTACCAGGCTATTAGCGCTTCTAGGCCATGGACGTGCATGCTTCCTCTCAGTATTCCCAATGCCTAGTGGAGTGGCTGGCTCATAATAGGTACTCAGTGGCTATTTGGTAAACAAACTGTTTAAATTGTGGAGTGGATACAACTTCTTTGGAAAACTACTTGGCAGTCTCTGCTGAAGCTAACGATACCTATGCTGTATGACTCACTGGAGTTTATATCCAACAAAAAGTGCTTGTGTCTACCAAAGACATGTACAAGAATGTTCATGGCAACCTTATTCCTATAGGCCTAAACTAAAAATTGCCCAAATGTCTATCAACAGTAAAATAGGCAAATAAATTACAGGCATGTTTATTCAATGATTCGATTGCATTTGCGTTAATGCAGCAATGAAAAAGGACAAAGTACTATTCATACAATATGGATGAATTTAACATTTAAAATGTCAAACAAAAGATGGCAGATACAAAAGAGTATGTAGTGTATGATTACATTTATATGAAATTCCAAGACATGCAAAAGTTATCTATGATAATTAGAGGTCAGAATGGTTATCTTGGAGGTGGTGGTTATTGACTGGGAGGAGATATGAGGAAGCCCTCTAGGGTATTGGAAATGTTCTAAATTTTGATCTGGGTGGTAGTTATACAGGTGTATACATATGTACTAAATTCACTGGGCTATACACTTATTACCTGTTTACTTTACTGCATGTAAGTTAAACCTTATTAAAAATGGTTAAGAAAATCTGAAATGGTTCTCAATCATTTTGTAATCTGCGCCTCAATGTAATCTCACACTACTGCATATCTAAAACCAGACAAAACTGTTACATTGAGTTGTTTCTATGTTTTAGATTATGAAAACAATTGATATATTGCGTGTGCATTTTTTTACTCAAGAGAATGCCCTCTAGAAATTTTAAACATATCGCTCCCCACTTCCCAACACCCTGAGTACAAATCATCACATTCGAGAATATTTACTTCTTAGCACAAAAGAGACTCATTGCTTCCCAAGACCATGTCTCATTACAGTGAGATTGTAGGTACTAAGAAGAATTAGTAGCTCATAAAG
The DNA here is from genome assembly GCF_000001405.40 of Homo sapiens. NCBI lineage: Eukaryota > Metazoa > Chordata > Mammalia > Primates > Hominidae > Homo > Homo sapiens. The sequence continues at coordinate 115,979,075 of NC_000011.10, read as the reverse complement.
ATACGGGAGTTGGGAGGGGTAGGAAGCTGTCATAGTGGAGAAGCAAAGAGGGTTTGTGTCCAAGAACCTCAGCATCCTTAAGAGGTCTGAATTCAAGGTCTTTCCCAAGAAGAGCAAGGGGTATAGAACATCCCTTACCTTATCTCAGCTTAGTTCCCTGAAAACTAAGCCGTGTGCCTTGTGAATTCAGATGCTACTGGATATACATGGGGCTGACAGCTTGAACCACTGCAATCAGTTTGGGTGAAGACAGGAGCTATGAGGGAACAAAGGTATCAAAGCCAGGTCCAAAGACAAGGGCTGGCACTCAGGAATGGTAATAAATGGAGCAACAGAGCTGCCAACAGCTCCTTGGCCTTAAAGCTTCAGCCTGGGTGCAAAATTCAAAAATCTCAAGAAAGAGACCTGATTGGCCCAGATTGAGTCAGTTGACTGTCTCTAGACCTATCTAGGCTGAGACCAGAGAGGAAGACCCAGTATTTTAAATGACTGCTCCTGCATTTAACATGGGGACGGTGGATGCTAGGTGCTATTGAATGAGCAGTGTCCTTAAGGCAGGGCTGGTCAGAGACAATACAATAAATACCCTTTATAAGAAACCTAGAAAGCAAGTGGTTCTTTCTTCAATCTACAGTTGTAGGCAGAATCGGATAAACATTATTTTCTCCTAACACTGTGACCATAAGATACCTATACTTGGTTGATGTAACCTATATATTAACTTCTGTTACGGTGAGAGTTTGTTCATAGTTTGACCTTGTTTTGTTTCCTAGTTCTTCAGTCTGTCTGCCATTTGGCACCCTGGTACCTCAATCTTGTTATTTTGACAATTTCTTGCCTGGATCCAGCATTCATTTACTTCAGTCAACTCCTAGTTGTTGGGTCTACAGTCCAAACGGAAGGGTATGATGGTGGAAACTTGACTGCATATTGTTGAGTTGCTGATACCATCTTGGTAGGTGAGGAGTTTCTTCTTGGGTAACCCATTTAACCTCTTTGAGTCTTATTTATCTTCAGGTAAAAATCAAATAATATTAACATAAAATTCTATCTGCCTTCTTCATTACATCCCTTCGTTTGATCCTCACAACAAATCTATGAGATGGGCAGATATTTGTTAATACAACTCTTTTCTTACATTTGAAGAAAATGAGACTGGGAAAGGTCAAACAAGTTGCTCAGAGTTCTAGATACCGGTGTTAAGTGGTAGATCTCGGATTCAAATTCAGGTCTTCTGATTACAAATCCTCTATTTGCCTAAAGATGGAAGGTTGAGCCAACCAAGTGACTTGTCAGATTCCTTCCAGATTTAAAATCTACAATTCTGTAGAAAATAACAATATTAAGGTAATATTAGCTAACATTTATTCAGTGTTTGCTATGTTACAGGCACAATTCTAAGCATTCTATACATGTAGCTCATTTTATTCACATAATAACCTCATGCTGTACATACTATAATTATGACCGTTTTATGGATGAGAAAACCAAGTCATAAAGAACCAATTACCTTGCCCAAGTTCAAATAGTGAATAAGTGATAGATCTAGAATTCTAATGCAGACTTTCTGGCTTCAGAGCCTGGGTTCTTAACCCCTACTGCCTCCTAGGGTGACAAGAGAAACTTCCTTTAGAACTCTCAAAACAATAGGGACTGTCTGCTCTCTGTCCCTGGGATTACATAGCAGAGCCTCATTGAAGGTTTGACAAATCCTACCAAGGGGATCCAGGGCTCCATGGGAGGGTGATATAGCACTAAACACCTCTAATAATTAGGATGAGAGGTGGTGCAAGATGAAAGGAAAGGAGAAAATGCACTTAAACAGCATACACTGTGAAGAAGAAGGCAAGAAGTGAAGCATGGATTTGGGGGTTCCAATAGGGTTTGAATACTCACTATGTGTTTGGCGTGGATAAATGGCCTAACATTGTTGAACCTCAAGTTCCTCATCTGTAAAATGGGAATAACAATAATCCCTACCTCCTGGGTCTAAGGTGAGGATGCACATGAAGTACTTAGCACAGTGTGTAATATAATAAGTGCTCAATTAATACGTGGTAGCTAGAAATGTTAGATTGGATGAAAGATTAAAGCAAATGAAAACCCCTTGGCTGCGCAGCTTTGTTTCCAAGGAGCTTGCATTCCAAGAGGGGAAGTAAGCCAGAAGAAGAGCATTTGTTGGGCATTCCTATGTGCTCCTCAGAGCAAAGAAGTGCAGCTTGGAATGAGTACTGTTTCAGTCCAGCCAGGAGGGGTAGCGATGGGACCTGGAGGAAACCAAGACACCAGGTAGTGTGCTCTTAACCCAAGGAGAGAGTTTCCCTCTCCATACACCTGGAGAAGATAAAGCCACATCGCTTAAGGAAGGAGCCTCAGTTAACATCCTGGCCCAGCCCTTTATTAGTTGGTTACCTTGAGCAGGTGAGTTACATTCTCTGGTGTACAGCAAGAGGACAGGAAAACAGGTACCTAGGGCTCTAGTCCAGTGCCTGGCACATAGGAGGCACGGTGTCCCTCTTTAGGTGGCCGTTAGTATCATCAGCAGTGGAGACATTACAGTGATGCCATGAAACGTCTGCGCCATCCCTTTCCCTAAACCAGGAGGGACACTATACCTGCTGCCCTTCCCCATCCACCACAAAGAGCAACCCTGGTGAATCTTCCTTCCCCACTGCCTGGATTTGAAACCTTAAGAAATTCTCTTTCTGCTTTACCCTACAACCCACTAGGACACACCAAATATAGCAGAAATCGTACTGTAATTAGAGCCGGTTGAACTAAGCTTTGGGTAATTCACTCAAATATCTCTTGAGCCTCCGTTTCTTCATCTATAAAATGAGAAAGACAATTTTTGAAAGGGTAGTTGTGAGAACGAAACTAGATATCATTTGCACAGATTGATGGTCAAGGTTACTTGAATCTGCCATGAATCTGGAGGGTTGGGCTTTCTTTACCTCCTTATCTCAACCCTCTGTGCATCTTTCCTTCATGCCCTAAAGGGAACATAGCACTGCTGCATGCAGCATATTCTTGTTCTACACAATGGGCACACTCAGAGCTTGGCCTCTGCATGTACACATGCACATATGTACACACACACACACGAGTGCATGGCACACGGGCATCTCCAGGTCATGCCCCCCCCGACACATACGTGCACTGCACACAGACATATCCAGTTCATGCGCGCGCGCGCGCGCGCACACACACACACACACACACACACACACACACACACACGGTATGGCCGCCGTGTGGCGAAACAGCAGCAGGAGGAAATTCCCCCGTCCTCTCTCCCTATGTCGCTTTGTTCTGCCTGCACAGGCAACAAATTAAAACAAGAACCCCCCACCGCCCAGAGCTGCCTGAGCTTCTGCCACATCGGCTCTAATAATAGCTGAGCAGAAAGGCCCCCTGTCCGTCAGGCCCGGGAGCCAGGAGGCAGCGCTTTTCATTCGCAGCCAGAGAAGCGGCTGGGAGCTTTTGCTGTGTTTATTTGGTGTGACTTTGGGGCGATTATATATTGTTTCTTGTCCTCTCTCTAAGTGCTTCATCAGAGGTTGGGGGAGAACAAGGGGTGAAGGGGCAGTAGTGGGAAGGAAAGCAAAAAAGAAATTCAACTTCCTGAGAATACACACACACACGGGGCGCTCCGTCAATGCAGCACCAGCACACGGCAAAATTGAACTTCCCCTGCCTCACAGTGGTCTTTGAAAGCATTCAATTATCTGTCTGCACCTATAGAAAATGTTAGGGATTGCTTCCAGAAGCCTTTAAAAGGGTCTATACATAACAGAGGCGCACGCACACTCTCAGCGGCAGGCTGAAAAACAACAACAATCTATTCATTTACCTTTGAAAAAGCCAAAAAGGTATAAATTCTGCCCAGAAATCAATCTTCCTCTCTCTTTCTTTCTTTGTCTTTTGCCACATCCCTTCCCCACCTCTCACCCTGTCGCATGCTTATTTATTTATTTTTCAGCTAAGGCCACAGAAGGAGCCAAAGAAGGCAATGTTAATGCAGAGGAAAGAAGCTGAGTTTATTTTGCTGGAAATGCTGGGTCCACTCAGGCAAAGCAAAGGCTCCTCAAACTGGTTCCCTGCAGGTCTCCCATTCAAATGGAATGCATTTTCATGGCACACCCACTGTGGCACAGCACCAAGCACTGCAGTGGATGCCACTTTACTGGGTTCTCCAAATGAATCTTTGAAGTGAATGGTGTTCCTCCCACTTTGCAGATAAGGAAAGTGAGGCCCTATTCAGATCTTCTGTCTCTCAATCTAGATTTCTTCCTAGCTATACCATTTTTGTCTCCTTCCTGGGCTCTGACTCACTAGAAAAGACACTACGGTAGGCTCAATGGATCATGTCCAAAGTTACCAACAGCAACAAAAGGAAACTGGTTTAGTGGACAATGTTTATTAAAGGCTGAGAAACACTGTGATGAAAATAAAGATGAAGATGATGATGATAAGGATGAAGTATAGGGAAAAATACTGACTTAGAAGGTGAGTGCCTTAGCTATTAATCTCAGCACTACTACCTACAGCTGTGTGACACAGCAAAAGTCACTTCACCTTTCTGTGTCTTCAAGAGGTTGGATGAGATCAATGGTTTATCCTTAGCTAGGTCTCTAAGGATACCCCTGCTCCCTGCATGGGCTGTGGGGTAAGTGGATGGAACTTAGGAATCTGTTTCTACCAGGGAAGCCCCCACCTTTTAAAATACCTAGTTCATGTCTTGTAGTTCTGCATGATGGTTTGTTAGAAGAAAGGCTCCTACTATTAACAGGATGAGATCCAAAGGCTCTTCCTGTCAGAAGATTCCATGATGTGATGGTATCATGGCATTCAGAATCCAAGGAGCTCACGCCTCTCTCAGGACCTTAACACCACAGAAAGCAATGGCAGAAATAACTTGGGCCTAGATAAACAGCTTTGTGGTGGGCAAGGAGAGGCTGTACCCCTCATATTGCCACCGAGGCAGGCTGGGGAGACACAGCTGGTGGGATGAATCCAAGACCGGGATCTTGAAGGAGAGCTGAGGGCCTGAGGCTGACATAGCCATCAAGAAACAAGGGATACGTCAGTGAAGGGGTGACTGGAGTCACAGAAACTGGATGGGAACTGGAGAACTGGGTCAAAGTGGAGCTGGCTGAGAAGGAGCGGGGAAGATGAGGGAGCAGTGCTGTGCATATCGTGAGCATTTGTCCACCTTCATGGGCAGGCGGAGCTCAGTGGGTCTGGCTTAGGGAGGTAGGGTCATGATGAACAAAGGGCTGGTTGTAAAAACCTGGTAGTGCATGCACTTCTCACCTGAGTCCCACTATCCCCTGTGGACACAAATCCTGGACAAAGCAGAGCATTCTCTGTTCCCAAATGTGTTTTGTAAGGTGTTTAATGAGCCAGTCAATTCCAAATCTCTCAGAGCAGATGCAGTTCATTACATCTGTATGATCAAGGGTCTAATATTGAACCACAAAATCACAGGTTTGCAGCATTTTGGCACCAAGAAATCTTACAGGTCAGTTAGCCCAATTTCACTACCATCCAAAATCAGGGCTAGATTTTGGGGTCAACTTGCATTTGGAACACACATCTCAGAGCAGATGGGATGGGCAAGATGGACTGTTTCCCAAAACTGGGCCAGTACCTGGGAATGATCACCTGAATGCAACACTCATAGTTCTCAGCTTTGTCTGAATTATTTTTACTCACACTAATTTGGTGAGATTGCTGGGAGGACTGATTAAAACCCAAGTTTGTCCAACCTACAGCCTGGGGGCCACATGTGGCTTAGGGCAGCTTTGAATGTGGCCCAACACAAATTAATAAACTTTCTTAAAACATTATGAGATGTATTTGCTTAGCTTATCAGCTTTTTAAATTTTTTTTATTTTTTTTTGTGGGTTTCTTTTGCTATTATACATCCCCATTGTTTTATTTTTTATTTTTTATTTTATTTTATTATTATTATACTTTAAGTTTTAGGGTACATGTGCACAACGTGCAGGTTTGTTACATATGTATACATGTGCTATGTTGATGTGTTGCACCCATTAACTTGTCATTTAGCATTAGGTATATCTCCTAACGCTATCCATCCCCACTCATCCCACCCCACAGCAGTCCCCGGTGTGTGATGTTCCCCTTCCTGTGTCCATGTGTTCTCATTGTTCAATTCCCACCTATGAGTGAGAACATGCGGTGTTTGGTTTTTTGTCCTTGTGACAGTTTGCTGAGAATGATGGTTTCTAGTTTCATCCATGTCCCTACAAAGGACATGAACTCATCATTTTTTATGGCTGCATAGTATTCCATGGTGTATATGTGCCACATTTTCTTAATCCAGTCTATCATTGTTGGACATTTAGGTTGGTTCCAAGTCTTTGCTATTGTGAATAGTGCCACAGTAAACATACATGTGCATGTGTCTTTATAGCAGCATGTTTTGTAATCCTTTGGGTATATACCCAGTAATGGGATGGCCGGGTCAAATGGTATTTCTAGTTCTAGATCCCTGAGGAATCGCCACACTGACTTCCACAATGGTTGAACTAGTTTACAGTCCCACCAACAGTGTAAAAGTGTTCCTATTTCTCCACATCCTCTCCAGCACCTGTTGTTTCCTGACTTTTTAATGACCGCCATTCTAACTGGTGTGAGATGGTATCTGGTTGTGGTTTTGATTTGCATGTCTCTGATGACCAGTGATGATGAGCATTTTTCATGTGTTTTTTGGCTGCATAAATGTCTTCTTTTGAGAAGTGTCTGTTCATATCCTTCGCCCACTTTTTGATGGGGTTGTTTGTTTTTTTCTTGTAAATTTGTTTGAGTTCATTGTAGATTCTGGATATTAGCCCTTTGTCAGATGAGTAGGTTGCAAAAATTTTCTCCCATTCTGTAGGCTGCCTGTTCACTCTGATGGTAGTTTCTTTTGCTGTGCAGAAGCTCTTGAGTTTAATTAGATCCCATTTGTTAATTTTGGCTTTTGTTGCCATTGCTTTTGGTGTTTTAGACATGAAGTCCTTGCCCATGCCTATGTCCTGAATGGTATTGCCTAGGTTTTCTTCTAGGGTTTTTATGGCTTTAGGTCTAACATGTAAGTCTTTAATCCATCTCGAATTAATTTTTGTATAAGGTGTAAGGAAGGGATCCAGTTTCAGCTTGGAAGGGATCCAGTTTCAGCTTGCTACATATGTCTAGCCAGTTTTCCCAGCACTATTTATTAAATAGGGAATCCTTTCCCCATTGCTTGTTTTTGTCAGGTTTGTCAAAGATCAGATAGTTGTAGATATGCAGCATTATTTCTGAGGGCTGCGTTCTGTTCCATTGGTCTATATCTCTGTTTTGGTACCAGTACCATGCTGTTTTGGTTACTGTAGCCTTGTAGTATAGTTTGAAGTCAGGTAGCATGATGCCTCCAGCTTTGTTCTTTTGGCTTAGGATTGACTTGGCGACACGGGCTCTTTTTTGGTTCCATTGGAACTTTAAAGCAGTTTTTTCCAATTCTGTGAAGAAAGTCATTGGTAGCTTGATGGAGATGGCATTGAATCTATAAATTACCTTGGGCAGTATGGCCATTTTCATGATATTGATTCTTCCTACCCATGAGCATGGAATGTTCTTCCATTCATTTGTATCCTCTTTTATTTCATTGAGCAGTGGTTTGTAGTTCTCCTTGAAGAGGTCCTTCACATCCCTTGTAAGTTGGATTCCTAGGTATTTTATTCTCTTTGAAGCAATTGTGAATGGGAGTTCACTCATGATTTGGCTCTTTGTTTGTCTGTTATTGGTGTATAAGAATGCTTGTGATTTTTGTACATTGATTTTGTATCCTGAGACTTTGCTGAAGTTGCTTATCAGCTTGAGGAGATTTTGGGCTGAGACAATGGGGTTTTCTGGATATACAATTATGTCATCTGCAAACAGGGACAATTTGACTTCCTCTTTTCCTAATTGAATACCCTTTATTTCCTTCTCCTGCCTGATTGCCCTGGCCAGAACTTCCAACACTGTGTTGAATAGGAGTGGTGAGAGAGGGCATCCCTGTCTTGTGCCCGTTTTCAAAGGGAATGCTTCCAGTTTTGGCCCATTCAATATGATATTGGCTGTGGGTTTGTCATAGATAGCTCTTATTATTTTGAGATATGTCCCATCAACACCGAATTTATTGAGAGTTTTTAGCATGAAGGGTTGTTGAGTTTTGTCAAAGGCCTTTTCTGCATCTATTGAGATAATCATGTGGTTTTTGTCTTTGGTTCTGTTTATATGCTGGATTACATTTATTGATTTGCGTATGTTGAACCAGCCTTGCAACCCAGGGATGAAGCCCACTTGATCATGTTGGATAAGCTTTTTGATGTGCTGCTGGATTCGGTTTGCCGAATCCAGTATTTTATTGAGGATTTTTGCATCGATGTTCATCAAGGATGTTGGTCTAAAATTCTCTTTTTTTGTTGTGTCTCTGCCAGGCTTTGGTATCAGGATGATGCTGGCCTCATAAAATGAGTTAGAGAGGATTCCCTCTTTTTCTATTGATTGGAATAGTTTCAGAAGGAATGGTACCAGCTCCTCTTTGTACCTCTGGTAGAATTCGGCTGTGAATCCATCTGGTCCTGGACTTTTTTTGGTTGGTAAGCTATTGATTATTGCCTCAATTTCAGAGTCTGTTATTGGTCTATTCAGAGATTCAACTTCTTCCTGGTTTAATCTTGGGAGGGTGTATGTGTCAAGGAATTTATCCATTTCTTCTAGATTTTCTAGTTTATTTGGGTAGAGGTGTTCATAGTATTCTCTGATGGTAGTTTGTATTTCTGTGGGATCGGTGATGATATCCCCTTTATCATTTTGTATTGCGTCTATTTGATTCTTTTTTCTTTTTTTATTAGTCTTGCTAGTGGTCTATCAATTTTGTTGTTCTTTTCAAAAAAACCAGCTCCTGGATTCATTAATTTTTTGAAGGGTGTTTTGTGTCTCTATCTCCTTCAGTTCTGCTCTGATCTTAGTTATTTCTTGCCTTCTGCTAGCTTTTGAATGTGTGTGCTCTTGCTTCTCTAGTTCTTTTAATTGTGATGTTAGGGTGTCAATTTTAGATCTTTCCTGCTTTCTCTTGTGGGCATTTAGTGCTATAAATTTCCCTCTACACATTTCTTTGAATGTGTCCCATAGATTCTCGTATGTGGTGTCTTTGTTCTCGTTGGTTTCAAAGAACGTCTTTATTTCTGCCTTCATTTCATTATGTACCCAGTAGTCATTCAGGAGCAGGTTGTTCAGTTTCCATGTAGTTGAGAGGTTTTGAGTGAGTTTCTTAGTCCTGAGTTCTAGTTTGATTGCACTGTGGTCTGAGAGAAAGTTGGTTATAATTTCTGTTCTTTTACATTTGCTGAGGAGTGCTTTACTTCCAACTATGTGGTCAGTTTTGGAGTAAGTGTGGTGTGGTGCTGAAAAGAATGTATATTCTGTTGATTTGGGGTGGAGAGTTCTGTAGATTTCTATTAGGTCTGCTTGGTGCAGAGCTGAGTTTAATTCCTGGGTATCCTTGTTAACTTTCTGCCTCGTTGATCTGTCTAATGTTGACAGTGGGGTGTTAAAGTCTGCCATTATTATTGTGTGGGAGTCTAAGTCTCTTTGTAGGTCACTAAGGACTTGCTTTATGAGTCTGGGTGCTCCTGTATTGGGTGCATATATATTTAGGAGAGTTAGCTCTTCTTGTTGAATTGATCCCTTTACCATTATGTAATGGCCTTCTTTGTCTCTTTTGATCTTTGTTGGTTTAAAGTCTGTTTTATCAGATACTAGGATTGCAACCCCTGCCTTTTTTTGTTTTCCATTTGCTTGGTAGATCTTCCTTTATCCCTTTATTTTGAGCCTATGTGTGTCTCCACATGTGAGATGGGTTTCCTGAATACAGCACACAGATGGGTCTTGACTCTTTATCCAATTTGCCAGTCTATGTCTTTTAATTGGAGCATTTAGCCCATTTACATTTAAAGTTAATATTGTTATGTGTGAATTTGATCCTGTCATTATGATGTTAGTTGGTTATTTTGCTTGTTGGTTGATGCAGTTTCTTCCTAGCCTTGATGGTCTTTACAATTTGGCACGTTTTTGCAGTGGCTGGTACCAGTTGTTCCTTTCCATGTTTAGTGCTTCCTTCAGGAGCTCTTTTAGGGCAGGCCTGGTGGTGATAAAATCTCTCAGCATTTGCTTGTCTGTAAAGTATTTTATTTCTCCTTCACTTATGAAGCTTAGTTTGGCTGGATATGAAATTCTGGGTTGAAAATTCTTTTCTTTAAGAATGTTGAATATTGGCCTCCACTCTCTTCTGGCTTGTAGAGTTTCTGCTGAGAGATCAGCTGTTAGTCTGATGGGCTTCCCTTTGTGGGTAACCCGACCTTTCTCTCTGGCTGCCCTTAACATTTTTTCCTTCATTTCAACTTTGGTGAATCTGACAATTATGTGTCTTGGAGTTGCTCTTCTCAAGGAGTATCTTTGTGGCGTTCTTTGTATTTCCTGAATTTGAATGTTGGTCTGCCTTGCTAGATTGGGAAGTTCTCCTGGATAATATCCTGCAGAGTGTTTTCCAACTTGGTTCCATTCACCCTGTCACTTTCAGGTACACCAATCAGATGTAGATTTGGTCTTTTCACATAGTCCCATATTTCTTGGAGGCTTTGTTCATTTCTTTTTATTCTTTCTTCTCTAAACTTCTCTTCTCGCTTCATTTCATTCCTTTTGTCTTCCATCCCTGATACCCTTTCTTCCAGTTGATTGCATCGGCTACTAAGGCTTCTGCATTCCTCATGTAGCTCTCGTGCCTTGGTTTTCAGCTCCATCAGGTCCTTTAAGGACTTCTCTGCATTGGTTATTCCAGTTAGCCATTTGTCTAATTTTTTTTCAAAGCTTTTAACTTCTTTGCCATTGGTTTGAATTTCCTCCTTTAGCTCGGAGTAGTTTGATCATCTGAATCCTTCTTCTCTCAACTCGTCAAAGTCATTCTCTGTCCAGCTTTGTTCTATTGCTGGTGAGGAGCTGCATTCCTTTGGAGGAGGAGAGGCACTCTGATTTTTAGAGTTTCCAGTTTTTCTGCTCTGTTTTTTTCCCATCTTTGTGGTTTTATCTACCTTTGGTCTTTGATGATGGTGATGTACAGATGGGTTTTTGGTGTGGATGTCCTTTCTGTTTGTTAGTTTTCCTTCTAACAGTCAGGACCCTCAGCTGCAGGTCTGTTGGAGTTTGCTAGAGGTCCACTCCAGACCCTGTTTGCCTGGGTACCAGCAGCGGTGGCTGCAGAACAGCGGATATTGGTGAACCGCAAATGCTGCTGCCTGATCGTTCCTCTGGAAGTTTTGTCTCAGAGGAGTACCTGGCCGTGTGAGGTGTCAGTCTGTCCCTACTGGGGGGTGCCTCCCAGTTAGGCTACTCGGGGGTAAGGGACCCACTTGAGGAGGCAGTCTGCCCGTTCTCAGATCTCAAGCTGCGTGCTGGGAGAACCACTGCTCTCTTCAAAGCTGTCAGAGAGGGACATTTAAGTCTTTAGAGGTTACTGCTGTCTTTTTGTTTGTCTGTGCCCTGCCCCCAGAGGTGGAGCCTACAGAGGGAGGCAGGCCTCCTTGAGCTGAGGTGGGCTCCACCCAGTTAGAGCTTCCCAGCGGCTTTGTTTACCTAATCAAACAACTAACTGGACAGTGGCGGGCGCCCCTCCCCCAGCCTTGTTGCCGCCTTGCAGTTTGATCTCAGACTGCTGTGCTGGCAATGAGTGAGACTCGGTGGGCGTAGGACCCTCCAGCCAGGTGCAGGAGATAATCTCCTGGTGTGCCGTTTTTTAAGCTGGTTGGAAAAACGCAGTATTAGGGTGGGAGTGATCTGATTTTCCAGGTGCCGTCTGTCACCCCTTTCTTTGACTAGGAAAGGGAATTCCCTGACCCCTTGCACTTCCCGGGTGAGGTGATGCCTCGCCCTGCTTCGGCTCGCACATGGTGCACTGCACCCACTGTCCTGCACCTACTGTCTGGCACTCCCCAGTGAGATGAACCTGGTACCTCAGTTGGAAATGCAGAAATAACCCGTTTTCTGCGTGGCTCACGCTGGGAGCTGTAGACCGGAGCTGTTCCTATTCGGTCATCTTGGCTCCTCCCCCTCGCTCATCAGCTTTAATACAGCTCATTAGTGTATTTTTTGTGTGTGGCCCAAGATAATTCTTCTTCTTCCAATGTGGCCTAGAGAAGCCAAAATATTGGACACCCCTATTAATATAACTTATTTTGTTCATACCCATACACATCTAAAGGAGTGATAAAGAAGGGCTTTTGTTTCCTGAAATTACATTCAGAAGACAATATCACTTTTAAGTTTTCAGACTTTTTATATCTGTTTTGTGTAATGTACCAAAGGTGTCTATCAGTAAGTATTATTAGTCCCACTTTATAGATGAGTAAACTGAGATCCAGGACACCCAGTGACCTATTCAGTTATTCAGTGAGTTCAGGGCCAAACTGGAGCTGAAGTTCAGTCTCTCTCTTTCACCCAGCTTCCCTCACACAGCCCACCCTTCAGCAGCACCCCCATCTGCTGAGCTCCCTATTTGGACCTGCAGAAATCTTCCGACCCCAGGGCCCAGCTTTAAGCATTGGGGAACTGAGGGTAAACGAGAGAGTGACTTTCCCATGGCGTGTAACTTGTCGACCAATTTGAAGAGCATTTTCTTGGCCAGTGCTCTAATCCCAATGCTTGAGTAATGCCCTGAGACCACATCGACCGGGATCTGGGAAATTCCGACCTGACCGCAGCTCATTGTAATGGCCTCTGCCTAGGTGACCTTCTCCCTGTCAGAAAATACATCTTTTCTGCAAGTCCCTGGCCTGCAAATATCACTGACAGCCAGCTTAGCCCAGACAAAGGGCTTTGAAATGGTCCAGATAATGCATCGAGGGGAAAACTGTTTTCCAAGTGTGTAATTCGTCCACTATTAACCTGCAGCTGTGGAGATGGCCCTGCCTTTGATTCCCTTCTTAAACCAGGGCCACTCCTGTCATGTCATGTGACGCATGCTGCATGGCAGTAGACAGGGAGCAGAGGCTTGTCATATTTCCTGAATGCTAATGACCCCCTGGCCAGCTGGCTGACACTCTGCTGGCTGCCTGGCTGCACTTCAGGCCTAACCCACCATGGAACTTGTCTGCTACTTGGTTCTACCACGGAAGTTGTCCTGGTATTTGGCTGAGTGGCATGAGAGGGAGCTGGCAGCCTCTGCCATCTGGAGGAGTGTGTTAAGGATAGGGCTTGACACAAACACGAGGTCCTAACTTAGATACTCCGGGCTCCAGTTCTACCTACTGACACTGGGAAGCTGTGTGCCTTTGGGAAAAGCACTTTCCCTTTCTGGCTTCACTTGTATTGGCTACAAAATAAAAGCAATGAACAAAGTCATTGGACTTATATTTCCTAGATTCTGTTTTTATTTCCAGATGATTTTGTTTTGGATTAAGTGATGGGTACAATTTAAAAAGGAAAAAGAGGAGGAAGAGAAAGGGGGAGATGAATGCAGAAGGCCTGGGATAAATGATCCTAAGCACCAAAATATGTGTGCATGGGGTGAAAAAAGAGAACATTTTCACCATTATCCTTTTTTTCTTTTTCTTTTCATTATTATCCTGGTCTCAGAAAGTTTTCTGACCTCCCCCTGAGCTAAGCTTGGCCTTGGGTTTGAGGAATCAGGCCTGAATAAAGAGGGCCTATGGTACTGGTGAGTGTTCACCAGGTGAGAGTGGCCTGAGAGGCACGACAATGAGGCAAGGGGACAGAGAACAGGTGCAGAGTTGTGGCAAAGGTGTGGCACCACCGAATGAACAAGGCTGCTAGGGGAGGCTAGGAGGCAGCATCAGTGACATTTTCCAAAGTAGTGGGAGGTGAAGGATGAAGTCCTTTATAGCAGGGTCCCCAGTCTGTGGCCTGTTAGGAACCAGGCCGCACAGCAGGAGATGAGTGGTGAGCAAGCATTACTGCCTGAGCTCTGCCTCCTGTCAGATTCTCATAGGAGCACAAATTCCATTGTGAACTGTGCATGTGAGGGATCTAGGTTACACACTCCTTATGAGAACCTAACTAATGCCTGATGATCTGAGGTGAAACAGTTTCACCCCAAAACCACCCCCTGCCACCTGGATCCATGGAAAAATTGTCTTCCACTGGTTTGTCTCAGACTGACAAACCAGCCCCCGATGCCTAAAAGGTCGGGGATCACTGCTTTAGAGGGTGTCTTCAGAAGGGGAAATGGGGTAGGGAAGGAGCTATGATGAATATTCAGCCAATTAAATAATGGTAGTTTCAAAGGAGTGATTCTCAACCACTGACAAATGTGCAACATTAGCCCACTAATGTCTAGTGTAGGACTGAGGGTCTGCTTAATATGATAATCCAAGAAATAATGAAACATGGGGGAAAGTCTGCTTTATTAATTTTCCAGGCCCCAAATAAAAGATGAAAATCAGGGAAGCAAAATTACACTTACATCCCCAAAGGAGTGTGCCTCCCCAAAGCTTGGGTTTGTGAAACCCCAAAGCTTGGGTTTTCAGCTGGTAATGACTCCATCTGTAGAGCTTCTAAAAAATACAATGTCTAAGGCTCATGACCTAATGAATCAGAGACAAGGCCTTCCTGGGCATGGACCATAGTTAGCACTGCCTGTTGAGTAAGGGGAACGGGATGCCACCCACTCACTTCTAAAACAATAGCGAGGACAACTATGGGACATGAAACAGCTGCTTAAGAACTGTGCTCAATCAGGCCAGCTGTTTGTTCTACTAAATGTTAAATATTTGTTGAATAAATATTGCAAGACTAGACTGTGAGTTCCACTAGATTCTGCAATCTTTTAGTGCAGGGACCATGCCTAAGTCATCCTTGTGTCCCTAGTGCCTGGCACACAGTAAATGCCCAATGCATGTTTGTTGAGCATGTAAATAAAGGAGTAAATGAATACATGAATGTAGAATGAGAACTCCTGTTGGAATAGAAAGAGCCCGAGCTTTGACACTGGAAGCCTTCATTCCAATCCTGGTTTTGTAGCATTTTAGCACAGCATCTTTGGGCAAGTTGCTTCACCCATTTGAGCCTCAGTTTCCACATCAGAAAAAAACATGGGGACAATACAGTGTGCTTCATGTGGCTAAATGAGTTAATTTATATGAACAGGCATATGTAAGAGTTCAAAGTACTGGATTCAATTAATGTGAATGGGACAGAGTTCCATCTGGGGCTCTGGTGCGAGACACCGGCTCTACTTCCCTGAAGCAGGAGGCCTCTACTTCCCCATCAGCTCCTAGTCTTTTCAGACCCCAGAGCCCAGAGAGATGCAGGAGAGATCAGGGACAGTAGCTGTGAAATAACCTCCCTCCAGTACATCAAAATCCTCACATAGGACCAGACTGACACTGTTTTAATTTTAAGTGACCTTGATAAAAATGGCTCATTTTCCTTTAAATTCATCATCAGACAAAATTGCCTTTTCCCAGAAGCCATACACCACAAGTTTGGGTTGACATGATATATCAATGTAGCAAGACAACATAATTTAAAGGAGCCCTGTGGCTTTTACATTTGAGGCTGACTGTTTTCCAGCATTTGAGCCAATGCTCGGAGAACAGCTGGGGGATTAGGTACTAACGAAAAGGAAATGATTTGAAATATCCATGCTACGCTCCCTGCAAATCAGAGTGCCTGTGACTTGGCAAGCTTCATCTTTCCTCCCCACCCCTGCCACCCCCATTGAAATGTGTCTCCATACGGGGCTGTCTGCAGAGCTGCTCTGAGATGTTTACAGCTCTCTCGCTCTTGGCTTCCTTGTACGTTTGTGTGATGAAGGTTTGGCTTTGTTGTATCAAGCAAAATCACAGAGCTGGATGTTTCCCTTGTCTGTCTGAGAAATACTGCAAATATTATATTAGGTTGTGCCTTTGCGCCCGATCGTTTATCTCGCCTATAGTTGTACCTTTTGGGGACTATCCTGGGTAGTGGAGACAGAGCGAGGGAAGCAGAGGAGGCTGCAGCGTGTCACCCGGACAAGCCCCCACCTCCGGGCAGAGATGCCTCTGAATTGTTTTAAGTAGAGTCGTCTGGCTTCTGGGGACTTTCTCCAGTGATCAGCTAGATCTACTTGTCCAATCCAGATTAAATCCCCTGAATCAGCCAAAAGGCTTCCTCTCAGCCAAATCGATTCTCCCCATTTTTGTTTTTTAAAGTCCCTGGACTTCTCTTCTTTGGTATACTCAATCCCAATATCAGTTTTCTTCTTAACTGGACTTCCCCTTGAGACAATTAGAATGAAAAAAACAAAACGAAACAAAACTGTTGTTTTCTCCCAAATTTCTCAGGGTCACATCGGCTAAGAACAACCTATCTCAGAAGGAAGGTACCTTTCATTCTCCGAGGCTGGTACAAATAATATACAGATAAATAATAAAGATGTTCATGCTGTTAACCTTCATAACCTGCTGGAGTAGGGTTAGGAACTGAGACAAAGACTGCCTGATTAGGACTTGATTCTCGATGATGAGACTGAGCTAAAGCAGGAAGGAAAAATATTCATTCAACAAGCATTTTGAAGCTTCCAGACATTGTGGATCAGTATTGCCTCTGCATCTTCCTCAGTTCTTCATCTCTCCCCATTCTTCTAGTGTCCAGAACAACAGACATGACAACTAAGCAGGTAGACTTAGATCTTTTCCAGAAGACTGGGGAGGGGAAGTTGTGAAGACTTACACTTTTTTGGTTGTCGCCCTTATTGCAACTGCTTCTCTAACTAGAGTACTTGTACCCCTGGGGGCATGCAGTGGCAAACTAGGCAGTTTAAAGGTATAGAATAAACAAGTTATATCTTCCTGGGGCATTGATTTTATTTGAAGATTTGGGGTTAAAACATTTTTATATTAAAACAAACATATGTATTATGGAATAGAATGCAGAATTCACGTGAATTCCTGAGATAAAACATAAGACTTCAAAGAGATGTGCTGTGGTGGGGCTGCTTCAGGCGCTGCCCCCAGCCTCCCTGGAGGACACTCTCAGGCTCCTCTGCCAGAGGGAACTTTGCTGGGTGGAGACGTTTGAAAAGCTCTGGTATATCCCACCTCCAAGAATGGCCCAGCTTGCAGGCAGAGCAGTGCAGGGTGTCTCCTGAGCTCTGAAACTCATATAGATCATTGTGGGGAGCCCAGAAACCAGGGAATAAACTAGAATAGGGTGTTCTTAATAGCAGAAAGGCCTGGCAGGCTGCCGCAGGACAGCTCCAAGAACTTGCTCCATGTTCGAAGAGGACTAAAATAGCCAATTTCTCCCAGTCATGGGGATGCATCACCTGGGGGCCTGTCATTTCCTTGGAAGAAGTGGAATGGATTATGGTTATCAGGAAAGAAGCAACTAACTCACTTTTATTGCAGGGAAACTTAGTCTCCAGCTGCTCCCAGGGGACAAACGAATTCATACGCACACCTACACACAGAGGCTCCACACACCTACCTGCTGTCCTCAGAGCCAGCTGGAGAGGGGAAAGAGAGCAAATGTGATTAATGGGGCCACCCCAGGGGACTTGCTGGATGGCAAGCAAACCTGCAGGTACCACGGAGCCAATTTCAGTAACAGGTTTAAGGGATCCCTGAGACAGAAGGAAATGCAGCTGACTCAGCCATTCCGGCCTCCTCTAAGTCCAGAGGGAGCCTTGGGAGGAAAGGAGCTGGAGATTGCTGCAGAGATCGGTGCCAGGGGAAGCTTAACACTCACACCTCCGTTGCAGCGGCAGGGCTGATGGAGGAGATGCAGGCATTGCTAAGGGATGAAGGAACTTATTCCATGCATAGAGGTAACTCTGGTCTCTGTCTTGGCCAGTGTCAAAACGAAACATGATACTAAATATTCCTACAGTGCTTTATAATTTTCAGAGTATTTTCATGAATATTATCTTCTTCATTTTTATAGTAATTTTGTGAAGAGGATAAAAGAGGTTTGGAAAGCTTATTAAGTTTTTTTTTTCTTTTTCTGTTTGTTTGTTTTGGCAGGAGGTCATAGAGTCAGGGCTGGAAACATGGACTTGGCCTTGAGGCCAGTGTCCTGTCTCCACTCTTCCATGTCATTACCAGATGCGATGGATTTCTTGGCAGTCAGTGTTGCCAAACATTAAAACCAGGGACCAAGGAGAAGGTGCAGGAGAGAAGGTTCTCTGAAGCTATGAAGAGAATGGCCAGGACCTCCTTCTGTGCTTCCCTCCTTGCTACCTGTGTGGTCTTAGACAAGTTCCTTAACCTCTCTGAGCTTTTGCAAAATAAGGATGACATACATATATCACAAGGATTACTAAAATAGCTTACGTTACATGTTTGGCATGATGTCCAGCACACACTAAGTTATCAATGAAGATGAGTTGTTATTATCACCATTTTTCTTTTTGAAAATAGAAAAGAAATTTTCATTAGCTTAGAGAGGAACCAGAAAATCTCTCCAGCCCCTGGTATGTCAGAGATTTTTCAAAAGACACTATTAATCCAAAGAAGGCAGCAGGAAAAATCTAAACCCCAGAATAATTTGTGAATAAAATCATATTTGAACTAGCAACTGTTTACCAAAAAAACTTTATATTTACACACACACACACGCACACACACACACGCACACACACACACACATACAGAGTTGACCCTTGAACAATAAGGGCTTGAGCTGTGAGCTGTGTGGGCCCACTTATACATGGATTTTCTTCTGTCTTAGCTACCCTGAGACA